>NC_000005.10:112837079-113140110 GCF_000001405.40 Homo sapiens | reverse complement strand
ATTTGTAAGATTCCATTAATTTACATTTAATAAAACTCGGGGAAGTTTTATTGTATGTTCCTTAGAGATGCTGGATAGACCTTTGATGCATAGTTTGCAAATATTTTCTCCCATTCTGTAAGTTGTCTGTTTACTCTGTTGATAGTTTCTTTTGCTATGCAGAAGCTCTTAAGCTTCATTAGATCCCACTTGTCAATTTTTGCTTTTTTGCTGTTGCTTTTGGTGTCTTTGTATGGTGGTGCACACCTATAGTCCCAACTACTCAGGAGGCTGAGGCAGGAGAATCGCTTGAACCTGGGAGGTGAAGGTTGCATGTGTCTTTATAGTAGAATGATTTATAATCCTTTGGGTATATACCCAGTAATGGGATTGCTAGGTCAAATGGTATGTCTAGTTCTAGATCTTTGAGGAATCACCACACTGTCTTCCACAATGGTTGAACTAATTTACACTCCCACCAACAGTGTAAAAGCATTACTGTTTCTCCACATCCTCTCCAGCATCTGTTGTTTCCTGACTTTTTAATGATCGCCATTCTAACTGGTGTGAGATGGTATTTTGTTGTGTTTTTGATTTGCATTTCTCTAATGACCAGTGATGATGAGCTTTTTTTCATATGTTCATATTAATTCATGTGTGAGATTAGGAACTAAGGGTTCTAGACCAGGGAGGGAGGAACTCAGTTGGACCGATGACGACTTTATTGATAGGACTTTTCCTGTAAGAGATTCTGGATTGAGTATGTTACTATGTTATACTAATCAAACTAGTATTCACCAGTTTGAATAACTGAAAACTAGGCTCAACAAAGGACTCTGCATTAAATTATGTTGAAATGCCAGAACTTTGCTAGTATAATCTAGAAAAAGTTTAGAAGCCTGAGGAATCAGCGATGTTGACTGGGAGATAATGTCCTTAAAATGGGGTCCTTGGTACCACTGAACAAACAGAGTCGAAGTGGGCTTGGTTACTATATTGGTCAACAAGGGCACAATAGTAATCAAAAAAGTTTGACCTGCTAGGGATAGTTGTAGTGGCTAAGCTTGAGATCTCTAGAACTGATATAAATGGGCAGCCTACTAAAGTTTTACTAGATCATTATAGTCAAACTCTGGTCTGGTGAACAGAGACTTTACTTGTCATCACAATGAATAATCATGGCCTCATCCAATTCCCTTACCTGGATAACAGGCCAGTTATAGAACCAGAGTCCCCTGGATGAAGGGGAAGATGTATCAATCATGCCACAAGTGAGTACAGTAAACTTTCCTTTTACCCCTTCAAAGAGAATGGCAGGTACTTATAAGGGAGAGTGTGCAGTGGGGAAAAGAGAGAACCATATTCTTAGGTAGATTACTAGACATTGAATCTAAACTGATGATAACCCATGGAGCTTCAAAATATTTGTGGTTCACAAGTCAGAGCAGGGACTTAGGAAGGCATATCAGTCAGCTTGGGCTGCCATAACACAATATCATAGACAAGGTGGCTCACACAACAGAAATGTATTTCTCACAGTTCTGGGGGCTGGGAAGTCTAAGATTAAGACACAAGCTAATTATTTCCCCATTGAGGCTCTGTTCCTGGCTTGCAGATGGCCACCTTCTCACTGTGTCCTCACATGGAGGGAAGAGAGAAAGAGGAAGCAAGCTCTCTGCTGTATCTTCATATGAGGGCACCAGTCCCATCATGAGGACCCCACCCTCATGACCTCATCTAAACCTAATTACCTCCCAAAGGCCCTGTCTCCAAACACCATCACATTGGATGTTAAGGCTTCAACATAAGAATTTTGGCGTGGGCCAGGCGTGGTGGCTCATGCCTATAATCCCAGCACTTTGGGAGGCTGAGGCAGGCAGATCACTTGAGGACAGGAGTTTGAGATCAGCCTAGCCAACACACCCCTCTCTACCAAAAAATACAAAAGTTAGCTGGGCGTGGTGGTGCGTGCCTATAGTCCCAACTACTTGGGAGGCTGAGGCAGGAGAATCACTTGAACCCAGGAGGTGGAGGTTGCAGTGAGCCAAGGTCGCACCACTGCACTCCAGCCTGGGTAACAGAGAAAAAAAAAAAAAGAATTTTGGGACGCAATTTAGTGCCTGGGACCTTCTGTGACTACCCTAGAAGACTCTCCCATCCCTTATAGCTACAGGGTAATGTAGCCAAGAATCAGACAATGCAGGTTGCTGAAAGTCAGGTGGTAAGTCGCATTATGGACTCAATCCAAATCATAGTGGACCTAGTGATGGCACCATCTGAGAGGTAACCTTTTTCAATGCCCTAGAGATGTGGTAAATGCTCCGAACTAGCAACAGTATATGGTGCTGTGTTTTGTGGATTGAGAGAATGGAAGTGGCCCTTCTTATGAATACACCTAAAAATCCACTTAAAAAGTTGTTGCTTCTGTTACCCTGATACCAAACGCAGACAGGGGCATAACAACAACAACAACAAAAGCACCAGTTTCAGGCTAATATCACTAATGAAAATAGAGGTAAAAATCCTCAACAAAATACTAGCAAACCAAATGCAACAGCACAATAAAAAGGTCATTCACCATGATCGAGTGGGATTCACCATAGGGATGCAAATACCATTCAACATATGCAAATAAATAAACACAATATACCACATTAACAGAATCAAGGAAAAAACATGATGATTTCAGTAGATGACAGAAAAGCATTTGATAACCATCCCTTTATGATAAAAACCCTAAAATGGATACAAAAGGAACATATTGATATGGTTTGGCTCTGTGTCCCACCCAAATCTCATCTTGAATTGTAATACCCACATATTGAGGGAGGGAGGTGACTGGTTTCTTCCATTCTATTCTTATGATAGCATAAGAACGAATTCTGACAAGATCTGATGGTTTTCTATGTGGTTGACAGTTCCTCCTGCACATGCTTACACTCTATCCTGCTGCCTTGAGAAGGTGCCTGCTTCCCCTTCCACCATGATTATAAGTTTTCTGAGGCCTCTCCAGCCATGCTGAACTGTGAATCAATTAAACCTCTTTCCTTTATAAGTTACCCAGTCTCAGGGAAGTTCTTTATAGCAGTGTGAGAACAGACTAATACACATATCTCAAAATAAAGGCAACCTATGACAAACCCATGGCTAATATCATAGTGAAGGGGGAAAAACTGAAGGCCTTTCCTCTAAAGACTGGAATAAGACAGGGATGCCCACTTTCATCACTGTTACCCAACGTAAAACAGGAAGTCCTGGCTAGAGCAATTAGGAAAGAAAGAAATAAAGGGCATCCAAATTGGAAAGGAAGAAGTCAAATTCACCTTGTTCGCAGAATTATCCTGTTCACAGATGATATGATCTTATATATAGAAACCCCTAAATACTCCAACAAAAAACTTCTAGAACTGATACATTCAGTAAAGTTACAGGATACAAAATCAACACGTTAAAATCATTTTAGCATCTCTATGCACCAATAACAATCAGAGAATCAAATAAGTCAATTCCATTTACAATAGCTACAAAAATCTAAATTTTAGATCTAAAAAGGTTTAAATTTTGATTCCTTGCTTGCACTCCTAGCAGGTAAAAAATAAATAAATAAATAAATTTTGATTCTTATATAATTCTTACAGCAGCTCCTAAACCAGGAGAGCTACGATTACTCAAAGTCCTCAACCAAGTAATTCTACCTATAGGAATATCAATGCATGTATGAATCTTATCAGAAGATGTCTTGCACCCATGAGCTGTACCATCAGTAGGTCTATTTTTATTTATATTTTCTTATTTCAGATCTCTGTTTACATCACTAGGTCTAAAAGCAGACTTCTTCAGGAGTAGAGATTGTTGATTACTTCATTAAATAAAGAATTCTAACCAGCTGAGATGCTAGCTAAAGAAAATAAGGATTTCCTAGTAGGAGAAGGAAGGAGTAAATATCAACTGTAGCCTGTAACCAGCTATAGCCTGTAATCAGAAGCAATGGCTACGCTATGCATATATTCTTGCTTTTATGTATATATGCATGTCCCTTTTTCCTCTTACTTTCTCCTACTTAATTTTTATTTATTTATTTATTTTTGAGACAGAGTGTTGCTTTGTTGCCTGGGCTGGAGTGCAGTGGCGCAATCTGGGCTCACTGCAACCTCTGCCTCCTGAGTTCAAGTGATTCTCGTGCCTCCCCCTCCTGAGTAGCTAGGATTACAGGTATGCACCACCATGCCCGCCTACTTTTTTGTGTTTTTAGTAGAGATGGGGTTTCACCATATTGGCCAGGATGTTCTCGAACTCCTGGCCTCAGGTGATCTGCTCACCTTGGCCTCCCAAAGTGCTGGGATTACAGGTGTGAGCCACCACGTCCAGCCTCTCCTATCATTTTATATAGGATGAGTTGGTATTGGTGAAACTCATAATTTAGTAGGTAGGTTACGTATCTAGGTGGGTTTTAATAGCATTTATATATGCCAACAGTGAAGAATCTGAACACAAAATCAAGAAAGCAATCCTATTTACAATAGCTACAAAAATTATAAAATACCTAAGAATAATTTTTTTTTTTTTTTTTTTTGAGACAGAGTCTCACTCTGTCACCCAGGCTGGAGTGCAGTGGCACGATCTCGGTTCACTTCAAGCTCCACCTCCCAGGTTCACGCCATTCTCCTGCCTCAGCCTCCCGAGTAGCTGGGACTACAGGCTCCCACCACCACACCCGGCTAATTTTTTTTTTTGTATTTTTAGTAGAGACGGTGTTTCACCACGTTAGCCAGGCTGGTCTCGATCTCCTGACCTTGTGATCCACCCGCCTCGGCCTCCCAAAGTGCTGGGATTACAGGTGTGAGCCACTGTGCCCGGCCCCTAAGAATAAATTTAACCAAAGAAGTAAAAGACCGACTGGGCACAGTGGCTCACGCCTGTAATCCCAGCAACTTGGGAGGCCGAGGTGGGCGGATCATAAGGTCAGGAGTTCAAGACCAGCCTGGGCAATATGGTGAAACCCCGTCTCCACTAAAAATACAAAAATTAGCCAGGTGTGGTGGCAGACGCCTGTAGTCAGCTACTCAGGAGGCTGAGGCAGGAGAATTGCTTGAACCCGGGAGGCGGAGGTTGTAGTGAGCTGAGATCGGGCCACTGCACTCCAGGCTGGGAGACAGAGCGAGACTCTGTTTAAAAAAAAAAAAAAAAGAAGTAAAAGTTCTCTACAAGGAAAATTACAAAATTCTCTCTAAAGAAACTGGAGAGGATGCAAACAAGTGGAAAGATCCCCATGCTTATGGATTGGAAGAATTAATATTGTTAATCTATTTATGCCTAGTGTTCCATTACTGGAACGCTAAGCTTGTGGGAGTTATTTATATCCTACTGCTCAAGGTCATCACCAACGTCTGATTTTTCACACACAAAAAAATTTCAGGCTCCAGCACAAATGGGTTAAAATGTTAATACTACCCAAAGTGATCTATAGAGTCAATGTAATCCCTATCAAAATACCAATGTCATGCTTCACAGAAATAGAAGAAAAAAAAAATCCTACAATGTTTATAGAACTACAAAAAAAAAAAAAAAAAAAAAAAGCCCAAATAGCCAAAGCCAATCCTGAGCAAAAAGAACAAAGCTGGAGGGATCACACTACTTGAGTTCAAATTATGCTACAAAGCTGTGGCAACCAAAACAGCATAGTACTGGCACAAAAGCAGACACATAGAGCAATGAAACATAATAGAGAATCCAGAAATAAATCTACTCATCTACAGTCATCTCATTTTTGACAGAGGTACCAAGAACATACAATGGGGGAAAGAACAGTCTCTTCAATAAATGGTGCTGGGAAAAGTGGATATCCATATGCAGAAGAATGAAACCAGACACCAATCTCTCGCCATATACAAAAATCAGAGCAGATTAAAACCTAGACATAAGACCTGAACTATCAAACTACTCAGAGAAAACATTAAGGAAATGCACTAGGACATTGAGTCTGGGCAAAGAATTTTTAGTAAGACCTCAAAAGCATAGGCAATGATAGCAAAACTATACAAATGGGATTACATCAAACTAAAAAGCTTCCACACAGCAATGGAAATAATGAAAGTGAAAAGACAAACTACAGAATGGGAGACAATATTTGCACACTGTCCATTGGCAAGGAATATAAGGAACTCAGTAGCACAAAAAACAAATCTGATTTTTTTTAGCAAAAGATTAGCGAAAGATCTGAATAGACATTGCTCAAAAGAAGACGTACAAATGGCCAACAGGTAAATGAAAAAGTATTCAAAATCACAATGAGATATTCTCTCTCCCCAGTTAAAATGGCTTCTACCAAAGCATAGGGAATAATGGATGCTGGCAAGGATATGTAAGAAAGAGGAAGTCTCATACACTCTTGGCAGAAATGTAAATTACTACAACTGCTATGTAAGACAGTATGAAAATTCCTCAAAAAACTCAAAATAGAACTACCATATGATCCAGTAATTCCCTTACTGGGTATATATCCAAAAGAAAAGACATCAATATATTGAAGAGATACCTGCATTCTCTTGTTTATTGCAGCACTTCACAATGGCCAAAATTTGAAATCAATATCAGTGCCTATCAACAGATGAATAGATGAAGATACACACAATAGAATATTATCAGCTATAAAAAAAAAAAGAATGAAATCCTGTCACAGCAACATGAATGGAACTGGAGGTTGCTATGTTACATGAAAAAAGCCAGAAAGCACAAAAAGACAAATATCGCATGTTCTTACTCATGTGGGAGCTAAGGAAGTGGATCTCATGAAGATAGAGAGTATTTTGGTGGTTATTAGAGGCTGGGAAGGGTAGGGAGGAGAGGGGGATGAAGAGAGGTTGAATAATGGGTACAAAAATATAGGTAGATAGAAGAAGTAAGACCTAGTGTTTGATAATTCAATAGAGTGACTATAATATTTTATAATTCAAAGTAGCTACTAGAGAATAATTTGAATGTTCCCAGCATAAAGAAAAGATACATGTTGAAGGTGATGGATATCCCAGTTATCCTGACTTGATTATTACACATTATAAATGTATGAAAATGTCACAGGTACCCTGAAAATACGTATCTATCCGGTATCAGTAAAAACAAAAAAAAAAGAAAGTTATAGATTCTTATTTTTGCAACTTTGAGCTCTGCTAGTTTGAAATCTTAGGGAGTTCTCCATCAGAGAATACAAAAATGATTCCATTGACTGCCACCTGTTTAGCCCTTTGGGACACCCCATGCCACTGAGCCAACAAGCAAAGAAGGGAGTTACTCTACTGGCTGGAGTAACTATCAAGAGGAAATTGGGACACTGAGTACTATGTCTGAAACACATGGGAATCCCTAGGATACCTTCCAGTAATTATCCAGTGGTAAAAGTTAGCAGATTAGAACAACCCAATACAAGTCAGGCCAAATACAAGTCAGTCCACTAAGGGCTAGGCCCTTGAGGAATAAAGATTTTGGATTACTTCATTAAGTAAAGAACTAATTCTAACCAGCTGAGATGCTAGCCAAACAAATAAAATATGGATTTCCCAGTGGAGGGAAGTTATAAATATCAGCTATAGCCTCATGACCAGTTGCAGAAAAGATGGCTAGGCTGTGCATATTTTCTTGCTTGTATATATATATGTATGTGTGTGTGTGTGTGTGTGTGTGTGTGTGTGTGTATATATATATATATATGTATGTGTGTATATATATATGTATGTATGTATATATATATGTATGTATATATATACACACACACACACATATGCACTTTTCTTTTTCCTCTTATTTTCTCCTATTATTTCATATAGGGTGAGTTGGTACTGGTGAAACTCATAATTTAATAGGTAGGTTACATGATATCTAGGTGGGTTTGTCATTGAACTGGAAGAATGAAGATCACTTTACAATACTATTGTTAGGAATAATGTTTAAAATTTTAAGGAAATTGAATCCTTGTAAAGTTCCAGTTAATAGAAAACTCAAAAGAAAAAAATTATAAATTAGAAAATAAAAAATTAATCGTTATTTAAAAAAACGCTTATATCCCACACTATAAATCATGGTACTTTGGATCTCTCATTTTCAAAAGTTGAACCTATTTAAATTGAATCAAGGAATGACTACAGAGAAGGTTAGTATCATTGCTATTGCGATTTAGAAATTGTGGTATGGATAAGAGGGTGCATATGGTTGGTCACTGAGTAGCTAAAGAGGGTGGAGACTATGATAGCTGTTGTCTGGCACTTGATACCATTCCCACCCCTCTATTCTCCCCAGAATCAAAGAGGGCCTGGGAACTACCTCTCAGATTCTCTTACCAGCTGGGTTCTGGATAGAGTTTTAACTCTGCCGATGAAATGCACTCACATGGGTTTGGAAGGCAGAGGGAGGTGGGAACCTTTCTCCCTCAGGCTGTGGTGGTGCAAAGTCAGTAGCAGTTCCTGATCTCTGAGGGGATCACAGCCACGATGGCAAATCTGACAGCTCTTGGTGGCCTTTACTCACCTCTCTTTTCTGCAGCCCTTTCAGCAATTTTGCAGGCATGGAACTAAGTTAAATCCTTTCTACTTGAAACATGCAGTGCAGTTTGTTTTCCTAACTGAACCCTGCCTAATGTATCCTAAATCCTATCTCCTAGGATTAAACACTAAACACTTTATACATAAGGCCTTCTGAAAAATTGTATTCATGAATATTTTAAACAAATCTGATCATATAACACGCACTGTTTTGTAATATGTGCTCTTTCTCTTAACTGTTATGGGTGGCTTTTTTTAAATGTTCACCTGACTTGGGGAGATTATATAGTGGGATGGGGGAAATGGAAAAATATATCAGTAGCTCACTGGATGTGAAAAGAAAATAAAAAAGGATTTCTAAGCAAATTAAACATGAGATCTTTTCTTTCCCAAGGAGGTTATTTTCTTTTCTATAAGCTACTCTCATAACATCAGCCTCTCACTACCAAGTCTCATGAGTTGTTCATGTTCTCTGCTTCATCTCCCCTTTGCTCGTTAGCTCACTGCTGCTGTGTGGCATCTGACTCCAACAGTTTACCAAAACCCTCTTGCTATGAACTGAACTGTGGTTCCCCCTACCCAAATTCATATATTGAAGCCCTAGCCCCTATTGTGATGGTATTTGGAGATGAGGCCTTTGGGAGAGAATCAGGGTTAGATGAAGTCAGAAGAGTGGGGCCCTGTCTTAGTCCCTTTGTGTTACTAGAAAGGAATCTGAGGCTGGGTAATTTATAAATAGAAGAGGTTTATTTGGCTCACAGTTCTGCAGGCTGTACAAGAAGCATGGCACTGGCATCTGCTTCTGGTGAGGGCTTCAGGCTGCTTCTACTCATGGCAGAAGGGGAAGGGGAGCCGGCTGTGCAGAGATCACATGGCCTGAGAGGGATGATGTGCCAGGCTCTTTCAACAACTCGCTCTCCAAGGAACTAATAGAGTGAGAACTCACTCACCCACAAGGAAGGGCAATAATCTCTTGAGGGATCCACTCCCATGACCCAGACACCTCCCACTAGACTCCATCTCCAATATTGGGGGTGAAATTTCTACATGAGAGTTGGAGGGGACAATCATTCAAACCATAGCAGGCTCTCAAGAAGGTATATTGCCTTTTTTTCATTTTTTTTAATTATACCTAAGTTCTGGGATACATCTGCAGAACGTGCAGGTTTGTTACATAGGTATACATGTGCCATGGTGGTTTGCTGGACCCATTATCTACATTAGGTATTTCTCCTAATGCTGTCTTTCACCTTGCCCCCATCCCCAGACAGGCCCCAGTGTGTGATGTTCCCCTCCCTGTGCCCATATGTTCTCATTGTTTAACTTCCACTTATAAGTGAGAACATGTGGTGCTTGGTTTTCTGTTCCTGTATTAGTTTGCTGAGAATGATGGTTTCCAGCTTCATCCATGTCCCTGCAAAGGACATGAACTCAATTCTTTTTTATGGATGCATAGTATTCCATGGTATATATGTGCCACATTTTTTTTATCCAGTCTATCCTTGATGGGCATTTGGGTTGGTTCTAAGTGTTTGCTATTCTGAATAGTGCCACAATAAACATACATGTGCATGTGTCTTTATAGCAGAATGATTTATAATCCTTTGGGTATATACCCAGTAATGGGATTGCTGGGTCAAATGGTATTTCTGGTTCTAGATCCTTGAGGAATTGGCACACTGTCTTCCACAATGGTTGAAGTAATTTAGACTCCCACCAACAGTGTAAAAGTGTTCCTATTTCTCCACATCCTCTCCAGCATCTGTTGTTTCCTGCCTTTTTAATGATCGCCATTCTAACTGGTGTGAGATAGTATCTTGTTGTGTTTTTGATTTGCATTTCTTTAATGACCAGTGATGATGAGCTTTCTTTCAAATGTTTGTTGGCTGCATAAATGTCTTCTTTTGAAAAGTGTCTGTTCATATCCTTTGCCCACTTTTTGATGGGGTTGTTTTTTGGTGTATTGCCTTTTAAGAAGAGACATAAGACGGCTTGCATGTATATTCTCTTCCTCCCAGCCATATGGGGACACAGGGAAAAGTCAGCCATCTGGAAGCCAGGAAGAGCCCTCACCAGAAAGCAGCCATGCTGGACCTTGATCTTGGAGGATCTAGGCTCCAGAACTGTGAGAAAATAAATTTCTGTTGTTTAAGCCACCCTGTCTATGGTATCTTTTCATGGCAGCCTGAGCTGACTGAAACACCTTTCTTGAAAATCACCAATGATTTCTTAAATGAAAAATCCAGTGACTTTTTTTGTCATTGGTCTCTTTCTATGGCATTTGACCCTAGGCCCTCTTTCCTTCCTGACGGCACTCTTCTTAAACCTCTAGGACCCTGCAGACAGTTGATCTTCTCTTCCCTCCACCAAGTTTGTCCTCAGCCTGGGCTCCTATCCTAAACTCTCTCTCTCACACCTTTAACCTCATACAGCAGCAGCCCCAAGGCACAGACCCCTCCTATCTCTGTGATCTCAGGATTGGCACTCAACCCTTCTGCTTACTGGGTCTGCTACAAAATGCCCCCTCATTTGAGGACAGAGAGAGAAAACATCCCAGAGTCTCTATCTACTGTAATATAATCTGACCACTAAGATTTCAGGCCTGCACTAGGAGCTTGATGTTTCTCCTGATCTTTGGGCACACAGTTACCTGTGTGTTGTTGGTATCACGTACATCTTGGTATACATGCAGCCAACAAAACACACAGGCATCTGTTCATCTTCATGTTGTTGCATTTCAAAAACTGTAACCAAAACCTCCTTGTCTGCCAGCAAAACATGTTGTTCTGATTAATTTACAGTCTAAAAAGTATAATGCAATGAAATAAAAATAAAACCCAGAAAGAAGAGTGTTTCTCTCTCCCTGTTTTCCTGTGTGGTCTGTATCAATCTCTTTTTTAATATTTGGAAGTTCTTGAATATGGATCTTATATGAGCTCTTGTTAAGACAAAAATGGATTGTTATATTCATAGGAGAGCATTTCAAAATCCCATTTGTTCAATTATTCACCAAAAGATTCATAGATGAGTCTGATCTTCTCTATGCTATCTGAAAAAATAAGAGGAGATAGTATTGAAGAAAGAACGAGGACTTTATTCATCACTTATTTCCTGTATGTAATAGATTCTTTCAGAGAACTAAAAGGAATACATTTCCTTCCAATAGCTTTAAAACAAAAAACAAAAAACTTTGTTCTTTAAAAGAAAGCCAGCCATTTAAAGGCAAGTCTACTCTTAATTTAAGAAAGAATGCAGTTCGCCCAAAAAACACCAGGTCAAGTAGGGTGGATTAGTTGGCCACAGCTGACTGACAGCTTGACAGCTGTCAAAGCAGGCAGATGACCATCTGGCTCTTCTCCACAAATCATTCCAATCCAATGGAAGGCATGAATGTGCACCCAAAATGAGATAGATAATGTGGATAGTTAGTGACATGACAGTCTATCAAATGCTGTTGACTCCATAGTACTTTCAGCTTGAAGTCTAGATAGCATAGTAAGAATTATACTTCCATTGACTTTTCCCTCTTCTGATTAAATTATTTTACCCCTAACCAATAATGAGAAGGAATCTTTAATAAACAATGAAATATCTTTTCCTTCAGTCATGACATTACAGTTGACCCTCAAACAATGTGAGGATTATGGGAGACAACCTAGGCAATTTCATTCTGCATGGAGGCAAGGGCAAGGATTTCATGACAAAGACACCAAAAGCAATAGCAACAAAGCAAAAATTGACAAATGGGTTCTAATGAAGCTTAAGAGCTTCTGCATAGCAAAAGAAACTATCAACAGAGTAAACAGACAACTTACACAATGGGAGAAAATATTTGCAAACTATGCATCAAACAAAGGTCTTTCCAGCATCTATAAGGAACTTAAACAAATTTACAAGAGAAAAACAACCCCATTAAAAGGCGGGCAAAGGACATGAACAGACATTTTTCAAAAGATATACATGCAGCCAACAAGCATATGAAAAAAAGCTCAATATTGCTGCTCATTAGAGAAATGGAAATCAAAACCACAGTGACACACCATCTCACACCAGTCAGAATGGCTACTATTAAAAAGTCAAAAAATAACAGATGCTGGTGAGGTTGCAGAGAAAAGGGAATACTTACACACTGTTGGTGGGAGTGTAAATGAGTTCAGTCATTGTGGGAAACAGTATGGCAATTCCTCAAAGAGCTAAAAGCAGAACTAGCATTCAGCCCGGCAATCACATTACTGGGTATATACCAAGAGGAACATAAAGCATTCTACTATAAAGACACATGCATGCAAACGTTCATTGCAGCACTGTTCACAATAGCAAAGACATGGAATCAACCTAAATGCCCATCAGTGACAGATTAGATAAAGAAAATGTGGTACGTATATACCATGGAATACTATGCAGCCATAAAAAATACAAGCTCATGTCTTGTGGGAAGATGGATGGAGCCAGAGGCTATTAACCTTAGCAAACTAATGCAGGAGTAGAAAACTGAATACTGTGTGTGGGAGCTAAATGATAACAAATGGACACAAAGAGGGGAACAACAGACATTGGGGCCTACTTGCGGGTGGATGGTGGGAGGAGGGAGAGGAACAGAAAATATAACCATTGGGTATTGGGCTGGGTGATGAAATAATCTGTACAACAAACCCCCCAAGACACGAGTTTACCTGCGTAACAAACCCTCACATGTACTCATGAACCTAAAATAAGAGTTTAAAAAACCCCAACAATATGAGGGATAGTGGCACCAACCCCTACACTGTGCAGTTAAAAATCCACACATAGCTCATGACTCACCAAAAACTTAACTACTAATAGTCTACTGTTGACTTGAAGCCTTACGGATAACATAAGCAGTCAATTAACACATAGACTAGTATCTATTAGGTTGTGTGAAAGCAGTTGCGGTTTTTTCCATTACTTTCAAAAGCAAAACTGCAATTACTTTTGCATCAACCTAATGTATATATTTCATGCATTTATGACATACCTTAAAAAAAGTTTGTTTTTGTATTTCTAGGCTATACGATTCATCTGAGTTTTTTTCAAGTTGTCACAAATTTCCAGAAAATTGTCAAATATATTTATGGAAAGAAAATTTGCATATAAATGGATTCATGCAGCTCAAATACATGTTGTTCAAAGGTCAAGTACATATTGTCTCATTGGTATGAAATTTAGGAATTAGGCTGTGCTAGTGGTTGCATAATCTTAGGTAAGTTGCCTCTCGAAGCCCCATTTATCTTGTTTGTAAAATAAAGGTAGTGGTCCTGGCTAAAACAGTCTTTAAAATCCCTTCCAGTCTGCCAGCCTGTGATTTTTCTGCCACTGCTGGTCATTACATAGGCAAGTGTACAATCTAATGCCTGTCTCCTGAGGAACATTTGTTATGTTGTTGTTTAAGCTAGGAGCAAACATTAATGGTTGCATCTCTTAAAGCAACTTGGAAGCACTTCGCAGATGCTTCTACATGAATGAAAGAATATGCATTTGGAATCCTGTGAGTTGACCCTTTATGTTCCAAGGAGAAACACCTGAGAACTTTGTCATTCCATTATTATAAACCTACCACTACAGAGTGTCACTTTCAACATTTATCAGTTTATCAGAGGTGCTATTTTTCTGGTTTTAAATGGACACTTTTTTTCCATGTTTTTACATTTTCCTCTTCTTCATCACCAGCAATAGCAGTTGGTGTTTTTTTGGGAGGCATTTTTTCCCCAAAGAAATAAGTTATTGCTTGAGAAGAATGCCTGTATATACAACAAACAGAAGTCATCTTGAGATGCTGTTGTGCTGTGTCATTAGCCTCACCAGGCATCCTCTAGGCTGTGCAGAGCCACTGCAGAAGCACAACTCAAAATCTTGTCTTTATAAAACTGCCAGGGACTCTTGGTGTTTTTTACTTACTCCATAGCTCTTGATGGAACAATACTCCTGATGCAGTCTGCCACGCATACTGCAATCATAAATCGAGTTAGTTTACAGAGGACCCTCTGAGAATTGCTTTTGTCATTTCCCGGTCCCAGGTTCCAGCCCCCTTTCAGGAATGATGCCAATGAGAGATAAGGATATGCAGCTCCATGATTTTTTTACCAAAGTCAGTGGGAGACACAACAGGGTGCATGAACTTTCTAATATTTAAGCTCAGTTTAACATTTTTATACCTCACTCTTTGTGGCACAAAATCTTCCCTGTTCTCGCAAGGTAGCTTTCCACCTCTGATGACTATTTACTTTGTTGCCATGTGTCGTTTTTGTTCTAGAATACTTATAATGATTACCATAGCTGGAATGCATTTCTCTTCTTCTCATTTTATCTGTTTCCACACAAGATCTTGGCAACATTTACTCCTTCCTCTGAATTCCTAGACTTTCCACATTGTATTTTTATTTCTTCCATCTAACCCTGATTATTTGCATCCTCCGGTGCAATATATTTTCCTTTTGCTCACACTGCCTAGTCAACAAGTAGTATGAGTGCCTCTCCAGCCTCATGTTTCCATCCTGTGCCATATTTTGGTTTCAGTCATAGTGAACCACTTGCTCCCCTCCAAGTTCTGCACGTTCCCAGCTCCTCTGAGCCTTTGCCTGTGCTATTCCACACTTGTGACGTAACTGAAATTAGGTCCTAACTGATCTTGAGCGCTGCTCCACCCAGGAGGTCTTCTTTGGTCACTCCCCACTGGCAGCCCCAGATATTCCACCAGTGTTCACCCACAGCATCCTTCTTGTGAACATCTTTGTCTCCTTGAAGACAGAATCTGTGCAGTCTTTGTGTTCCTATCTTTGTTTTGGTGCTCAAATACATTGAATGGGAATTTTTAGTTTGCATTTTGTGACACAGAAAACCTACTGCTTAATGTGGTATGGTTCTCCTTCAGACTGTGCTCTGACCTCAGTAGGGAATGTTTCTGCAATAACAGCTTCCCTTTCCCATACTTTCCCAATTCACTGCTTTATAAAGTTCATCCTAGTAATCTCTAGAAGTAATTTTGTACAAAGCAGGAGATTTGGCAGGAAATATATGTTTTCGAATCTGCCAAGCCAGGTTTAAGGTGGCTATTAAAGATTTTACAAATGCCATTTATACCAAAGAAACAGCAGCAGCATTTATCACTTGCTTTCTTGGCTGCAAAAAAGTCTCGGCTGAGCCAAAGCTGATTACGTTGGCCATGCAACAAAGGTAATTTATTCATCATACACAAAATCTCCCTTAACTAAAATCAGAATTTTAAGTGCTGACTGAAAGGAGAGCTAATGTATCTATCAGTGCACAATCATCCTGTAGACCAAAAAGGCACTTAAGAGTGCTTTTTAATCATTTTCTTTCCTAAACCTAATTATTGTTGACTTTTGCAGATGTCTAATAATTAACTTATTCATAGAACATTAGCCTGTATTTTTTGTCTTCACCACTCTCTAATTCATATTTTCCATGTCATGGGGCTTTATATCTACATAAAGCTTTCCCAGTTTTCTGGGTAGGTTTTATTAACAATACCTTATAAAGCACGGGCTCAGCTGAATCCCTTTCCTGGGAGAAATTTGATATCTTAAGAGAACCAAGATTTCTGTTCTTCACATTTCTCTGATTTATAGATGTGTCTCCCGCTTGCCTCCCTAAACCCTAATGATCGCCACTCATCATTTTGGTCCACCCAGAATCCAACACTGTAGACTTTCTTCTCCTCTGGTTGTTGACAACTTAAAATGAATGCCAGGCTGAGATTTCTCTGATTCCTAGCTTTCTTCACAGACAACCTGCCCTTGAAGCTGAGCAGACCCAAGTGGGCATTCCACTCCCAGTTAAATCCCCTGACAGTTCCCCCTACTGGTTCACTTGCAAAATAGATCCTTCAAAGACGGTTCATTTTGCTGTCTCCATACCTGTGTCCAGTGTATGTGTGGTGATGGTGGTGGTGTGGGAAGGGGACAGTACACGTGCTCTGAAATACACACTGCAATTCTAAGTTTCTCAGCTTGCTAATAGTACAGTGAAGAGACCAGAGGTTGAGGGACCTCTGAAGGGCTGAGAAGAGGTAGATGTGTGTATACAAATAAAACACAGTGGGGTTTAAATGTTGTCTTCCTGTTAGCAAGTGTAAATTAAAGGAAATAGACCATTGAATGGTGTTCTCTCATTCAGTGTTCTGTTTTCTCCTCATTGCATCCTCTCTTCCTACCCCCTAGTTCTACCTACTTTCTTTGGGAAGTTAGCCTAGTCTTTCTTATACATGCTGATCCATATACCTTTCAAAAAAGTCTAGTTTGATCTGCACAGATGAGGTGCTGGTTTCCCAATAGCTCTAACCCCATCTCCAACCTCCAGCCTCCTTCAAGAAGGAAGCCCCTGTGGGCCCCTCCAGATTGTAGGGCATGCTGTTGCTGTGCGCTAGACTCTTAGTTATTTGGTTCACAGCAGCCTCAGTGCTAGTAGCCTTAGTTCTTATTCTCCTCGGAATTTGAGGAGGCGAAGAAATCTAGTTTCTTCAGGAATCTTTAAAGGGGAAGAGTTTCTGCAGGCTGATAGATGAATCTCGTTTGGTACATGGGTATGTTTTGTGGACACAGAGGCAACCTTTCAGCTTCACTCACTGAGCATAGATGTGACTATCTATTTCGCCTGGGAGAAATCCTGGTCCCTGTGGCCTGGGGGAGAAATCTGTTTTCTCTCTCAATGTCTTTTTCTTGTCCTTAAAAGACATATTCTCTAGGGGGTTGTCTTATATCCTCTGTTAGTGGTTGCCAATTCTCCTTTTTTCTCAGGGAGGAAGATGAGTACTCAGAACTGCGATCAGAACTCAGCCAGAGCCAACACGAGGTCAACGAGGACTCTCGAAGCATGGACCAAGACCAGACCTCTGTCTCTATCCCCGAAAACCAGTCTACCATGGTTACTGCTGACATGGGTGAGTCTGCCTGCCCTTGCCACCAAGCCAGAGTTTGGTTTCTGGATTGTAATAGAAATTTTAGAAATGTGAGGCAGCCTGAATTAAAATTTAATTTTTCAAGGGGTTTGCTGAGTGGATGAAGTCACATGTATTTCAGTCCCTTACACATTACTTTGTTGGTCAAAATGGAACTGAAGCTTTCTGCTCTGATACAATTGTGATTCAAACATAAGTCACTTCTATTTGAAAATTCTGGAAGTAGGGAACCAGTTTAAAAGGCTATTGCAGTATTCCAAATTACAGTAATATCTGAACTATGATGGTGGGAAGGGAAGGGATGGGATGGGGGCCAACACATTGCAGTGGAAGAATCCCAATAGGTTTTAACAACTACTTGGATTGGGCAAGAAGGAGGAATCCAAAATGACTCCAATGTGTTGTTCCTAAGTGACTAAGAGAATGATCATATATTCCTTAGGAAGTTGTGTTGAGAAGTGAGTTGGGAAATAGTCATATTATGTTTGAGGTTGTAGAGAAATATCCATGTGTAAATATCTGGTATGATGTATTTTAAACTGCAGGGTGTGACCTACTGTTGGGTCTTGAAATTACATGAAAAAGTATTTTTAAATGAAGGCTAATAGGAAAGCAAGTGACAGTATTGTTTCATGAAATTTGTTTCTTGCATCCTTGTAGGCAGTAAGTTGCCAAATGAATGTTCTAACTGGGTTGCAGTCAAAATGTTACAAAACTACTGGTCTTGCCTACCTGGATATTTGGAAAGAGATCGAGGTTGAGGGAAGAGGCTTTGAAGTTATCTGAGCTAAGGTGATCCCTGTGGTTGAAGGGTGTGGAGTCAAAAGAGGGAGGAGCAGCATATCTTAGGACAGACATGTTTACATGTATGGGAGAGATGGAAGAAGAACCAGGAGAAAGAAGAGTTGCATATAGTCAGTTTTCTTGAGTTTTATAATGAGTTTTTCTTGGAAGTTAAAATTTTGTTGGGGAGAGGGATTTTAATCAAATATTACATATTTGGGTTTAATTAAAATCCTATAAGTGCTACAACATTATGGAACACAGTACTATGAGAGTGTATCCAAAGAAATTTGATTCAGTCTAGGGTTACAAGAAGGCTTCCTCTAGGAAGGCGTTTGACCTCAGAGCTGGAGGATCAGTAGGAATTAAGCAGGTCAAGGAAGAGAATAGCATCCAGTGAGGGAGAGGAATGCATTTAAGGAGGTGACTGAAGATCCTCATGGATGGAGGACACAGAGGTGTGAGAGGGGGACTGGAGAGGTAGGCAGGAACTAGGCCATGCAGAGTCTTACAGGCCATGACAGAGACCATGTTTGGCCTTTACCCAAAGATCCACAAGAAGCTACTGAAAGATTTTTTAATAGTGGGGGAAGAGAATGAGATAATCAGATTTGCATTTTGAATCAATCACTGTAGTGTGGAGAAAGAATCCATAGATGAAGAATGAGTTGGGGAGGCTAGCTTGGAAACTATTGCAGAACTCTAGATGGGCAAAATTGTTGCTCAGATTAGGGTGGTGGCAGCTGAGATTTAATAAAGATGTAAAATTGGCAAGATTTGCTGAAGGATTGGAAACCGATTGAAGGTGGGGGGTGTGTATGCCCCATAAGAGTTTGTTTGTACAACAGATGGATAACAGGGCCATTCGCCAATAGGGCACATAGGAAGTAGGACCAGGTGGTTTTGCTTTGAGTTTTGTTTTGCTTGGGGCAGGAACTATATGATAGGTGGAGATCGTGTTTTGTTTGCCCATGGGTTTATAGTGTCTTGAAGTATTTGAGCGGAGGTGCTTCAGAAGGCAGTAGGCATTCAGATAAAACACCAAGAGGAGAGACCTGGGCTGAAGAAAAGCAGCTGGGAGACATCAGGGTGTTTGCAGATGATAACTGTTGACTCTGTCATTGCCCCATTTGTATCTTACTATCACGTTGACATTTTAAATTATGTAATAGTATTTATTTGCTTGACTGATTCTCCCACTAAATTCCACTAGGCGGAAGCATGTTTGTTTCATCTCCTAGTATATCTTCAGAGATTATCACAGGGCCTGGCACATAACATGTGTTTAAAGATAGTAGTGGGAATGAATGAATGAGGTAATAAACCAATCCACCAGTCAGCCAGCCAAAGATGAAGGAATAAAATGAGGAGAGTGGTATTCTGGAAGCCAGTGGGGCAGAGGAGGCTCTAATAAGGAAGGAGCGATCAGTAGTCTGGATTGCATCTAAGGCCAAATAAAATACATCAAAGCCATTGAGAGCTGTATGTTGGTACAGCTTAAGCCAGGCAGAATTATGTTGAGGAGTGAAGACACTTCCCCCAACTAAACTGAACCCAGTCCCCGGGCTTTATGTTACAATACACACAACTCCCTGCAACCAGACCATGCATATGCCAAGTTCATACCAGCATGCTAAGTTCATACCAACATGCTAAGTTCATAAGGGCATCATAAATCTCTAACCCTGGCAGCCCCAAGCTTCAGGACTCTGTCTTCTGCCTTAGCCAGACAGATTTAAACAGCCTAGAAATTGCTTATCATTGTAGAATGTGAGCCCTATACTGATCCCGCCATTCACTTCTCTCAAATTGTATTTTATGGAATTAATAAATGACCTGTACTCCAACAAAGTTCCATAATTAAATAAGTTTGGGAAGTGCAAGGATAAACACATTTACATGGATGTCTTTCCTGTGGGGCTTCTTGGACCTCCTGACTTGAGGTGGCGTCTGTTGCACTGGTCCTCACACAGAAGGCAGTGTCCACCTATCTGCGCCATGGGGCATCCTCATTTTCCCAAACCATTCTTTTCATTCCGTCCCTCATTTAAAAATACATGGGTTAATTATAACTGGTGGTAGCCTCTTTCCTGAGAAGACTGAGTTCCTGGAGGGGAGTGACCTTCCCTGCCCAGTGTTGACACATGTTCTCTGCCCACACATAGAAGCTTTTTTTTTTTCATTTAGTCAGCAAACTCACTTGGGGCTGTGCTAGGTACTGGGGATGAAAGACAGAATCTGCTGTCAGGTCATTGTGCTCCCACCCTCAAATCCTTCAAGCCTAGAGTGACTTCTAGCTTCCTCAGCACGCAGCCAACAGGGCGGTCCCTGCTTCTGGCCGCCTCCTTGGCCATTTGTCCTGTTTTTCTTCCAGCTGCAGCCACTCTGGCCTCCTGGCTTGCTGTTCCTCCAGCCTGAGCTGCTTCTCCTGCCCGGGGCTCTGTGCTGGCTGTTCCTTCCGCCTGGAGCCCTCCTTCCTCGGCAGCTGTCTCCACCAAGGCCCCCCGCCCTCCCCTCTAGAGTCATGCCTCATCCCTCACTCTCAGGCAGCCACTTGCTTCCCTTTCCCTGCTTCATTTTCTTTCATAACATGGAGCACTCCCTGAGGATGGATTGTGTTTGTGCTCATTTCCTTGTGTGTTATCAAGCTTTATCTGGCTGTCATGCCAGAGTGCAGGCTCCACGCGGGCAGGGACTTCACCTGCCTAATTTACCAGCATAGCAGTTCCTGCACGTAGGAGATACTCAAATACTTGAGCAGCAGTGAAAGAACCCCATCCCAAAGCTCACAGTTGTTTGGAGGATGCAGACAGGTCCACAGGGAAGACCTCACAGTGCAGTTAGGACTCCATAGCAGGCCTGCAGTGGCCCTGGTGATAACCTCGGGGAGGAGCATGGAAGAATGCTTGCCAGAGGTCACAGCCGAGCAGGAATCTGGGAACTGAGTGGGGTCGGAGCCCATGAGGAGGAGGGTGCACCGGGCAGGGGCAGCTCTGCCAGATCCCCCAGGAGGACAAACACTTGGGCACAACAAGGAGGAGTTCATTAAAGCTGCTCACACAGTGCCGTCAGTGTGTTTGTTCATCGGAACTGGCTGTCTCCCTCTTCTTATTCCTTCGCCATTTTCCAATTAAATTTTTTCAACAGGAAAAAAGCTTCCATATGTAAGCACCATTATAGGAAATCATTTAAAAGTAGCCATTTCATTATAGTTGCTATATTTGCAAACCTGCATTAGCAACCCAGAGGTTTTCTTGAGCTGCAGAATTTGCTGCAGTGTATTTGCCGATCTCCAAAGATAACAGGACTAAGTCCAGCCTATCAGCTTCATCAAAAAGCACTTTTCTTTTGTTTTCATAACCACCCATCAGAGTCCAGCTGCCCCTTCAGTAGGCTGGTTCCTGGACACTGTCTTCCAAGCCTGGAGGAATAAACGATCCAATTAAAAAGTGCTTTGACTTACTAAGCAGTCAAATAAAGGAGAAAGGTGCCAGCCTCTGTCACACTGCATGTTTTTTTTAAAAAAATTACCTCTTATCAAACCTCGTCACACATTGTTCAGAAAATAAAGGTAATTAAGTGGACAAAGCCAAGGTAGGAGTTATTGCTTAGAATTTTTATGTCCTCCATCTGGCAAAGGCTCGCCGTTAAAAGAGAGGGTGGGTATACCAACTAACATGCTTTGCTCACTTACCCTGTGTCAAGCATTTACATGCATCCCTCATGTTTAATCCCCAACCTGGAAGGATGCCCTGGAGGTCTCTTCATCTGTAAAATCAGGATAATGAAGTTTGGAGAGGGTAAGTCACTTGTCCAAGGCCACACAGCCAAGAAGTTGTTTTTGTTGTTGCCGCCTGTGTTTCTATAGATGGCTTTCCTTTGATACTCCTCGGTTTAAACAGGAAGACATGCCAGTGGTTGATGTCATTTGCTTACTGCAGTCCTTTGAGGTCTCTAGGGCTGATGGGGGAATTAGGGAGCAGCTGTGTGATCACAAGCACCTGGCTTAATAGTGAAGCATTTGCAATCAGATTTTGCGGCCCTTCATATTAAAATAGAAACAACACTCTTGGACCCAATGATTCTGGGTATTGCAATAGAGCAGAGCACAGATGTGTGCACACAGACTCATTGCATCCTGCATGTTACAGCATGTTTGCTGTCCTTTCCTGTGGACCATTTTCCCCACCTCTGTTAACGCAACAGCAGTGCTTTTCTGGAGCAACTGTTTCCAAAACAAACAAAATCCCTGATGGTATGGGCCTTTGCACAGCCAGTGAAGCATTCTGTTATTTTGAGATCTCTTCTGATTTTGGGTGAGAAATTTTTATTTTTCTGGAATTTAGCAATATCAAACTATTATACCCTCAAGGTTGAAATATCAAACCATTATACCCTGAGGGTTGAGGTTTATACCCTTAGGGTTGAAATCTACTCTTATACCCGCAAGGTGTCCTATGCATAGAATACCTTGCTTTCTGGTGTGATCACTTAGATTTTTCCTCTGTGTGAATAGGTTTTGGAGGACAACCAAGGAAGAATTTCCACATGAAACCTGGTTTTTTGGTGCGGTTGTGACTGTGAAATATGTTTGATGCTAAAGCCAGATTCTCCTGGCTTACTGGCTGATGAGGCTTAATGGCTTCAGGAAAAAATGTTTACAAGTGTCAAGCAGCCACTCAGAGTGAGGAGAGAGGGTCGGGGCAGGGAAAGGCAGCCCTGCCTCTGCCAAAAACAGTTTTTGCAGACCTGGAGAAATGTGTTTACACAGGTAAGGCAAGCTGTCTGGAGAATACTCACTTTTTGCTAGGAATGAGGTGGCTAGATAGTCAGTGATCCTCTAGTCCACAGACTGAAAGGGTTAGACCGGACTGAAAGTTGTACTCTAACTAGTTCATGTAACAGGCCAAGCCCTTTGTTACCTTTTTCTTTTCTTTATGTGGGCAACTTAATTTCTCTGGAGAGGGTCACAATAGGGATCATCCCTGAGAACCAGTTAACAGTTTGAACATTGATTCACTGGAGCACTCTCTGGGGTGACTGTGTGTTTTCTCCTAGGGATCTGAGCCTGGTCAAATAAGACCTGTCTGCAAATGGTAGCAGAGCTAAGTGACTGAGGAGAACCCCCTGAAGTCATTCCAGAATCTTCCTTAGAGTAACCAGGGTTGAGAGCAGGAAAGGTTATTGTTCTACTTCAGTTTGTGTTACTTTGGAATATTTTCCCCAAATTCTGCTGTTCCATAACTTTTCAGTCCCCAAAAGAGACTTGGGGTATAAGATGGAAATGGAAAGGCATTAATCTACAGCATTTACTCAAAATGAGCTCCCACAATTCTTGGGATTCATGAACTTCTCTTCTATTAATAGCATAAACAGTCTTTATTTTCTAAATAGACCATGTCTTTTAAGGTTGATTTGGTTTTGGTTATTTGAAATTCATGACATAATTTTTCTTAAAACCAGCATTATAATAAAGGAGTGTTAGCTCCTGAAACCAGCCTTGGAAAGCCTGTGTAATCTGTCATGGAAATAACTTCGGGACCTTGCTAGTGTTGTTACCGCATCCCCAGCCATCATTGTGAACATTGCTGCTATGAGAAAATATTTTGCAGATCACATATGGATGCCAGAACCACATCTTCCCCCTCCTCCTGGTGGCGTGGAAATCCTCTCACTCCTGTTAGCATGAGGGTCACAGGGCCTGGGATGAGTGCTAATGGAGGATCCACTGTTTGCTGTCAAGGGCAGGAGACAGCCTATCTAAAGGGGATCTGGAGCTGCCGCAGGTGACCCAGGCACTAAGAAAGGGCCATTTGGACTGGAGGTTAGTGAGCCTGGGGGAGAGTGGGCAGAAGTGAGGCCTGAGAGCTGGGCTGTGGTCAGTGATGACAGAGAGCCATGGAGGCACAGTGAAGGGGTTGGAATTTATCCTCTAAACATACTTGTAACTATTTCTTCAAGATTACTTCTCAAAGGTATTGAATGATTAAGTCTTTTCTTGTATATTGTCAGTTGCTGTCCCTTCTCTACCCCAAAGATTTCCTCTCATCCTCTTCAAAACTGGGTATCATTCTTATTTTAAAGCTGTGCCAATTCAGGTGATCAATAGTCAAATAAGTAAAATGATTATACGTAGATTTGAACTTCTTTTCACATATGTGTGAAACAGAACTTTTCTGGCAGAAAAGTTCTGGCAGAAACCACTGACGGAACTTTTCTGCCACCGAGGCTGGAGGTGGATGACTAGGAGTTATGTGGGGGTGCGTAACAGAGCAGAGCAGGGGATCCTAGATGGGCACCAAGGTCAGTAGAGGCTCGCAGTCCTGGAGGACAGCTCCCTGGAGTTGATGTTAGGTTATCTTCCTTATCCCTTCATATTTATGACCAAGTTTGTTGTTTCACAGAAACAAATTGTGTCAGAAATCTAAAGTGACAACAGTGAAAATGAAAACAAATCCCCAGCTGGTAAGATTTTACTAAAATAGAAGTCCTGAAAATGCAGCCTCGATTGCTTTGAGAAAAGAAACAGAGATCTATAGTCAGAATGTGGTGGGGTGGCGTCTTTCGCTTCTCAGGTCACCCACCCTGACTTTGAAATAGGAAATTTTTCTTGACCCCTTCTCAGGCCTCGTGACAGGGGTGCCTCGCTTACTCAGGCTGCAGCTCTCAACCCCTCAAGGGAGGAGGAGCACACAGGTGAGTGTGTGCAGGGGCCGGAACAAGTGCTTTTGAGCACCAGCAGGAGCAAAACTCCGTGATGGCCCCACAGTAGCGTCTCAGGGGGGAGGATCTGTGACCCCCAAAGCCCCAGAGGGCATGTGTTACAGTGCTCTTTTTGCTTTGCTGTTCGTGGACAGCTTAAGTGTTAAGCAGCTCAGTGGGCCCTCTGCCTTTTCATGTGAGGCAGTTGCTCTCCACCACTGAAGGCAGAGGGTCAGTGTGGCACCCTTTAGCATCTGCGCCCATGGCACCCAAACTCTTGTTTGGCATCCAGGAAAAATCAGGTCGTATGAAGAATTGAAGGGTGGTGAATACAGAGGATTTTATTGCCAATAAAAGTGGCTCTCAGCAGGAAGGGGAGCTAGAAGGGGGATGGAACGGGAAGGTAATCTTCCCCTGGATTCTGGCTGTCCCCAGCCAGACTCCTCTCCGAAGCAACGGTGTCAAGCCATCGCTCTGAAGTCAAGCTGCTGCTCTCTGACATCAAACCACAGTTTCTGACATCCAGCTGCTTCTCCTCTTCTTCCCTTCTCTGCTCTCTGCCAGTGGGGTCAGAGTTTTTATGGGTATAGGATGGGGGGCGGGGTAGGCCATGGGTGATTTTTGAAAAGGCAGCATTTCAGTGGGGAAAAAAGGTTGCATGTTCTCACTTTGGGCCATGGTTATAGGCTTCAGGGTGGGGCTTCGCCAGGGACCTTGCCCTTTTCTGCCTAGAATTTCTCTGCCTCCTGTCCCTGTCAACTTGTGCCTGTGTACTTGGTGATCATTTGGATGTGGAAGACACACTTACAGGAGAGCTCTCCAGTTCTGGTGGCTGCACTGAGAATCAGTCATCTTGCGCTCTCCGTGTTAAATCTCCACTGCAGCATATCCAGACCTTGTGAGACCTTCTTGCCTAGAATGTTGAAGTATGTGTTTTCTCAACTTTTTATTTTAAAAATCTTCAAACTTACAGAAAAGGTAAAACAAACCTCCATAAACCACTCATCTTAATCAACCAATTGTTAACATTTCGCCACATTTTGATTTTTTTCTCTCTCTTGCTCCCATTTGTGTTTGTGTATACGTTTTTTTCTAAGCCATTTAAAAGTTGCAGATGCCATGATGCTTCACCCCCTAAAGGCATATGTGTAAACCTTTTAAGAAGGAACCTTCTCCTATAATAAACACAGTACCTTCATCACACCTGAGAATTTTACCACTGATGAAGCATTGACAGTCCACAATCCATATTCAAATTTCCCCAATTGTCCTATTAATGTCTTTGGTTGCTTTTGTTTAGTCCCAGATCCAGTCAAGGCTCACACATTATATTTAGTTTTCATGTCTTTTGACTCTCCTTTAATCTAGAACAGATCCTCCCTCCTGCTGTTTTGTCTCTTGTGACATTGCCATTTTGAGGACGTCAGGTTAGTGTTATCAGGTTAGTGGTATCATAGAATGTCCCTCAATCTGATGATCTGATTGTTTTCTTACAAGACTTGAGGTTAGCTTTTTTTTTTTTTTTTTTTGCAAGAACATATGTGGGTTATGGTCCTCATTACCATGTTGCAGCGGGAGGTTCCTAATGTCAGTTTGTCCATTATAGGTGATACTGAGGAGTTTTTAAACTACCACAACATTGTTCTCATAAGTCCTCTTGTCTTAGGTAGACAGAGGCAACATGGGACACAAAGCAAGGGGTAACCTCTGTGGATACTCTTTCTCCCTTCCTCCCAGACCCTTCAGTCTTCTCTTTGGTGTTCAACCCTAAAAGTTGACTATTCTGTTTTCTAATTTTCTATGTTACTTTGTTCGGTTTGTGTTTGTTCCTCGATGGAATTAAAGAGGGCCTTGCTGTATGCAGAGTACAGAGGAATGCTCAAAAGAAAGCAACAGCCCTCCTGGTTTCAGCCGTAGAGCTACAACGAGATCTGAACTATTACATCCCTGGGATATAACATCTTGCCTTTACAGAAAGTCTGTGTTGAGGCTGAAAGAATCTGTAGGTCTTTCTCCCACTTTGAATTGCTTTACCAGGCATGGTGTGTGCCCAGTCAGAAAAGAAGGGTGGGTGGTGTGCGCTGGCCCTCAGAAGGTGGCAGGGATATGGTGAATGGCCAGTCCTGCTATAGCCCACATCGTAGCAGGCCTACAGCTGCTTCTGTTTCTTAGCCTGGCTAAAATTCTCTGTGACTTATGTCTCTAACTTCACTGACAGCTTTCTACCTTGGGAATCTTAATTGAAAGCTTTCTGCCCTATTAGCAGGCTGTGATAATGTCATTTGATAGGTTTTAAATTTGACACTGGATTAACAAGTAAATTAACAAAAACTTGGGACTTTAAAAAGTTGGCTTATAAAAAGTCTTCCATTTATTTTACATGTTAATCTCATCCAGTGTTTGTAGAGCACATGTTCCATGCCCAGCACTGTAAGTCTCTGGGACATGCCCAGCACTGTGAGTCTCTGGAAACACACTGTTGAATGAATGAAATCATCAACTTTTAGGGCTGAGTGCCAAAGGGCTGGGAAGGCTTCCTGGAAAATGAGATTTCAAGGCTGTATTAGTCCGTTTTCACACTGCTATAAAGAACTACCTGAGATTGGGTAATTTATTTAAAAAAGAGGTTTAATTGATTCACAGTTCCACAGGCTGTACCGGAAGCATGACTGGGGAGGCCTCAGGAAACTTACAATTACGGCAGAAGGTGAAGGGGAAGCAAGCACATCTTACATGGCCAGAGAAGGAGGAAAAAGAGAGAAAGGGGAGGTGCTACACACTTTTAAACAACCAGGTCTCATGAGAACTCACTATCATGAGAACAACATGGGAGAAGTCTGCCCCCATGATCCAGTCACCTCCCAACAAGCCCCTCCTCCAACATTGGCGATTACAATTCAGGATGGTTTTTGGGTAGGGACACAAACCCAAGCCCTATCAAAGGCAAAGCTTAATAAAGACCCAGCATGGAAGGCTTCCAAACTAGGCAAATACCTAACCACTAGTGTGAAGCAAGTACCGATCCCCAGGAACACGTGCTTTTGGAAGCTGGGACCATACTTTGGAGCAAAGTCATTCTGGTAAAGAGGGGACTGCTTGGTTGGAATCAGGTGGACCAGGGGAGATGTTTGTAACATCTCACCTGTTGGAGCTGCCCTTTATTTGAGTTAGGATTTTTACAGGGCTTGTTTGTTTAAAAAAGCAACTTTTAACACCTGATTCAAAATGAACCAACTCTGCCGTAGTTAATGGTGTCAGCTCTGGGCATAGGCATAGCTGATCCTGAGTAAGAAAGAAGAAAACCAGCTTTGTCCACTGGTGTGTGTTTAACTAAGCCAGAAGGCTCATTAGGATTCTTAGTTTTCACAGCCATGAATGTCCTCTTACCTCCTTTCCAGATTTCCAAAGTATAGTAAGTCCTCAACGTCGTTGATAGGTTCCTGGAAAATGCAACTTTAAATGAAATGACGTGTAACGATACCAGTTTTATGGTTAATTGATATAATGAAGAGTTAAGTTCCTGTAGTGTATTTGTGGTCACTGAAACGTTAGTGAATTTCTAAATAGAGACCCAAAGCACTTCTAATATTAAATGTGGGAATAAACTTGAACTATATGTACATTTAAGGCAGATTAATAAAAATAAGGGAGATAATTATTTAACCCCTTATTCCAGGTCAGTGTCGCAGGTAGCTGAGGCCTATCCCAGGAGCTCAGGGTGCTGGATGGGAACCCACCCCGGCCAGGTGCCATCCCATCGCAGGGCACACACATTCATTGTCTCTGTCTCTGTCTCTCTCTGACTGGGACTGTTTAGATACACCAATGAACCTAACGTGCTGAGCTTTGGGGTGTAGGGGAAACTGGAATACCCAAAGATAAACCACACAGCCATGGGGAGGGGACAATGTACAAACTCCACACAGACAGTGGCCCCAGCTGGGAATACCTGTTTCCCTCCTCGTCTATGTTATAATGAGACGATGTTGAACAAAATGTTATTTGAGGACCTGCCATATGTGGATCTTTCCCCAAACAGCAACATAAAAACCTAAGGCTCTGGTTCTCCTTAGAAAAATATAACCTGAGCTGTGTATTATTGAGCTCTTATCAGGAGGCCAACTGAGGAAAATTGCATTTAGAAAAGAGGAAAAGGGCAGGAGGAGCCATGGACTTGGGTGGAGGCGGGCAGAGCAGAGGAGCACTGTGGGTTGGGCGTGCTGAGTCCTGGGGTCTGCGGCTGGCCCCTCTGCACATGGCTGTGGTTGAGAAGCTGGGCCCCGCATTGCCAGATCTTCTCATTTTACAAGGATAGCCATAAATTTTAACAATTTTTAAAATGTTGACAGTTAACTCAAAAACTGTTTTAAAAATAAAAAAAAGGCCATGCCAGACACCATAGCCCTATCCCATATGCAAGCACATCTTTGGCTGCAGGTGGCTGGTTTGCATCTGCTGGCCAAAGGGAGAGGTCCATTCCATCCAGTCTTCTGGGTCCTGTTCAGTCTTATCAGACAGCTTTGAAGACTGAGTGCCAAGATTACGTGAACTTAGCACTCCCCAGAGTTCCCTTTACCTTGTGCTTTAAATGGTCTACAACTTTAATTTTAACTGAAGGTTAACATAAGAAGAAACCATATGAAATCCACATATGTGTGAAACTGGCTGAGGAGACTGGCATCACATCACTTCACACCACGTATGAAGTACCGTGTACCTAAATCCTTCTAGCGTCTGTTGCCAAAAACACCTTGTCTCCCTTGTGAAACCGGAATGCTTCCTCCTTTCTGTCAGGAGATAATTCATATTTGCTGAGGATGCCAGGATGCTCAAGGCTAGCTGGAGGAGTCAGCCCTCTGCTGTGTCAGCCTCCGTTTGCTCCCAGCCTTTCCCTGATCCAGTCACCGTGTTTTCCCCTTATTTGTGGCTGCTTGTGATAAGCAACCTCAAATTCTTCTTTAGAAAGGGGCACAGTACAGATAAACTTAAAGGAATGTGTATTTGCTACCAAAGGCCTCCTCTCTGTCTCCTGGATGTAGAACAGTTTCCTTTGATGCATAAAGCACAGCACAGGTAGCTCACGCCTGTAACCCCAGCTACTTGGGGAGCTGAGGTGGGCGGATTGATTGAGCCCAGGAGTTCGTTCCTAGCCTGGGCAATGTAATGAGATCCTGTCTCTGGAGAAAAAAAAAAGATTTTTAAAATAAAAAAATAAAGTACAGCAGAGGCTGAGGGAGAAAGCCAGTGGGCCTGCCTCAGCTGCCCTTCATGGAGTTGCATGGCAGTGGGGGCCAGGGTTTTTCTAAAGAGTACATTACTCCCCCTTGTCCTTAGACTTCCCATATCTCTTTCTTCCTTCTCTTGCTCTCCAACCCACAGGGGAAAATTTTTTTTAATTAAATTACAATACTTCAAATCCTTTCTGAATGTGCTGCCATTCTTGAAGGTTACCGTTTTCTGTTTCATATCAGCCTATTTGCTTATATCTCCTCATTTTACTCACTGATATACATTTATTATATTTATTGTGGTAACAAACATGAAATTTACCATGGTAATCATTTCTAAGTGTACAGTTCAGTGGCATTCACAGAGTTAGTGTGACCATCACCACCACCCATTTCCAGGACATTTTCATGCCAACATAAACTCTGTACCCGTTAAGCAATAACTCCCTATTCTCGCATCACCCCCACCCCGGTAAACTTTATCTCCTGTCTCTGCATTTGCGTCTTCTAGATACCTTGTATTAGTGGAAATATTTGTCATGTTGTGTCTGATTTATTCTAATTAGTATAATGTTTTCAGGGTTCATGTTGTAGCATGTAAAAGAATTTTATTTCTTTTTTAAGGCTGAATAACATTACATTGTATTCAGAGACCACATTTTGTTCCTTCATCTGTCAGTATACCCCTGGGCTACTTCCACCTTTTGGCTACTGTGAATAATGCTGCTATGAACATCGGGGTACAATTATTTGAGTCACTGCTTTTCATTGTTTTTGTTAAACATAGAATTACCATATGATCCAGCAACTCTACTCCTATACTTAGGACCTACTGTGGCACCTTATGCCACAGACTCTGAAAGACAGTTCTGTCTGGAGCCATGTGGATGCTGGCGGTGAGTGGTGATAAGTGCTTGGTACCTTGACGTAGTACCTTGAGAGGGGACACAGAATACCTGCTCCAGGCGGCCCAGTCTCCTCGTCCTCCTGTGAGGCTCCAAACAGGGAAAAATAGCAATGGACAGTCAAGTGCCAACTGGTCACTGATGGGCCTGTGTGAAGCCACAGTGCAGAGTTCTGCAGCACAAACTGGAGTTTGTGGGGTTCATCACCTCACCTGTGTTTTTATACATTCAGCTTCCTATGACCAAAGAAAGTATGTGTAGCCCTCATTGGTTTGAAGGGTAGATATTCTTCAGAGTCTGTGCATCAGTGTAAATGACCTCACATCTTGCCAGCTCTCTGCCTTGTGTCTGCACTGTGTTATCTATGGTTACTTCCCTTTTTTTTTTTTTTTTTTGAAATGGAGTCTCGCTCTCTTGCCCAGGCTGGAGTGCAATGGCTCGATCTCAGCTCCCTGCAACCTCCACCTGCCGGATTCAAGCGATTCTCCTGCCTCAGCCTCCTGAGTAGCTGGGATTACAGGCCCGCACCACTATGCCCTGCTAATGTTTGTATTTTTAGTAGAGACAGGGTTTCACTATGTTGGTCAGGCTGGTCTCAAACTCCTGACCTCGTGATCTGCCCGCCTCAGCCTCCCAAAGTGCTGGGATTATAGGCATGAGCCACCACACCTGGCCACTTTCCTTTCTTTTTTTTTTTTTTTTTTTTTTTTTTTTTTAAGATAGAGTGTTGCGTCTTGCTCTGTTGCCTAGACTGGAGTGCAATCTCAGCTCATTGCAACCTCCACCTCCTGGGTTCAAGTGATTCTCCTGCCTCAGCCTCCATTACAGGTGTGCGCCACCACACCTGGCTAATTTTTATATTTTTAGTAGAGACAGGGTTTCACAATATTGGCCAGGCCAGTCTTGAACTCCTGATCTCAGGTGATCCACCCACCTCGGCCTCCCAAAGTGCTGTGATTACAGGAGTGAGCCACTGCGCCTGGCCTCTATGGTTACTTTCCTTACAGTAGTGGTGGGCAGCAGAGAGGTGGGGCAGTGGCCTTGTACTTCTGGGGGTCTCTCACAGTTAAGGTCAGTCTCTTATTCATCTTTGCACTCTGCTCTGGCCTGAGTCAGGGCTCGGCAACTGCCCAATTTAAGTATGAGAAGGAAATACTAGTCACATGCCTAGCCCCTCTTCCTGCTCCCTGTAACCCAGCACCCTCAGGAAGCAGCCTGTTGCCACCACTCCGGCTCTGCTGTGAGAGCCCCTCAGCAGACATGTCCATTGTCATTATTGCATCAGGTGGACCTGCGCTAGGGAAGTCAGCACAGAATGTCTGAATATTTCATGAATATCTCACTCATGAGCACTTAATGCACATAACTCAGGACAGCGGATTCACACCAGCTCTGGATACCAGGAGACCTGCACCAGAGGGTACGTGGTCATTCAGAGGCTGGTTGGTGTGGTCTCTGAGTTGTTCTTCTCCTCACTTGGGTCCTTTGCCTCCAGTTGGTGTCCACCTGCCTCCATCTCCAAAGGGCCTCTGCAGTGATGAGCATCCTAGTTCTTAGCAGCTCAGGTCGAGGTCCACAACAAGGAACAAAAGCACTGAGGTCAGGAGTTCGAGACTAGCCTGGCCAACATGGTGAAACCCCGTCTCCACTAAAAATATAAAAATTAGCTAGGTGTGGTGGCACACGCCTGTAATCCAAGCTACTCGGGAGGCTGAGATAGGAGAATCACTTGAACCCGGGAGGTGGAGGTTGCAGTGAGCTGAGACTGCACCACTGCACTCCAGCCTGGGAGACAGAGCGAGACTCCATCTCAAAAAAAAAAAAAAGAAAAAAAAAAAAGAAAAACATGCTACTATTGAGTCTGTTTATAGCCTTCCTGTCTATTAAATAAATGATGATGTGGTGTTTCTCTTTGCCTATTTAAAAAATAATATTTGACCGCCTACCCTATTCTCTGTTGGAGATACAAATGATGAGGAAGATCAAAGTCCCTTCTTTCCTGGAACTTACGTTTAGTAGAGGAGAGAAAACAAACATGTAAGTCAGATCAGATAGTGATAATTGCCATGAAAAAAATAGGATAAGAAGATAGGGAATGGGTAAGGGAGGAGGTGAAACTCCATGCTTTAGATAGGGAAGAGCTTGTTGGGGAGATAGCATTTGAGCTGAGAGCTGAACAATATGTAGAAATTTGGTTGGCCAGGCATGGTGGCTCATGTCAATTATCTCAGGACTTTGGAAGCCTGTGGCAGGAGGATTGCTTATGGCCAAAAGTTTGAGACAGGCAACATAGACCCTGTGTCTACACAAAAATAAAAATATGAGCTGATTGTGGTCATGTGTACCTGTAGTCCCAGCATCTTGGGAGGCTGAGGTGGGACGATAGGTTGAACCCAAGAGTTTAAAGCTTTAGTGAGCTAGGATTGTACCCCTGCCTGTACTCCACAGGATTGTACTCCAGCCTATGCAACAGAGCAAGACCCTGTCTCTAAAAAGGTTGTATTTTTTTTTTAATTAAAATTTTAAAAAATCAGCCTAGACAAAGGAAACAGCAAAGGAAAGGAACCTGTGGAGCAGACAGGAGTTTGGCATATTCCAGGGGGAAAAAAGAAGGCCAGGAGTGTGAATGGAGCATAGTGAATGAGGGGAAGGAGTGTGAATGGGGCATAGTGAATGAGGGGAAGGAGTGTGAATGGGGCATAGTGAATGAGGGGAAGGAGTGTGAATGGGGCATAGTGAATGAGGGGAAGGAGTGTGAATGGGGCATAGTGAATGAGGGGAAGGAGTGTGAATGGGGCATAGTGAATGAGGGGAAGGAGTGTGAATGGGGCATAGTGAATGAGGGGAAGGAGTGTGAATGGGGCATAGTGAATGAGGGGAAGGAGTGTGAATGGGGCATAGTGAATGAGGGGAAGGAGTGTGAATGGGGCATAGTGAACAGGGGAAGGTGGATGGGTGAGGCAAGATCAGATCAGTGGTTCTCACTCTGACTGCACGTTAGAATTACCTGAGGAACCTAAAGTTGCCATTGTGCAAGCCCAACCCCCAGAGATTGTGATTTAATTGGTCTGGGGTGGGGCCTGGGCATCCGTAGTTTATAAAAGCTCCCCAGGGACATGGTGCAGCCTGAACTGAGCACATCAGTCTTGATCATGCAGAGTTTTACAGGCTCTGGTAAGGAGTTGGGACTTTATATGAATGTTGATGGGAAGCCATTAGACAGTTTGAACTAGGAAAATAACTTGTTCTGATTTGCGCTTTTAGGAGGCCCACTTTGGTGACCGCGTGGAGAGTAGAGGCAGGAGATTGTTACAGTGGTCCAGTTGAGAGATGATGATGGTTTAGAGCAGGATGGTGTCAGTAGAGATGGTAATAAGAGGTCAGTTTGAGGATAAGTTTTGGAGGTTGTGGTCACAAGATGAATTGGATTTAGTATGTCAGACAAAGGCATAGAAGGTTGCCTCAGAGCTCACCTGAGTAACTGGGTGGATAGGGGTGCCATTCATGGAGATGGGAGAGATCGGGGAGGAACAGGTTTGAGAAGTAGGTAGACTAGTTGTGTGTATTGGTTGGAGTGAAAGCCTTAGGCTGATCTCTCTAGATTTAGGTAATTTACAAATAGAGGCAACCAGATGAGGTTGACTAAAACATTCTGAGAAGTCCTGTTCCTGTTGTGCCAAGAGTTTTCTTGAAGTCTTCCAAAGGTAAGTCCCAAAAGCAGTTAACCATTTTAGTACATGGAACCTGTGGTGAGAAGCATGCAGGAGAGAAGAAGAAAATGGAAGACACTGAGCAATTTTCATGCAGGGTTAGGCTGGACGTAGGTGAAGAATGTACTCTGAAAGATTACATATAATCAGTCAGCATCTGCCCTGCAACAATAATTGAATGGCATGGCGATAGACAGAATCCAAAACAGCAGGTTACAAAATTTGTATTTGACTTTAAGGGGAGTTTTCTTCCCAACAAAATTGTCTTCTAAGATATATCTGAATCACATTATAATTATTTTTTATTTCTCTGACCAGGCCCTGGATGTCCAGCGGTTCAAAGCAACCCAAGTTTTTAAGTCAAAATCAAATTATTAGAATTGGTTGCCTTATGTGGAGAACAATAAGGAATTTGTTAGAACAGTTTATTTTTCCCCCTGATGAAAGAACATGGATTAAATTGCAACAGTGGAGCATATTGATTGGTTCTATCATGGAAAAGTTCTTGGTTTTAGGCTCATTGAGGGCAAGGACTATCTCTTACACAGTTTCTGTTTTTCAAAATACCTAGCATCTCTGCTCATTCTGAGACTTTTTGTTACATTTAGTAAAGTTATGGGATCTTTCTGCAGTTAGTGCTTGTCTGAATGACAGCAGACAGGTTGACCAGAGGCTCTGGAAGTGCCAACAGCCTCTTCTGGGCATTTCTTTGTTCTTACTAAAGAAACTCAAGATGTGGCTGCTTTGAGTGAAAGACAAGAGAATTCAGAAAATGACCATCATCTGAAACTCTTTAATAAAAAGAGCTTTGCATTGGCTCCAAGTCTCAGAGGCAGTGCCTGTGAGGTTAGGCTGGCTGGTGTTGAACTTTGAAATGTCAGGCTCCATTGCCATCCCATTACCTGAATGAGTCCCTCATGGTAAGCAAAACAGACAGCATTTGTTGCCCTGTGTAACGCATTTTGTCTTCATTCACTCACAGACAACTGCAGTGACCTGAACTCAGAACTGCAGAGGGTGCTGACAGGGCTGGAGAATGTTGTCTGCGGCAGGAAGAAGAGCAGCTGCAGCCTCTCCGTGGCCGAGGTGGACAAGCACATTGAGCAGCTCACCACAGCCAGCGAGCACTGTGACCTGGCTATTAAGGTAGACCTTCCTCACCCTCTGTGAGGCCCTTTGAGGTTCTGAAAGGGAAATGGTCCAATCCTTCTCTTGAAGTGCAGTTTTCTTAAATACTTACTAGGGATGAATGTTTCCATGAGAGCCATACAATAGATTGAGCCACGGTGTAGAAGCGGGGGCTCTAGAAATTTTGGTTGGGCTGATTTATTTCAGAAAAAGTCATGATGTCAGCAGTCAGGTTCACTGGCTTTGCGGTAAAAAGGACAATTTACTTGGAAACCATTCGACTGCTAGTATTGAACCACGTCATTTTAGAGTGGTTCATCATAGAGCCACTCGTAAGCTGTAAGTTTAGCTTGGAAGTTTTGTTAAAGCTCTAAGGCCTCTAGAATACGATTTCAGGAGTCCATTCATCAATTCCTCTTGCTGTTTGAGATGGTGACAGGAATTTGTTGCATCTGCACAAACTCATTGTGAATGATGGGAAAGTCAAGGCTTACTGATACTAGGCCTCTGGTATCTTTATATTCCTTCAACGTAACTTAGTGACCTGGGCATAGCAATTCAAATTTAAAAGTCTAGGAGGAGCCCATAAAGAGAAAATGCAGGCCCAAGTTTCTATAAGTAGGAATCCTGGATTGCACAAAAGAACTGTGGTGTCACAAGGTAAACCACGATGCATGTTTGTAACACTGCTGGTTTTCCATCTTTCTTCATCTCAATTGCAAATATGTAGTTGATGTAGTTCAGGGCAGGGAGAAGCAATTGCTGGTGTTTCTTTCTCTGGAATCTCCTGGGCCCTATATTTGATTGTAATGTCAACTTGGGTCTAGCCCCAACCTCGGAGTTGAGAGGGAAGGAGGAGGCCAAGGGCCTCTACCAACCAGCTAGGGACAAAGCCACAGGGTCTGGAGCAGAGCCAAGTAGGATGAGAGTCTCCAGATTTAAAGGAAGGACAAAGCAGCACATGGGAAAAGTGGCAGCAAGATTTGAGAACCAACATGAGCATCCAAGAGTGATGTACCCTTATGTTTTTTAGTATTGGAGGCGTTCTGTTTCTTTTCTTTTCTTTATTCTTTTTATTATTTTTATTATTTTTTTTTAGACGGAGTCTTGCTCTGTCGCCCAGGCTGGAGTGCAGTGGCATGATCTCAGCTCACTGCAACCTCCACCTCCCAGATTCAAGCGATTCTCCTGCCTCAGCCTCCCAAGTAGCTGGGATTACAGGCGGGCGCCACCACGCCCGGCTAAATTTTGTATTTTTAGTAGAGACAGGGTTTCACCTGAGGTCAGGCTGGTCTTGAACTCCTGACCTCAGGTGATCCACCCGCCTGGGCCTCCCAAGTGCTGGGATTACAGGCGTGAGCCACTGCACCCGGCCAGTCTTCTGTTTCTTATTCCATCTCTTCACTGCCTTCTACCTCTTCATAGTAATTCTCCCTCTTGTTTCATTATCCACTGGCTTGTGCTTCCTTTTTCAAAGGACAGTAAATGTGAATGAACAGTTTATAAGAGTAAGCAGAATGACTTCTTCCTTTTTTCCCTAATATGCATGTTTCTTCTTCATTAAATGTTTTTAAATGAATTTTTTAAAACTATGTGCTACTAAGATTTTCCTTTAAATTTTGAAGCTGTATTATTAATTTAATCCCTGCTGTCTTAGAAATCTCCACAATGAGCTTCCTCTTTTCTGTGTCAATGAGGTTTATTTTTGTCTTTCACATCTTGAGACTGAACCTCATTTGCACCATCTGAATTTGGATGTGGCACTAAAAGCTGGAAATGGTAATGTGACCTATCTTATCGCTGAGTTGGCATGTGGGAGGCCTATAATTTAGGAAACTTCAAGTTAGATTTTGTATGCAGTTTACAACCTCATGTTTGTCCTCACATTACCAGGATCACTAAATGGCCTTCTGCCTGGTTGTGTGTATCCACCAACTCTGGAACTCAAGTGAAGGAAATAAGCATTGTGTGGATGTGTCAGCTAGCACCACAGACAGACTCAGCTGCCAGGAGAGGACTCACTGTTTTTCTTACTCTGAAGGTTGCCAGGTAACACAGACTGTACCCCAGGCAAGTGACAGAGCCTCATCTGAAATTGGAGACAGGATAACTTTGGGGTGTCTGTAGTCATGATCACTATTTATAACAAAGTGGTTCTAGAACACACTCCTCTATGGACATTTATTCCTGTTCAGCCTATTTTCTTCCTATCCCCTTTCTCCAAGGTAACTTACTTGACTTTTCTTTGGGGCTGTGTTTTACAGACAGTCGAGGAGATTGAGGGGGTGCTTGGCCGGGACCTGTATCCCAACCTGGCTGAAGAGAGGTCTCGGTGGGAGAAGGAGCTGGCTGGGCTGAGGGAAGAGAATGAGAGCCTGACTGCCATGCTGTGCAGCAAAGAGGAAGAACTGAACCGGACTAAGGCCACCATGAATGCCATCCGGGAAGAGCGGGACCGGCTCCGGAGGAGGGTGAGCATGCTGCATCCATAATGGTCAGGCCCTTCCTGGGCATGGGGCTGAGAGAGGCTGGTGTATAGCACCAGGGGCACCGTGAGAATTTTGTGGCATTTGTAATTTTGGGAATCACTGTCTCTTTCCTGTTATGAAGTCCTTCTTGAAAGTAGTTCGAAATTGCTAAGGTATAGAGGTAAGATTTAAAAAAAAAAAGCAAACACTTTTCTCTGGAATCTTAAATCTGACTGGTTGATAAAATTACATCGGGGCAGTGATTCTAAACTTTCCAGGGTAAGCACATCTTTTCTAAGCTCAATTAAAATGTTCTTTAGGATAAACTAATAGTCTTTAGAATTTGAAAAAAAAAAATGGAATTTTACCTTTTTAATTTTTTTCTATAAAATTTTATTTAGCTTTATTGTACCTGCTCTCATTTGCTTATACTGAATCTAGTATAGAATGTCGTCTCTCCTGGTGCAGACTTACTGAAGTTAAAATAGCCATATCTTGTACATTGTGTGCATATATGTATGTGTGTATGTGCATCTGTTTAAGTGTGCATGTTATGTGTGTGTCTCTGTGTTTACAGATGTGTATGTGTGACTCCTGCTATTCACCCTAGGGCCTGACCTAGTTTGAGTATCATTTTGTTTAGGACATGTATCCATTACTGAAGGAGCTAATGTTTCAGGATAGAAATGTTCGGCAGAATTGTTAAAGCCTCAGTTTTTCCAAGGTGAAGTTTTTAATCCCAGGAACCCACAAGCACTTCTGTGTTTGGCTGTGAGTTTGATCTGTGATTGGACTGGGGGTGAAGCAATGAATTCCTCAATCAAACACTTCCCTCAGAACTTCACTTTGAATTACTAGACTTACTTGACTCTCTTTCTTGGTCTTGGCAATATTAGAAGCTTGTTTTCTAGTTGTGCTCTGACTGCTAATTTTGTACACAGATAAAGTTGACTTAGAAGGGGAAAAATACTGGCCAGGCACAGTGGCTCACGCCTGTAATCCGAGCACTTTGGGAGGCCGAGGCAGGCAGATCACAAGGTCAGGAGTTCAAGACCAGCCTGGCCAATATGATGAAACCCCCGTCTCCACTAGAAGTACAAAAATTAGCCAGACATGGTGCTGTGTGCCTGTAGTCCCAGCTACTTGAGAGGCTGAGGCAGGAGAATCGCTTGAACCCGGGAGGCGGGGGTTGCAGTGGGCCAAGATCGCACCACTGCACTCCAGCCTGGGCGACAGAAGGAGACTCCATGTCCAAAAAAAAAAAAAAAAAAAAAAAAGGGAAAAATACATCTAGTGGGTCTCATCATCCTTCACCATTGCTCTTGCTCCCTTAGCCATAAAAAAGACCTTGTAAATAACTTGCTCTTCTATGCTTCAACGAGCTCAGGATGTGTACATCATTTTGTTTTTAATCCATTTGTAAGTATTCTTAGTTGCCATTATATAAAACGGAAGAAATTACTATTTTTGAATGTTATCAACTCTTCCTCATTTGAAAAATATGGAAGAAATTACTATTTTTGAATGTTATCAACTCTTCTTCATTTGTGCTAATGTCATAATTAAAAGGCTGGCACTACTACCTCTCATATCTGAACATCATTTTGTCTTAACTCACGTGCATAAGCATATTTTCAGTATGCAGCTATATCGGATGACAGTCTCCATAGTTGCATCAGCAGGTGTAAATCATCCCAGTCAGCAAAGGCTTTATCTGGGCAGCATGATGAAATTTGCTTAGCACTAAAGCCCACGCCACCTGTAATTTCCTGGGTTACACTCCCCGATGATTATCACTGATGTCCTAATTAGGTATGTACTTGCTCTTAGTGTGTGCATTCTGATGGTGCATGTTTTGTGAGGGAAATTGTTGGTCTTTGGTGTAATTACATATTGTGGTTTAGAATGAATTTTCTTCTCTCACTTGCCAGCCCTTCATGGTGGACTAGCAAAAAATAAAAAGTCCCCTTCCCCACTTTCCAGTGTTTTCTCCAACTCTGGAGGTCAGTATTAAGAATAGCACAGTGCGGAGGCACTACACTAGGTACCAGGGCTCTGGAGCCAGATTGCCTGGGTCATGCACAGCCTGACCTGCCAAGTCACCACGAGTCTTTGGCAGGTTGCCTAACCTCTCTGTGCCTCAGTTTACTCTGCCACGAAGTGGGACAATAATAGCACCCAAAGCAAAAATTAGATAATACTCGTAAAGTGGTTAGGCGATGTCTGGCACGTAGTAAATGCTCAAAAAATTAGTAGTAGTTCTTTGGAGTAAAATATATAGTTACCTGTCGAGTGATACGGAAAGTTGAACACCATCCTGTCATTTTTTTAAATAGGAATCCTTAGATGTTTGAAGAACTCCAACATGGACATTGGATAATTACACACACACACATACAGGCCTGCACACATAGACACATTTTAGTCAAAGCCTTTCTTCCAGTCACATCTGTTACCTTTTATAAGTTTGTGCAACTAGTATAGTTTTGTATAATTTTTATTTCAGTTACCTTCAAATAATGTTAACTTTTATCTCTTCCTCAACTAGAGATATTCTCAGGAATTTATATACATACCATGAATTGGATTTATTGCTTTTTATTTCAAGATGAGTGTAGATCTCAAAAAGTGTACTAGATGCATTTGAATGCCTGTTTACTAGACTTTAAGTGCCAAAAGTCTTCTTCCAGCCGTCACTCACCCACCCACCTAGTGTGCTTTATTTCCCTCAGGAGGGATCTGTCCTTCGTGGTTGTCATTGTCTTCTGTTCTTGACGATGTGTAGCTCTGCAGAGTGACTGAGGTACCATTTTATTTTTACCCTGTGACAGTACAGAGTACAAGGCTGGTTTGCCTTTGCTGTCTTTGTAGCAGCTCTGAATCCATAGTTCATCAAAGTTCCTTGACGAGCAATTGGGGCCACTTTCTTTTTCTTTTTTTCTTTGCCCACATTCATTGTATAGAATTTTAACCGACCAGATCAATAGGATTGGTGCTTGAACCGTGCCTGTAATTAAGCAAAGTGCTCTCTGTAGGTCTTCTGAGCTTTGTTCAAGATTTAATTAAATTAGATCTTTAATGTAGTCAGTTAACAAATTGGGCTAGTGGCAGAGCAGTACCTAAGGAGCAACAGGCAATTTTATTATTGGTCCTAGTTCATTACTGAATGAGGCAATCATTTATTTCTGTTTGCTCTGTGATATAACCATGTATTTCCTCACACATAAAGAATTGGGCTTAATGTAGGCAAGGGAGAATTACTCTGTAAAGGAATTACTTTATTCTTCATTCATTCATTTCACAAACGTGATTGGTCATCTCTGTGCCAGACAGAGGGGTTACAGTGATGAACAGGACACAGTCCCTGGCTTCAAGGATGTTGGAGAGACAGGCAAGTAAACAGATCATTGCAAGGTTTATGTCAAGTGGTGGGGACAGGTAAACACAGAGAGTGCCCTGAGAGCTCCCCAGAGAGTCGTGTGATGGCAGGAACCACTTTCTCCACATTGTTCCCATTTTTTTAGCTACATTGTTTAAGTCAGCCATGATGTGGCAAAAATAATCAGCGCTTTCCCCAATGTGTTTGGCAAAGCAAACTTGATATGACCACAGGCACATGAAACTGTGTCCCGCTGAACCATAGACTTGAACACAAATCGGCCACATAAGTTCCTTCTGAGATTTTCTAGAAATTCTTCAGATTTACAGAATTCTTCTGCATGTTCATGTCATAAGGTGTTAACAATTTCTTCTTTACACACTGTGCTCTACCTGGGTATTTTCTGCATGTCTTGGAATGAGTTCCATCTGTCTCTCCTGGGCCTCTCTCATCCTGGGGGTCTGGCTTCTGGTTTCATTGCCACAGTAAATTCAAGAGACAAGTAGACATGCTATTTTGAACCAAATAAAAGTCACCCTCGGCCAGGTGCGGTGGCTCACGTTTATACTTCTAGCACTCTGGGAGGCCGAGGCAGGAGGATTGCTTGAGCCCAGGAGTTTGAGACCAGCCTGGAAGTGTAAGTGTTGTGATCTTACAGAGGTTAAATAAAGAGACATCTATGTTTTCCCTCACATCTCTTTTAGCCTCATTTGGCCATAGTCCCGTCTGAGCTGGTCCCACTCTACCTCCCCTTGGTGTTGCTTTTCTTGAGACAGGGCTATATAGAGAAAATGCAGACTGCAAAATAGTACTTTATATTTATTATGAATTTATAGCTGTATAAATTTCCATTTCATAGATATTCATATGTATGTATATAAAAATATTGAAAATAGACCAGAAAAATATAAACCAACATCATAATGGTAATATGTTGTATTGGCCTCAAAGGGACCTTAAACTTCTCTATAATGTTCTAATTTATGTTTTTAATGAATGTATTCATATCATTGTATAATTTTTAATATGCAGAAGTATATACATAGAAATAGAACACTGATATGCTAAAATATTAACAGGTTAAATCTGGGCAGTGGAAGTATGCGATTGCTTTTTTTCTTCTTTGTCCTCTTTAATTTTCAAATTAAGCAAAAACAAAAAAGTATGGATTATGGAGAATGATCTGTATCTCACAGCTTTTAATGGTTTGATATTCACATATAAGCTGAGTCTTCTTTTTTGTCCTTTATGGAACTTTGTTCATTTCTTATTTGTTCCATTTCTTCATGGGAATTTCTTTTCAGGATAAGGAAGAGGATGCCAATATTAGCTGAGTTTAAATTCATAAAAGTTCTGTAAAACCAAGTCCTGTCTCAACACCGCTCCTCTCAGCTCTCCCCAGCTGTCATCTAGCTGCATGGGAGGGAGCTGAGAGGAGCCAGGTCTGGCTTCAGTGTGCTCCTTCCACATGGGAGGCTCAGGTGGCTCTTCTTTTGTATGGCTGGTATATTAGTCAGTATGAGGCTAGATTTTTCTGCAATAACAGGTTCACTCCCCAAATCTCAGTGGCATGGCACGTTGTTTCTTGCCTGCACCATATATTCAGTGCAGGTTAGGGGACAGGTGCACGTCTCTGATCCATACATTCACTCAGAAACTCAGACTGTTGGCCATCCACCACCTAAGAGCCCACTCAAAGGCTCCCACCACAGCATTTAAATGCTTCTGCGCCCTGCCTGTTGACCAGAACTAGGCAGATGGCTTTACCTAACCATAAAGGGGCTTAGGAACATGTGGATATTCAACAGTACAAGTTTCTGATGCAGCTGATTTACATGCTTTGACTATGATACCAGCCGGGCTTGGCCGTGAATCAGAGTTGCAGAGAAACAGGCAGTTTCACTCATCCATCTTGTGGTGACCCCACACGTGTGTGTCAGAATCACTGGGAAGCTCTTTGAGAGGATGTGTGCCCAGGCCTTTCCATGAGCCAGAGTCAGTAAATGGGGTGTAGCACCCTGGCACACTCCCCCACATTATGATTGTGGTCAGCACTTGGAGACAAGGAAGGGAGAGGCAGTGTCCTTTGGTCACCCACTGGACATGGGCCAAGAGCTTCTCCAAGTGTCCTCTACTTCCCCTCTGCAGGTGAACTGAGAGAAAGAGCTACAGGCTTTCTGCCTTCTCCTCATGCCCAGCCTGCTCCTCCTGGGCCCACCATGTAGCAGTGATAAGCCCGGCATCTGCTAGGGAAGCTGCCTGCTATGTGGAGCCTGCCCTGCACTGTCCCTTCACCAGGGTCATCTGAGCTAGAAGTGGAGGGAGGGTGGAGTCCACCAGGGTACAGGCACCCCGGGGCTCCCAAGGCATGGAGGCACTGCCTGGCCCAGTGCCAAGTCCCCCAGCTCACCCCATGAAGGAAATCACTTCCACAGGGAGCCACTTACCAGTGCAAGCTCAGTAGGGCTTATTTTTAAGAAAGGCTCTGTTAATAATATTGATAGTATTGACATTCTGTGAATATTTGCAGACTGAACTCCTCTCAGACTAGACACCCCCCAGATTAAAATCAGATACCTCTAAAGGCAAAGCGGGACTTACTCAAAGCCTAAATCACCAGCCTGGGTAACATAGCAAGACCTCTGTTCTACCAAAAAAAAAATTTTTTTTTTTTTAATTAGCCAAGTGTGATGGTGTGCACCCATAGTCCCAGCTACTCGGGGGCTGAGGTGGGAAAATGGCTTGAGCCCAGGTGATCAAGTCTGCAGTGAGCTGTGATCACACCATTGTACTCCAACCTGGGTAATAATAGCAAGGCCCTGTCTCTAAAAATAAATAATTTTGAAAACCTAAATTATGATAATAGCCCAGAACATATTTCAAACACTTATTTGTGATGGGTGATGATTTATGCACATTTTGTTTAATCTGCTCCAGAATCCTAGCTGATAGGTACTATTATTATACCCTTTTTAGAGATGGGAAAACAGAGGCCTACAAAAGCTTTAACAATCTTGCCCAAGTCTACGTTGATGTTAACTCTTGGTACCAAAATTTGGGATCTGGTGGCCTTATTAGGGGAGGCAGTTGTCATTGTTCTCTTGTTTAGACCACTTTCCTGTAGCCTTCTGTCCACCCTTGTCCTCATCCTAGCCCCACTCCCATGCAGACCAACAGTGGGTAAAATGTCCTCTGTTACAGCAACATGGGGGCCAGATTCCTTAGGGTTTCACAGACCCACTCTCCTGGCATTCTAATGCTACATGAAGGCACACTGAGCTTGTTGCAGAAAATAGGAAGCTGGTGGTATGCATGCTTTTACCTTGACCTGAGTCCAGTGTTGTGTTCCCCTCCTCTCTGTAGACTGAGGGAGTTTTAGGGGGAATCCAAGGCAGAGAATCCCCAGAACCCTGGTTCTTTGACCTCTTCCATGGACACAGCTCCCAGTTACTTCATGAGGGCCTTACACACACTTGAGCCACGGAGATTGTGAGGCAACTCCTGCTGTGGGCACCAGTATTTGCTTACTCACCCCAGCCTCATGTGCCTATGAGGAGGCCAGGCTGCTTCAAGGCTAGCTCTTGGCTGTCATGAAAGAAGCTGACTCAATTTGTCAAAAAGCTGGTAAGAAATTAGGAACATTGGCCGGGAGCGGTGGCTCATGCCTGTAATCCCAGCACTTTGGGAGGCTGAGGCGGGTGGGTCACAAGGTCAGGAGTTCGAGACCAGCCTGGCCAACATAGTGAAACCCCGTCTCTACTAAAAATACAAAAAATTAGCCAGGCGTGGTGGTGGGCGCCTGTAATTCTAGCTGCTTGGGAGGCTGAGGCAGGAAAATCGCTTGAACCCGGGAGGCAGAGGTTGCAGCAAGCCGTGATCGCGCCACTGCACACCAGCCTAGGCAACGTGTGAGATTCTGTCTCAAAAAAAAAAAAAAAAGGAAGATTGCCAAAATGCTGGCCTTTTCCAATGCAACCATTTTTATAACACATCCAGGTACTTTAGTGGGCTATAAAACAAAAGAGAAAATAGCACACATATCAAACTTACCGAGAGATGGAAATGCTGTTGGATGTTTTCTCCTTCTATTTTGTGATCTCTCTCTTCTGTTTCCATCTAGTCAAAATTGCCATTAACAATAAAATACCACTATCCTGAAACACCATGTAAATTTGATTTATAGAAAGAAATAAATATTTGCTGTAAATAGATTCTGATTATTTGAGGGCTCTAAGAAAAATCATATAAAATCTCCAATAAGAGGTGTGGTTCTCGGCAAAATATCTACAAACCCTGGACTTCGAGATAGCAGCTTTCCAAAAACTACACAGGGACTAACTGCATGAAGCTCATTAAGTAGAACTTTCCCAGCCTAGTGATTCTCACCATTCTATAGTGTGGGAATCATCTCATCTCAACCAGCTCCATTACACAGTGAAATTATGAATTACAGCCTAATTGCCTGAAATTACAACTACCCAGTGAGTACTGCTACGTATCATCAGCAGAACAGGCTCTTTCTTTTATGGCTAATAAAAATGTTTCTGATCCTGCTCAGGACTCTGGTGCCACCTTGCCTTCCTGCTTGTCACTCATCTGTGAGCCACATTCACAGATGACTTCATCAGCTGACTCTTGTCTGTGCTCCCACAATTGTACTCAGAGATTGAAGCATCCGCATAGCTGACCTGTCTCATACTTGCCTAGCCTCACGTTTCCAAGGAATTTCCTACCACTTTGGAAACCTGCTTCTGTGCACACTCTTTGTGTTTGACAGCTCTAGGGCCAAATCCCCCCAACATCTCACTTTCCCACTCTGCCTAATCCCTTATGCTCCTGGCTTGCATCATTTACTTTCTTTTGGATTGATTGAGAGAGAGAGAGAGAGAGAGATCAACAGATAGATAGATAAGATAGATATGGGATCTGGCTATGTTGCCCAGGCTGGAATGCAGTGGCTATTGACAGGTGTAATCACAGTGCGCTCGACCCTTGAATTCTAAGCTAAGCGATCCTCCTGCATAGCAAGCTGCCTGAGTAGCTGGGACTACAGGTGCGCACCACCATGCCTGGCTTTTGTTGTAATTTGGCACTCAGGACAGAGAGAGAAGATAATTATATTCACTAGTCACATTCACTGGTCCCTCTTTTAATTTATTCCTTGCAAATAATTTATCCCATATAATATCCCATCCCCTTCCCCCCATTTTGTGCATGTCCTAAGATAGTGTTTTGCATTACTTTTAATTTATTTAAATGTTACTCTGCTGTCGCCTTCTCTTATGTTTTTCTCCTCAGCACTCTGATTTTAAGGTTTGTCCATATGGCTGTGTGTACATCTGGTCCTGTGTGTCTAAGGACATCTAGCATTCTATAGTGACCCACCTATTGCATTTACAGCAGCTGACAATCAAATTGCTTCCCATTTCCCATGACCACAAACAATGCTCCGGGGCATAGTCCCTTGCACATGTCTCCTCCGGCCTGGTGGGAATTACTCAGGATCACATGTCCAGGAGTGAAACTGCTGAGTCTCAGAGTGTGTATAGTCTTGCTTTGACCAAGTACCCCAGGGCAGCTTTTGGGAAATCTGGCCAGCCCATCCGCCCAACAGCAGCAAAGGAGTATTTCACCACCTACGTCAGTGTCAGCTCTTGTACTTTCATTGTTTCTTTCATCTCATTCTTTTTCTCAGGTTTAATTTTCTTTGGTACTGAAAATCATGTATTCTTAGGAAATTCTTTCAGCAAAGATCTATAGGTGATAGATTCTTAATCTTTGAGAGGGTCTTTATTTTTGCCCACACTCTTGATAATAGCTGTGTAATCTCCTGTGGCTGCTGTAACAAATTATCATGAACTTAGTGACTTAAGACAACACAAATTTATCATCTTACAGTCCTAGGGGGTCAGAAGTCCAAAATGCATCTCATTCACTAAAATGAAAGTGTCGGCAAGGCTGCATCTCTCTGGAGGCTGGAGGGGAGAATATACTTCCTTGTCGCTTCCAGCATCTAGAGGGAGCCTGCATCCTTTGAGTATGCCCCTTCCTTCATCTCCCAAGCCAGCAGCATAGCATCTTCAGAGCTCTAACTCTGGCACTCCTGCTTCCCTCTTAGAGGGGTCTTGTGACTTCTGAGTCCACCTAGATGATCCATGATACTCTACCCATCTCAGTTCCCTTTTGCCGTACAAGGCTACATTTACATTTCTCGGGGTTTAGGGCGTGGATGCCTTTGGGGGCCATCATTCAGCCTACCACAATATTCTAAGTAGGCATTAGATTTTAAGGTGATAGGTTTTTTAGTGGCATTCAATAGATTTTATTGAGACTGTGTCAGTCCCTGTTGAAGGTGTTGGCAATGCAGTAGTGAATGAAACAGAACAACACCCACAGACCCACAGAACCTGAGATGCCTCTATCCCATGAGAAGGCAGTGTGTGTGTGTGTGTTTGTGTGGTGTGTGTGTGTGTGTGTGTCTGAGTCTCATTGCATCACCCAGGCTGGAGTCCAGTGGTGTGATCCTCCTAGCCCACCATGGCCTTGACCTGCCAGGCTCAAGCAATCCTCCCACCTCAGCCTCCTGAGTAGCTGGGACTACTGGCTCACGCACCACTCCTGGCTGATTCGTTGTTGTTGTTGTTGTAGAGACAGGGTCTTGCGCTATTGCCCAGGCTGGTCTCAAACTCCTGGGGTCAAGCAACCTTCCCACCTTGGCCTCCCAAAGTGTTGGGATTACCACCAAAGCCACCGTGCCTAGCCCCACAAGAAGGCTTTTAAGATTTGGTGTCTATTTTTGTTTCATTATTTCTTAATCTTAAGGAAATTATTCCCCTTATCTCTTTAAGGTTCCTCAGTGTACCTATTGTGATGTGGTTTACCAGTTGCTTTATTTTCATTTCCCCTAGGGTGAATTCAGCTCCTGATTCAGACTGCTGGCTCTCTTGTTTTATCTTTTGCTCTCTGTAGTTGTCCTCACTCTGTGTCTGGCAGCTTTGTGGACCTGGGCTCCCAGTCATGGGAAGCCTAAGTCTCCTGTTCTCTCTTGATACTGGGCGATTTACAAATTAGGCAGTTTCTGAGGCAGTGGGTGGCCTGGCAAAATCCAAACCAGTTTCCAGTGTTCATGTCAAGTTTGGAGTCCCACAGTATGCAGATAGTATAAATTTGGACCTCACACCCAAAGGTGCCACTGGTCTGGGGTTTTGGTTTCTGAAGGTTGACTCCGCTGCACAGCCTCAGGATTCCTTCTGTGGACAGCACTTTCAGCTTTTCACCTATGGGTCGAGCAGAGAGGCTCCAGGCGTGAGGCAGAGGGATCAGCTCAAGCAGCTAGACTAGCAGGCGCCCTCCATCTCCTCCCTCCCACGCTCTCATTCTGTGCCCTGCTCACAGCCCCTGGGCTTGCGGTGGCACCACCTCCTGGCAACTCCTTCAGCCTTCTTTCTCATTTCTGGCATCTGGAGATTTTGCTGTCTTTTGACCTTGGCAATGAATTTATTTCTCATTGTTCCTTTTTTAATGCAGGATTTCTATGCATTTTTAATAGGAGCACCTGTTGACTTTAGCTGAAGCTGTCATATGCCGGGAAGTTTCAATTGTTGTGTACAGTTACATAGCTGCAACCTCTGTTAACCTCTGAAAGCCTCTGTTCTCATTCTTGTCCTTCCTGCTCTCTGCCAAAGCTGAATTAGAGTCTGCCATCGTCCTTCTGGGTAGACTGGCTGCCTCTCTTTGTATACATTATAGACTTTTTTTATTCTGTGTCTTTCATCAGTGCTCTTCTTTTCACTTGGCCGTTGAGGAACGTGTCCAAATTTTGTTTCGGCCAATGCCCCAGGCACATTCTTATCTCCGTTGTGGTTTTAATCCTTTTTTATTTTGTACTATTATTTATTGAGGTCTCTAGAGTTGGAAGAAAACAATGTGTTCTTCAGTCTACTGTCTTCAAAGAGAGCTCAACTGAGCTGTCAGTGCTGCTGTGTAAGCTTCCTTTTTTTTTTTCTTTTTTGGTCCTAGGTCAGCCTCCTTTCTCATTTCTGACATTCCCCCCTCATGCCTAGCAGAGAAAATAGAAGCCATCAGATGGGAGTCCCTGTTTCGCATCTTCCCCTGACAGTCTGCAAATCACGTTTGTTATTGCCCGTCCTCACCTCCTTTCCTTTTCTCCCCGAGAAAAAGGTGTCCCCATCTCCCTGTCCTCCACTGACCCTCCACTCCTGCCAGCTCCACACAGGCACTCTGCCCACCACACTGCCACACCTCCTTCCTGGACCTTATCCATGCCCAGCATTCCTAAATCTATCTATCCAGTTCTAATTGCTTTCCTTCAGACTTACATCTCTAATTGTTGACTGATAAGCCCTCTCTTACATACCCAGTTGTTTTCTCAAATTCAGCATGTCCAAAGCTGATATCATTGTCAGCTCCGGACATTGTCAGCTCTGGTCATTTCTTTCCGAAAAGATCAGCTTCTCTTTATGTTTTTCTTTCTCATTGCTAAGTAACTCCATGATCCACTGAATCACCCCAGCTACAAGTTTGGGTGTTTTGTTTGTTTTTTCACCTCCTTGAATATTTTTAGAACTGCACTGATGGGTACAGTAGCTACTAGCCACATACAACCATTTAGATTTGAATTTAAATAAAGTAAAATACAATACAATTAAAAATTCAGTTCCTTGAGTACACCAGGCACATTGCAAGTGCTTACAGCCACGTGTGGCACCAGGCTACCATAGCAGATAGTGCCACTCTAGAACATTTCCGTCTGTACAGGAAGTTCTGTTGGATAGTACTGGTCTAGAGTGTATTTTGCCATCCTTATTCCCACTTCGCTGACTGTATTTGAGCCCTCATAATTTCCTATCTGAACCATCAGTAGAGCTCTTGGCTCACCAACTTTTTCTTCCTTACTTCAGTCCATTTTCTCCTCTAATCAAATGATTTTTACAAAACCCTTGAAGAAATACCAGAGGGTAACAACTGCAACCTTTTAATGTCATTTCCCTACTTGAACCTTCCAGAGTCTCCCCATTATCTTTTCCTCTTTATTTGCTTGTTGAACAGTTCAGCCTTCAAGATTGAGTTCTAGCGTTGCCTGCTCTAGGAAGGCAGAGGCCAGCCAGGTTTCTTCTTCTGCACTTTGACACTCCTTGTTGATACCCCTCTTTCAGAGCATGTTTCCCATCATAATGTTTACCAGACACGCAGTAACTTCAGGAGAAGTGAAAAAACAGCCTCTCAGGTCATGTTCTGGTGTTGAGGAACCCCAGTTGAGAAAGGCTGTGAAGGGTGCTGAATGATGTTCCCGCAAGTGTCAGTCCCTGCCTCAGGTTAGCCCTGGTTCTTGGCTATCTCTTGACTCCAAAATATATATTTTGTAGAGAGAAACATAATTCCTTCAATAAAAATAGCCGTGTGCAGTGGCATGCCCCTGTAGTCCCAGCCACTTGGGAGGCTAAAACGGGAAAATCTCTTGAGCCCATGAGATTGAGGCCAGCTTGGGCAACACAACATAGTGAGACCGTGTCTCAAAAAAATAAGTCTTCAATGAAGAAGGAGTATTTGGATTACTACAAACTCTCATAGTTCTGGAGTCTAGGAGTCCAAACTCAAGGTGTTAGCAGAGCCACACTCCCTCAAAGGGCTTTGAAAGAGAATCCTTCCTTGCCTCTTCGAACTTCTGATAGCTCTTGGTGCTCTTTGACTTGTGTCCAATCTCTGCTTTCATCTTCACAGGACCTTCTTCCCTGTGTCTCTCTGTCTTTGTCTTAAATATCCCTTCCTTTTCTGTTAAAAGAACACCAGTCATTGCACATAGGGCCCACCCAAATCAGATTATCTTGCCTTGAGATCGTTAATTTAGTTATATCTACAAAGACCCTATTTTGAGATGCGGTCACATTCACGGGTACTGAGGATTCAAATTTGGACATATCTTTTGGGGGAGACATAATCCAACCCACTACAATGGGTGAGAATAAAAGTGAGAACTCTATTAACTATGTTTCTGCCTCTTTCCGAAGCCATGCCTAAGCTGACTCAGCATATTGGCTTTAGCCTTAGTTTCTTGCATTTATTCCTGTAAATTAAGATTCTCACTCTCAAATCAAAAGAAGGGGGAGAAGGCCACTTAACCAGCTGTCTTTCTTTCCCTGACAGGCACACTGCACTCCCTTCAGCTGGGTTTGTTTCCACTGGCTAGCAACTATCATTAAATAATAAAGCATAGCCCAAAATAAACATGTTTATCATCTTTAGTTTTTAAAGACATTCTCTGGGTCCGAAGTTTTTAAAGTGAAAGTAGATATTTAGATTTAGAAATTATTTTAAGCACATGTGTGCACATACACAGCAAGGAAAATGATTAGAGTAAATTGCCTCTGTAGAGTAAGAAAGAACATAAGCACTTTGACTGTTTTTATGTTTTAGTGTCATCTACATTTTCCACAGTGAGCATGTTTTACTTTTGTGATTAGAAGAAGAAATGTTTTTAAAACATGGATAGTTTTAATGAAGTCTTTATAAATTGCCCAGGATTTTTTTTATCTGTATTTTTTTTTAAATAGAGATATAAAAAAAAAAAAAAAGATGAGTAGGCCAGTAGGGATTCTAAGAACAGACCACTGATTGTCTTGAGTGCAATTCAGACACCATTTAGGTTTTGGAGTGGTGTTAACATTGTTAATTATTCAGGACCTTATCAGACTCATCAGCAGTAAAAACTGAAATTCACCGGGAGGTTGAATTCACCGGAGGTTGCAAGTCTCCACCGGGAGGTTTCCCCCAGTCCCTGAGGAAATGAATGAGCCCTCTCTCTTTGCCCAGTCTCTCTTTGTGGCATAATGAGGTATCCACCCCTGTACCCATTTTTGGTTTGTGAGGGACCATTTCAGAACGAGTCCTGTAATCCTTCATCAGCAGTACCATTTGGCTTCTACAGGGATATATTTTCCTATTCTTTAGGCTATTTTGAGTTTAGCCCTGTGTCTGGTCTGTTTTGAGGACAGCAAGCGTTTCCATCGATCCTCCGTTACTGGAACCGTGGCAGAGCATTAGGCACTTTTGAGCTGTTGCACTATTGAATGCAATTTGCTTTGAGGGAATTTTCCTATTTTAGCTTCTAATATGTTGATGAATTATTGAAATTTCAATTACTTTTGGTTCCCAAGTTAGCAGGATGGAGACATCCTAGACATTTAATATGAAAAGCTTTCCAGTGCCTTTTAGAGAAGGGGCCATGTGCCTGCCTGTTCTCTGCCCTGTCTAGAAGACTTTTGGCGGCAGGGCTGGCACCGGGGCATGGCTCCACTCTTCCTGTCTATGGGATTAAAGTGCTTTGTGGCCTTGGAAGTCCCTTAGGTGAGTGCTATTCAAGGTATGGTCCCCGACCGGCAGCATCAGCATCTTTTGCGAGCTTACTAGACATGCAGATCTTGGGCTTCATCCAGACCCTGCTAAATCAGAATCCCTGGGGTAGGGCCCTGGAATCTGTTTTAGCAAGCCCTCTGGGGGATTCTAGTACACATTCTGTTTAGAAAGCCCTGTCTTAAATTTCCTAGTGCTAACTCTTCCCAGCCCGACAAAGTCTGATGTCCATTTGTAAGGACCGCTGGGTGTTGTAGTTAGTTTGCTCTTTCAGGTAGACACTGCACTCTCATGCTGAAACTGCGACCAAGGTTATAAAAGACCAATCTCTAGCAACTCTCTTCAGCTACTTGGAATACTTCTCTCTTTGGAAGTCACAGAGTTGTAACTATAGAGGAGCAGGATTTGGACATTTAATTTCTGTGCAGGTAAATGCACGTTTTAAATGTAACTTAGAGGGTCCCGTGTTTCTTTTTTATATAGAAGGACTATTTAGACGTTCCTACCTACTATTCCAGGGAAAATCTCATCTGTAGGTAACTTGGGGAAAAGGTGCTGGCTCCATCAATGTCTCTTCTCTTAGCCTAATATTTTCCCCAATACAGACACTTCTGCTAAAACACACATATTGAATAACTTGCACCTCTTCAAACATAGCATATCATCCTAGCACCTGTTCAACCCCCCAGGCATATCACCACTAAAGCCATCTCCTCACTTGTTCTCCTTTAAGATTGCTCAAGTACCACTGTCTTCATTCAGCTTTCTCTGGATGACTTCAGCTGGAGTTATATTCTTCCCTTTTTCTGCTTCCCGTAACACTTGACATAGAAATTTATAACACTCAAGTGCACTTGTCTTGAAATCATTCCTGTCTCCTCTGGGCTCTGAAATGATGATTCCATGAGAGGTGATATCATCCTGGGTCCTCGTCCGCAGTCCCCAGCACAGTCAGGCAAGTGGGGCTGAAAGAATAAACATTCCTTAAAGGTAGTTATCCAGTGGCTTGGCACAGTGGCTCATGCCGGTAATCCCAGCACTTTGGGAGGCTGAGGTGGGAGAATCGCTTGAGTGCAGGAGTTCAAGACGAGCCCTGGCAACATAGCGAGACTCTATCTTTACAAAGGAATTTAAAAATTAGCCAGGTGTGGTGTGTGCACCTAGTCCCAGCTGCTCAGGAGGCTGAGGCAGGAGGATCCCTTGAGCCCAGGAGATTAAGGCTGCAGTGAGCCATGGTTGCACCACTGCATTCCAGCCTGGGCAGCAGAGCAAGACCCTGTCTCAAAAAAATAAAAATAAAAAAAGATGGTCATCCATCCTGGAAGCTTCCAGGGCCTTACATAATATGTTCACCTCATGCTTGTGAAGAATAGGTGATGGTCTGTGGCAGATTCCGTTAAGAATATGGTGACTCTTAGGCAAATATAAAAACTAGTAATATCATCACTTTGGTTTATAACTCTACTTTTTGTATTACATGTGATTTAAGAAACCGATTCATTAAAAAAAAATTATTAGTCCGAAAAAAGGAATATAATGACTTTTATGTGGACTCAACCAACCTAGCTTTTCAGTGGGCTGATCCCTCAATGTAAATGAAAGCCCCACCACCTACCCATCTGGCTGTTTTGCTCTTTAGCCAGGGAAACCACCAACTATGTCTAAAAGCATTATGATTTCAGGTCAGAGAGCTTCAAACTCGACTACAGAGCGTGCAGGCCACAGGTCCCTCCAGCCCTGGCCGCCTCACTTCCACCAACCGCCCGATTAACCCCAGCACTGGGGAGCTGAGCACAAGCAGCAGCAGCAATGACATTCCCATCGCCAAGGTGAGTTCCTGGGGATGGACCCGATGAGCGGGAACACCTCCTGTTATCTGGAAGCACCAGGCTCATCCTAGCCACTGTACAGGCATGCCCTTAGCTGAGACAGCACAAGGGGCTTCCCCTGGGACCTTACGCAGGCCTTCTATGCAGGAGCTGCAAGGAGAGATAACCCACTAATAGTTTTAAGTCTCTCTCAGCTGCAACCTGGACGCCAGCTCTCATTAATCAGCCAGCTGGAGAATGTCACAGCTGACAAGTCATTATGGAGAGTGAGACGTTTTGTCAAGTGCTCCAGTACTTCACAGTGGACAGAGTTGCTCTCAAAGACTAAGGTTCAGCCCAGTCAGGGACCTTGAGTAATGAACCAATGATCTCCCCACTCACAAGACTGACAGCTCTGCCACAAAAAAAGAAAAATAGATTATGATGGACAGGCTGTGGCAGCTGTGAGAAGTAGCCCCACTGACTCACTGCCACAGCCCCCCAGTACCTATGTTGAGTCTGTCTCAGATGATTAAAATTATGCCTGTTGGCTTGCCTGGTAGCTCTGCTAGCCACCACAATAAGGTTGATTCTTAACTATCAAGTTTAATAAGTTAGGTTAAACCAGTGTTTTCTAACCAGAAGTGATTTCATCCTCCAGGGGACATTTGGCAATGTCTAGAGACATTTTTGATGGTCACAATTGGAGTGCTACTGGCATCTTGTGGCTAGAGGCCAGAGATGCTGACAAATGTCCTACAATGCACAGGACAGACCCCCATAAAAAGAATTATCCAAGCCAAAATATCAGCAGTGCTGAAGTTGAAAGGCCCTGGCTTAAGCTGGTGGTAGAAAAATTGGACGTGAGCTGTTCTTAAGTTCTTTAATCATTTAGTTGACATGGCTAAAAAGTAGCCCTGTATAAGCGTAGTCCCAACAGTTTATCTGAGGAGTGGTGTGTAGTTTTCTATAATGTTTTGTTTTCTTTTTTAAGATTGCTGAGAGGGTGAAGCTATCAAAGACAAGGTCCGAATCGTCATCATCTGATCGGCCAGTCCTGGGCTCAGAAATCAGTAGCATAGGGGTGAGTGTTCATGAGAAGCAAGGCAAGAAAGTACCCGGCAGAGCTACACAGACAATGGATTATAGATGACAGAAGAACTTCCAAAGTCTATCTCCAATAAACCAGTTAGTTATAATAGTAAATCATACCTGATTTCCTTCCAAAGGATTAAATTAAAATGTATGATGATTTCCATCCATATGGTGAATTACTTCTTCAGCTTTAAGGGAGATTTTTTTTCCTTTCCTTGAAACCATTCAGAAACAAATGATTTAGGTCCAGTTCTTGGTGATATAGATGAAAGTCTTGAAGTATCTGTCTTATATCACCCTGCTACCCCAGAGACCAAGAGCTCTAAAATAACTTTGTCTTTTGCACATCCATCTTGAAAGGGGATGTGCTTTCCACTGAGGAGGAATGTTGTCTTTGAAGCCTAGCCCAGTGGTGGGAAAGACCAGAACCTTCACTTTAGTTCCAGAGTTTTCATTTGTGGAGTCTGGAAACCCCCTGGGACTGTAAGAGCTGATGGATGGTGAAAAGGAGTAGTTTCATTTCTTTAAGGGATCTTTTAGGATTGGGGATGAGGCTTAGAGAGCCAGCTATTTGATCCTCAGAGGCAGAGAGAGCCTGAATAGCATTTTAAGGCCCTAATTTAGAATTTTACACTGAGCAAAAATGCATGCATTCAGATTCTGTGCCAAAGCCAAATTGTGAAAATGAAGGAGTCAGCCCCTCTCCTGGGCTACAGAAACCAAAAACAGTGGCCTGGAGTGGCAGGGAATTCAGGATAGGGGAAAGAAATCCTGACTCTGTTCCACATTCAGAATTTAAGGAACTCCAAGAAGGCATGATCTCCCCATCCTGGCTGCCCAGCACCACGTGCTTGGGGAAGGAGCCATATTTTGATCCTGGTTTTTTTTTTCTACTGCTTTTATAGTATTTAATAGTTAGCTTTTCATACTAGGATTCTATCCTACAAACTGAGAACCTTCAGGGTAACCATCCTCCCAGTCCCCGATTCTCACGGAATATCAGCTTTAAATTCTTTTGCATGCAAAACATGCATCTCTGAAATGATATGTTCCAAAGGGGAATTAATGCTTCTTTTTGCAGGTATCCAGCAGTGTGGCTGAACACCTGGCCCACTCACTTCAGGACTGCTCCAATATCCAAGAGATTTTCCAAACACTCTACTCACACGGATCTGCCATCTCAGAAAGCAAGATTAGAGAGTTTGAGGTGGAAACAGAACGGCTGAATAGGTGAGGAGAGATCGTATCGATTTGATTGTGGGGCAGGGAGGAGGTGCTACTCCTCACTTCTCTTTCCAAAGATCTGTTCAAGGTGGCTTATGTATTGTGACATAGAGCAGTACCGTCAGGCTGGTGGGGATGGAAGTTCCTACCACCTTGGTCATCAGAGGAGTGCTCACAGCAGTCTGAGCTGCCATCATGGCTGTGACCTGGCATTCACATGGGCCTTATGCTTAGAAAGGTGCCATACTTGCTTCACTGCTCTGCTGTCAACGTTTTAAATTCTTAATATTGTTAAACAACGGACCCCACTTTTTCGTTTCACACTGGACCTTGCAAATTACATAGTGAGTCCTGGGAGCAGTCCCTACAGAATGGCAAGTAGGTCACAGGTGGCTGCCAAGCATGCAGGCCTGTGCTGCAGAGAACCACAGAAGGGAGTTCTGGAATGTTGAGTCAGCATCCTAGAGGCACTTGGAGCTACTGGAAACAGCACAGGCAATCTGGTAGAGCCATTCCTGGCATCGACCAGGCATGCTGATTTAGATCATCTTCCTGATGGTTGCCTAGTTTTATTTATGTTCTTCGCAAATGTGCTCAGTCTTGGATCCCTACATCCTATCCTAACTGTCCTACCTAGAGTAATTTTACCATATACCCCATTTTATGGATTCTTTTCAAGTCTTACAAAAGAGGTAGTTTCAGTTTGCCCTTTTGCCTGTTGGCAAAGACTCTCTTATGTGTCATGCCAGTGATGAGGGAGTTGCTAACAAAGCAAAGGAGAATGACCAGGGCAAAACCATGGAAACCACTTGGCCTCAGAATTGGTTCTGCAGTGGCAGAATGGACTGTTGAGTCACATCCGAGTGTGGTGTGGCTGCCTTGACCTACCAATCTTTAGTGGGAGAGCATTGTAAGAATTTGAAAGACTTATGAGCTAACCAGGAAGAAATAGGGATACCGTTCCCCATCCGCTGTTGCTTAATTCCATTCCTCTTGTGTATGGCAAACCAGAATAAATTGAATTATCATGTTAGTCCTGCCTGATTGAAGCTGTTTAATACAGTTCTTGAGAACTAAGGTAAATTGGCAATCTAGGTCATTTTAAATCTTGAAATTAAATGGTTTCCTTATTAAATCCAGAATACTTAAGAGTGATAATCCTGGTGATTACTTAGTGGCAGTAAAGAAGCAGTCTTTTCAGTATCACTGCCCTGGGAGTGCTTAAAAATTGAATCAGATATGCCCTTTGCAATTTAATGAAGTCAGATGCCTTCAGGGGGACCTCGATTTAGTGAGGATCTCCTCTCTACAGATTCTGGGCTTTAACAAGTTGGATCTGTGGCTGACCTTGAATAGGGCAGTTGCTTTCTACTCCGTTATATACACCCAGGAGAGACCAAAGAAGGGGGAAATATTTTGCTGGTAGCTGATGTTATTATGGTGTTTAACAGCTTACAAAGGGCTCTCGCAGACAGCCACTTAATCCTCAGCTTGTGAGGGTAGAGTAGTCCTGTTTTGCAAATGAGAAAACAAAGGCTTTGAAGTCCCAAGTTGAGTGACTTGCCTTAAATCCAGAGCTATTAAGTAGCTGAGACAGAATTCCAACCCTTACCCTTTGACCTCACCTCCATTGTCATCTCTGTGATCCTAGCTGCTGCGGGAACCTGGGGGTTCTTAGAAATAAGCTACCAGTATATCCTGATGTCTGCTATTCTAACTACCTCAAAGTTGGAGGCCTATTACTCTCAAAGTATGTTAGCCTTTAACTTCATGATTGGCAGGGGAGGGGGGGTCATCCCTACCCACCAAAATGTTTTCCTTCTTTAGCAAATCTGTGTTAAGCATCTGCTATATGCTAGGCTATGTGGCATGCAAAGCAAAGTAAAACAGAAAGGGTCCCTGCTCTCATGGAGCTTATATTCTGTTAGGGAAAATAGACCAAAGAGAAAACAAATAAGATGATAAGAAAGATCCAAGAAGGAAATAAATAGGACACCAACAGAAGCTCTGGGAGGGGTGATTTTTCTTTTTTCTTTTCTTTTTTTTTTTTGTTGTTGTTGTTAATTATACTTTAAGTTCTAGGGTATATGTGCACAACGTGCAGGTTTTTTACATAGGTATACATGTGCCATGTTGGTGTGCTGCACCCATCAACTCATCATTTACATTAGGTATATCTCCTAATGCTATCCCTCCCCGCTCCCTCCACCCCACGACAGGCCCCGGTGTGTGATGTTCCACACCGTGTGTCCAGGTGTTCTCATTGTTCAATTCCCACCTATGAGTGAGAACATGTGGTGTTTGGTTTTCTGTCCTTGTGATAGTTTGCTGAGAATGATGGTTTCCAGCTTCATCCATGTCCCTACAGAGGACATGAACTCATCCTTTTTTATGGCTGAGTAGTATTCCATGGTGTATGTGTGCCACATTTTCTTAATGCAGTCTATCATTGATGGACATTTGGGTTGGTTCCAAGTCTTTGCTATTGTGAATAGTGCCATAATAAACATACATGTGCATGTGTCTTTATAGCAGCATAATTTATAATCCTTTAGGCATATGCTCAGTAATGGGATGGCTGGGTCAAATGGTATTTCTAGTTCTAGATCCTTGAGGAATCACCACACTGTCTTCCACAATGGTTGAACTAGTTTACAGTCCCACCAACAGTGTAAAAGTGTTCCTGTTTCTCCACATCCTTTCCAGCACCTGTTGTTTCCTGACTTTTTAATGATTGCCATTCTAACTGGTGTGAGATGGTATCTCATTGTGGTTTTGATTTGCATTTCTCTGATGGCCAGTGATGCTGAGCATTTTTTCATGTGTCTGTTGGCTGCATAAATGTCTTCTTTTGAGAAGTGTCTGTTCATATCCTTCACCCACTTTTTGATGGGGTTGTTTGATTTTGTCTTGTAAATTTGTTTGTTTATAGATTCTGGATATTAGCCCTTTGTCAGATGGGTAGATTGTAAAAATGTTCTCCCATTCTGTAGGTTGCCTGTTCACTCTGATGGCAGTTTCTTTTGCTGTGCAGAAGCTCTTTAGTTTAATTAGATCCCATTTGTCTATTTTGCCTTTGGTGCCATTGCTTTTGGTGTTTTAGTCATGAAGTCCTTGCCCATGCCTATGTCCTGAATGGTATTGCCTAGGTTTTCTTCTAGAGGTTTTACGGTTTTAGGTCTAACATTTAAATCTTTAATCCATCTTGAATTAATTTTTGTTTAAGGTGTAAGGAAGGGATCCAGTTTCAGCTTTCTACATATGGCTAGCCAGTTTTCCCAGCACCATTTATTAACTAGGGAATCCTTTCCCCATTTCTTGTTTTTGGCAGGTTTGTCAAAGATCAGATGGTTGTAGATGTGCGGTATTATTTCTGAGGGCTCTATTCTGTTCCATTGGTCTATATCTCTGTTCTGGTACCAGTACCATGCTGTTTTGGTTACTGTGGCCTTGTAGTATAGTTTGAAGTCAGGTAGCATGATGCCTCCAGCTTTGTTCTTTTGGCTTAGGATTGTCTTAGCAATGTGGGCTCTTTTTTGGTTCCATATGAACTTTAAAGTAGTTTTTTTCCAATTCTGTGAAGAATGTCATTGATAGCTTGATGGGGATGGCATTGAATCTATAAATTGCCTTGGGCAGTATGGCCATTTTCACAATATTGATTCTTCCTATCCATGAGCATGGAATGTTCTTCCATTTGTTTGTTTCTTCTATTTCGTTGAGCAGTGGTTTGTAGTTCTCCTTGAAGAGGTCCTTCACATCCCTTGTAAGTTGGATTCCTAGGTATTTTATTCTCTTTGAATCAGTTGTGAATGGGAGTCCACTCATGATTTGGCTCTCTGTTTGTCTGTTATTGGTGTACAGGAATGCTTGTGATTTTTGCAGGTTGATTTTGTATCCTGAGACTTTTCTGAAGTTGCTTATCAGCTTAAGGAGATTTTGGGCTGAGGTGATGGGGATTTCTAAATATACAATCATGTCATCTGCAAACAGGGACAGTTTGACTTCCTCTTTTCCTAATTGAATACCCTTTATTTCTTTCTCCTGCCTCATTGCCCTGGCCAGAACTTCCAACACTGTGTTGAATAGGAGTGGTGAGAGAGGGCATCCCTGTCTTGTGCCAGTTTTCAAAGGGAATGCTTCCAGTTTGTGCCCATTCAGTATGATATTGGCTGTGGGTTTGTCATAGATAGCTCTTATTATTTTGAGATACGTCCCATCAATACCTAGATTATTGAGAGTTTTTAGCATGAAGAGCTGTTGAATGTTGTCAAAGGCCTTTTCTGCATCTATTGAGATAATCGTGTGGTTTTTGTCTTTGGTTCTATTTATATGATGGATTAACGTTTATTGATTTGCATATGTTGAACCAGCCTTGCATCCCAGGGATGAAGCCCACTTGATCATGGTGGATAAGCTTTTTGATGTGCTGCTGGATTTGGTTTGCCAGTATTTTATTGAGGTCTTTGCATCAATGTTCATCAGGGATATTGGTCTGGAATTCTCTTTTTTTGTTGTTGTGTCTCTGCCAGTTTTTGGTATCAGGATGATGCTGGCCTCATAAAATGAATGAGGGAGGATTCCCTCTTTTTCTATTGATTGGAACAGTTTCAGAAGGAATGATACCAGCTTCTCCTTGTACCTCTGGTAGAATTCGGCTGTGAATCTGTCTGGTCCTGGACTTCTTTTGGTTGATAGGCTATTAATTATTGCCTCAATTTCAGAACCTGTTATTGGCCTATTCAGGGATTCAACTCCTTCCCGGTTTAGTGTTGGGAAGGTGTATGTGTCCAGGAATTTATCTGTTTCTTCTAGATTTTCTAGTTTATTTGTGTAGAGGTGTTTATGGTATTCTCTGATGGTAGTTTGTATTTTTGTGGGATCAGTGGTGATATCCCCTTTATTATTTTTTATTGCGTCTATTTGATTCATCTCTTTTCTTCTTTATTAGTCTTGCTAGCGGTCTATCAATTTTGTTGATCCTTTCAAAAAACCAGCTCCTGGATTCATTGATTTTTTGAAGGGTTTTTTGTGTCTCTCTTTCCTTCAGTTCTGCTCTGATCTTAGTTTTTTCTTGCCTTCTGCTAGCTTTTGAATGTGTTGGCTCTTGATTTTCTAATTCTTTTAATTGTGATGTTAGGGTGTCGATTTTAGATCTTTCCTGCTTTCTCTTGTAGGCATTTAGTGCTATAAGTTTCCCTCTACACACTGCTTTAAATGTGTCCCAGAGATTCTTGTATGTTTTGTCTTTGTTCTCATTGGTTTCAAAGAACATCTTTATTTCTGCCTTCATTTCATTATGTACCCAGTAGTCATTCAGGAGCAGGTTGTTCAGTTTCCATGTAGTTATGCAGTTTTGAGTGAGTTTCTTAATCCTGAGTTCTAGTTTGATTGCACTGTGTTCTGAGAGACAGTTTGTTATAATTTCTATTCTTTTCCATTTGCTGAGGAGTGCTTTCCTTCTAACTACACGGTCAATTTTGGAATAAGTGTGATGTGGTGCTGAGAAGAATGTATATTCTGTTGATTTGGGGTGGAGAGTTCTGTAGATGCCTGTTTGGTCTGCTTGGTGGACAGCTGAGTTCAATTCCTGGATATCCTTGTTAACTTTCTGTCTCATTGATCTGTCTAATGTTGACAGTAGGGTGTTAAAGTCTCCATTATTATTGTGTGGGAGTCTAAGTCTCTTTGTAGGTCTCTAAGGACTTGCTTTATGAATCTGGGTGCTCCTGTATTGGGTGCATATATATTTAGGATAGTTAGCTCTTCTTGTTGAATTGATCCCTTTACCATTATGTAATGGCCTTCTTTGTCTCTTTTGATCTTTGTTGGTTTAAAGTCTGTTTTATCAGAGACTAGGATTGCAACCCCTGCTTCTTTTTGTTTTCCATTTGCTTGGTAGATCTTCCTCCATGCCTTCATTTTGAGCCCATGTGTGTCTCTGCTCGTGAGATGGGTTTCTTGAATACAGCACACTCATGGGTCTTGACTCTTTATCCAATTTGCCAGTCTGTGTCTTTTAATTGAAACATTTAGCCCATTTACATTTAAGGTTAATATTATGTGTGAATTTGATCCTGTCATTATGATGTTAGCTGGTTATTTTGCTTGTTAGTTGATGCAGTTTCTTCCTAGCCTTGATGGTCTTTACAATTTGGCATGTTTTTGTAGTGGCTGGTACCGGTTGTTCCTTTCCATGTTTATGCTTCCTTTAGGAGCTCTTGTAAGGCAGGCCTGGTGGTGACAAAATCTCTCAGCATTTGTTCGTCTGTAAAGGATTTTATTTATTCTTCACTTATGAAGCTTAGTTTGGCTGCATATGAAATTCTGGGTTGAAAATGCTTTTCTTTAAGAGTATTTAATATTGGCCCCCACTCTCTTCTGGCTTTTAGAGTTTCTCCCAAGAAATCAGCTACTACTCTGATGGGCTTCCCTTTGTGGGTAACCCGACCTTTCTCTGTGGCTGCCCTTAACATTTTTTTCCTTCATTTCAACTTTGGTGAATCTGACAATTATGTGTCTTGGAGATGCTCTTCTCAAGGAGTATCTTTGTGGTGTTCTCTGTATTTCCTGAATGTGAATGTTGGTCTGCCTTGCTAGGTTGGGGACGTTCTCCTGGATAATATCCTGCAGAGTGCTTTCCAGCTTGGTTCCATTCTCCCCATCACTTTCAGGTCCACCAATCAGATGTAGATTTGGTCTTTTCACATAGTCCTGTGTCCAGTATTGGTGGGTTCTTGGTCTTGCTGACTTCAAGAATGAAGCCGTGGACCCTCGCAGTGAGTGTTACAGTTCTTAAAGATGGTGTGTCTGGAGTTTGTTCCTTCTGATGTTCAGACGTGTCCGGAGTTTCTTCCTTCTGGTGGGTTTGTGGTCTCGCTGGCTTCAAGACTGAAGCTGCAGACCTTCACAGTGAGTTACAGCTCTTAAAGGGGGCGCATCTGGAGTTGTTGGTTCCTTCTGGTGGTATCGTGGACTCACTGGCTTCAGGAGTGAAGCTGCAGACCTTCACGTTGAGTGTTACAGCTCTTAAAGGTGGCGCGGACCCAAAGAGTGAGCAGCAGCAAGATTTATTGTGAAGAGCAAGAGAACAAAGCTTCCACAGCATGGAAGGGCACCCGAGCGGGTTGCTGCTGCTGGCTCGGGCAGCCTGCTTTTATTCCCTTATCTCGTCCCACCCACATCCTGCTGATTGGTCCATTTTACAGAGAGCTGATTGGTCTGTTTTACAGAGAGGTGATTGGTCTGTTTTGACAGGGTGCTGACTGGTGCATTTACAAACCTTGAGCTAGACACAGAGTGCTGATTGGTGCAATTACAATCCTCCAGCTAGACTTAAAAGTTCTCCAAGACCCCACCCGACTCAAGAGCCCAGCTGGCTTCACCTAGTGGATCCTGCGCTGGGACCGCTGGCGGAGCTGCCCGCCAGTCCCGTGCCATGCACCCACACTCCTCAGCCCTTGGGCGGTCGATGGGACTGGGCACCTCAGAGCAGGGGGCGGCACCCATCGGGGAGGCTTGGGATGCACGGGAACCCACAGGGGGTGAGGGGGGCTCGGGCATGGTAGGCTGCAGGTCCCAAGCCCTGCTCCGCGGGGAGGCAGCTGAGGCCCAGTGAGAATTCGAGCGTGGCGCGAGCGGGCCGGAAGTGCTGTGGTACCCGGTGCACCCTCCACAGCTGCTGGCCCGGGTGCTAAGCCCCTCACTGCCCAGGGCCAGTGGCACCAGCCGGCTGCTCCAAGTGCGGGGCCTGGTGAGCCCATGCTGAGCTGGAACTCGTGCTGGCCCACGAGTGCCACGCACCTCTCCCTCCACACTTCCCATCAAGCAGAGGGAGCTGGCTCTGGCCTCAGCCACCCCAGAGAGGGGCCCCCACAGTGCAGTGGTGGGCTGAAGCGCTCCTTGAGCATGGCCAGAGCAGACACCGAGGCCGACGAGGTGCCAAGAGCAAGCAAGGGCTGCTAGCACTTTGTCACCTCTCAGTCCCTTATTTCTTGGAGGCTTTGTTCATTTCTTTTTACTCATTTTTCTCTAAACTTCTCTTCTCACTTCATTTCATTCATATGATCTTCAATCCCTGATACGCTTTCTTCCACTTGATCAAATCAGCTACTGAAGCTTTTGCATGCATCATGTAGTTCTTGTGCCGTGGTTTTCAGCTCCTTCAGGTCATTTAAGGACTTGTCTACACTGTTTATTCTAGTTAGCCATTTGTCTAATCTTTTTTCAAGGTTTTTAGCTTCTTTGCAATGGGCTCGAACATCCTCCTTTAGCTTGGAGAAGTTTGTTATTATCTATCGTCTGAAGCCTTCTTCTATCAACTCATCAAAGTCATTCTCTGTCCAGCTTTGTTCCATTGCTGGCGAGGAGCTGTCTTCCTTTGGAGGAGAAGAGGCACTCTGATTTTTAGAATTTTCAGCTTTTCTGCTCTGGTTTCTCCCCATCTTTGTGGTTTTATCTACCTTTGGTCATTGATGATGGTGATGTACAGATGGGGTTTTGGTGTGGATGTCCTTTCTGTTTGTTAGTTTTCCTTCTAATAGTCAGGACCCTCAGCTGCAGGTCTGTTGGAGTTTGCTGGAGGTCCACTCCAGACCCTGTTTGTGTGGGTATCACCAGCGGAGGCTGCAGAACAGCAAATACTGCAGAACGGCAGATGTTGCTGCCTGATCCTTCCTCTGGAAGCTTCGTATCAAAGGGGCACCCAGCTGTATGAGGTGTCAGTCGGCCCCTACTGGGAGGTGTCTCCCAGTTAGGCTACTCAGGGGTCAGGGACCCACTTGAGGAGGCAGTCTATCCATTCTCAGAGCTCAAACTGCATGGTGGGAGAACCACTGCTCTCTTCATAGCTGTCAGACAGGGACTTTTAAGTCTGCAGAAGTTGTCTGCTGCCTTTTGTTCAGCTATGCCCTGCCCCCAGCGGTGGAGTCTACAGAGGCAGGCAGGTCTCCTTGAACTGCGGTGGGCTCCACCCAGTTTGAGCTTCCCAGCCACTTTGTTTACCTACTCAACCCTCAGCAGTGGCGGACGCCCGTCCCCCAACCTCGCTGTGGCCTTGCAGTTTGATCTCAGACTGCTGTGCTAGCAGTGAGCGAAGCTCCGTGGGCGTGGGACCCCAGAGAAGGTTAATTTTTCGGTGGGTAGTCAGGGCAGGCATCTGAAGATGGGAGGCTTACATTGAGATGGATTTAAAAGAAAAAAAAAAAAAAGCAGCCATATGGCGAACTGATATTCTTATGGCCACTTAACAACCATGAGGCCTGAAAGAGGAATTGTCCAAAGGCCAGCGGAACTGAAATGGAGTAAGGGGAAGAAGCTACATGAGACGAGGTGGCAGAGCAGGGGCTGGCTCAGCTGTGGATTTTGATGCCACGGACAAATTTTACTCTTTATTCGAAGTGTAATTAGAAGTCATTAAAGGGTTTTCGAATGTGGAAAAACAAGATCTGATTGACATTATGGAAGCTTACCTGGGTGTGGAGAATGGGAAGGATGGGATAAGAGTGGAAGCAGCACAATCTTTGTGGTATGCCAGGGCAGCTCTGGCAGGATGGGGCCAGGGGCCTCACGCACGCCATGTGTGGTGCTGAAAGCAGTGGAAACTGCAGCTGGGTTGCACTTGAATAAGAGAAAGGAATGGTCTCAAAAAAGATCCTCAGGGGTCTAGTGCAGGGGTGTCCAATCTTTTGGCTTCCTGGGCCACACTGGAAGAAGAGCAATGTCTCGGGCCAAACATAAAATACACTAACACAAATGACAGCTGATGAACTGAAAAAAAAAAAAATTGCAAAAATATCTCGTAATGTTTCAAGAAAGTTTACAAATTTGTGTTGGGCCCCATGCAGCCCACAGGTTGGACAAGCTTGGTCTAGCATGTAGTGTTGGGTAGACGGTGGTGGCATTTACTGAGATGGAGAAGATAAGGGAGGATGAGGTTCAGGGGAAATCAAGAATCCCACTTTGGAATGTTAAACTAGAGGTGGCAATGTGACAGCAAAAGGAAATGTCAGGAAGGCAGCTGGATATGTGAGCCTGGCCCTCAGAAGAAAGCGCTGGGCTAGAGAAAGTTGTGAGCCAGCGGAGCATACCTGCCTAATAACATCATGGGACTGGATAGAAATCACCCCTAGGGTGGGAGTGTTGATAGCAGAGGGGACCCCGGGACAGCCCCAAGAGAATGGCAAGCCTTACTAATTTTATAGAGAATGAGCATCTAGCAAAGGAGACTGAGAGGAAATAGCCGCTAGGGCAGGAAGAAAACCAGCAGAGACCCACCATGGCTTAAGTGAGGGGAGCTCTTTAAGAAGGAAAGAGTAACAGATCAGTGGGGTGTTGTCTGAGAAGGGCCCTGAGATGGGCTTGGCTACATGGAGGTCTATGAGTTGGGTAAAGGCTTTATCTAATTAGCCGGGACAGACTGTAGACTGGAGCAAGTTGAAAAGTGAGAGAATGGTGACTCTTTTCAAGAAGTCTTAATGTGAACAGGGGCAGAAAAGCATTCTTGTGGCACCTTACCTTGAAGTGACCTTGGAATGGCCAGAGCCTGGCAGTGATCTTAGTTCTTCTACACTCACCAGATGTCTCCCATGTTGGCAAGTGTCTCCATATTCTGCTCTAAGGCTTGAGTCTAAGATTTTTCCTTGAAGCTAATGGCTTCCAAACCCCTTAACATTTCAAGTCACTTGCAGTTTGTTTGTGTGAAGCTTTCTCTTTAAGAGTTAGTGGTCAGAGTACTACAAATAGATGTGTCCATGGAAAATGACTTGTGGCATCAAGAGCATCTGTACCCTGAGATGGAAAACGGAGAAGCTGAAGGATCATATTATTCATTTGTTTGCTAACTTTGCCACAGACTCATTTGCCCTGAATCTACAGTTCTGAATCTTGTAAAACTTCAAGTTCCCAATGCTTATCCTACCACTAGTTAGAGCTGCTAGACTGTGTAACCCAAAAGCAGCTTTGGGTACAATCCATAGCTCCTCGTCCATTTCCCACTTAAAGGCCACCAGGGGAAGTTTCCTGTTCACTCACTGATTCTTCCTTTGGTTCTCTCTGTAGTTTGTGATTATGAGGATGGGATTTGGGGTCACACTTCCCGGTTCAAATCCCAGGGCAAGATACTTAATGTTTCTGGACCTCCATTTCCTCATCTGAAATGGGAGTAACAACACTTAATTCAAAAGGCTGCTAGGAGAATCACTAAAGCAAAGGCTTAACAAATAGCCATGACTGCTGTCTTGCTGCTTTTCATCCTTGCATGTGGAGGGTGACTTATCTAAGCCCACCAGACGTTCCACATGATGGCGGCCTGGAGGTTGCACAACTGTCTCCTTTCCTTGGAATATCTCCAGAGCCTAGCACTGTGCCCTGCTCATGATAGACATGGAGTGAGTGTGGCAATGGCTGGGGGGCTTATTTTTAACCAGGGGGCTTATTTTTTATTTGTAATTCACACAGAGTTTGGTGATACTTTTATGTAGAGTTGCTTCTTTGACAAAATACTGTGTCAGCTACTAATCTGACAGGCCCACATCCTCACATGCTTTTCTGCCCTGAATATAAATGAGACAACTGAAATATTGGCAAATTAACTGTAACCCTAGTGTGAATCTGATTTTTGTTCCTTTGTAGCCGGATTGAGCACCTCAAATCCCAAAATGACCTCCTGACCATAACCTTGGAGGAATGTAAAAGCAATGCCGAGAGGATGAGCATGCTGGTGGGAAAATACGAATCCAATGCCACAGCGCTGAGGCTGGCCTTGCAGTACAGGTAGGCACACACTGGGATGTTTGGAGCTACTTCAGGGTAGAAGTGCATCCAGAGTAACCTTCAGAATAAAAGTAGGAAATAGGCTTTTAGAAGGCATATCTGGCAGTTTGGACCAAGGCATATCTGGCGGTTTGGACAGCAAATAGCTAAGAGTAATGAATATGATGTTAGTAAACAGGTATATTTCTCCTAGCATATTCATCTTAAATATCATTTCATTTAGGTACTATCACTCAAAATATCGATTTTTTTGGCATGTTACATGTTCATTTCTTCTTGCAGATCTTTATTCATGTTCATATGTAATTTACATTGTTATAAATCTAGTGCATTCTAGTTCTTCATTTTGTTGTAGTCTTAAAATGTTGCTTTTAATAGTCTCTATTCTGAATGGCTGTAACCCCTCCAACAAGTTTTTATATTGTTAATTTATTCACTTTTCTAAAAGACATTTAGACTTTTGATATTAAAAATAATTCTATGATGAATAATTTAATGCAGATAAGATCTTCATTCTTTTGAATATTTTCCTCTGGATAAAATCCCAAAGCAGGAATTGTAGGTCAAAGGATATGAATATTTTCCTGGTCTTCAGGCATGCTGCTGATTTTTTGTCATGAAAACAAGTCAATTTAAATAACTACAGTTCACTCATTGGTGAGCAAGTGGTAATTTGAATGGGCCACTTTTTTTTTTCTGCCTCATCACTTTGAAATTTATCTGTTTTTAAATTACTGCTTGTTTAAAGCTGCAAAACTATGCCTTATTATTATCATCATAGGTTTCTTTTATTAGTGTTACCACTTAAGTGTATTTGCCAAGGCCTCAGAGTAGTTGACTGTATCGTACACTTAGCATCCTCTAAAAAGTTCGGTATTGTTTAAGAAACATTCTTGTTTATTCAGGAAATTATCAAAGCAAAATGAATGAGACCAAAGCTAGAGAGCAATCATTCTGGTTTACAGACAGCAAAGCAAGCAGATAATCCATCTGTGATAACCGTTGAAGCTGGTTGCTGTCCACCCACAATCTGCCTTTGAGCAGAAAGGTCTTTCTCCACATTAGTACAACCTCATGGATAAGGAAATGTCCTCACATCTCTGGAATATGAACTGCCTTTGAAACGAGGAGCTGGTATCACCTAGGGCTAGCATTTCAGCCCTTTGTCTTAACTCTTAGTAAAGGACAATGAAAATAAAGTCAATTGACGCTGGGCGCGGTGGCTCACGCCTGGAATCCCAGCATTTTAGGAGGCCGAGGCGGGCGGATCACGAGGTCAGGAGATCAAGATCATCCTGGCTAACACAGTGAAACCCCGTCGCTACTAAAAATACAAAAAAAAAAGTTAGCCAGGCATGGTGGTGGACGCCTGTAGTCCCAGCTACTCAGGAGGCTGAGGCGGGAGGCTGAGGCAGGATAATGGCGTGAACCTGGGAGGCGGAGCTTGCAGTGAGCTGAGATCGTGCCACTGCACTCCAGCCTGGGCGACAGAGCGAGACTCCGTCTCAAAGAAAAAAAAGAAAGGCAATCAAAGGAAATTGTCTGTTGACTAAATGAAGCAACATATCCCCTGTTCAGCTTGAAGAAGCTAGACAGTTACTTTCTTAAAGAGGAAATGTTCCTACTGCAGGCATATTATCTGGGACCCTGAGGATGCTGTACACATGTTCCACCTCCTCTTGTGTGGACGTGGGCCACGTGGGTCTCACGCTACAGGAAAGGGACTGTTGTTTGATATTTTACCTTGTTTGCCCAATGAATGTTGGGCACAAAGAAGAGTGACTATGTTTCCTCCTCCTAGAAATCCAAACTCAAACTCTTGTCAGAGCTTTTGTGAAGGCCTAAGAATGTTTCATGAGACATTTTAAGCACTTAGTTTTATGAGAATCTAATAGAACTTTTCTGTGATGGTGGAACTGTTCTCTACATGCACTGCCCAATATGGTAACCACTGGCCATGTATGGCTATTGAACATATGAAGTATGGCTACTGCAATGGAGGAATGGACTTTTTCATTTTATTTAACTCAGAATATTTTCAATTTAAGTAGCTATTTGTGGCTAGTAGATACTATATTGAATAGTGCAGGTCTAGGTCAAAATCATCTCCTTGTGGGATGTTATATCAGCTACCTATTGTTGTATGACTAATCACTTACTGCATCACAGTTTCAAGGATCAGGAACCTGGGGGTGGCTTAGTAGGTGGTTCTGGTTCAGGGTCTCTTGTGAGATTCTGGTCAAGCTGTCAGCCAGGGCTGTATCATCTGAGACCTCAGTGGGGGATTGGAGGATCTGCTCTAAGAAGGCTCACTCACCTGGCTGTTGGCTGGAGGCCTTAGTCATTACTCACCATGTGGACCTCTCCATAGGGCTGCCTGAGAATCTTGAAGACACGACAGCTGGCCTGCTCCGGGGAGGATGGTCCAAGATAGTGAAGTGAGAGAGAGTGACCAAGATGGAAGTCAGGGTTTTTTAGTAAGCTAATTTTGGAAATGACCTACTGTCACTTCTGTCACACAGACCAACCCTGGTACAGTGCAGATGGGGGACAGCACAAGGGTGTGGACACCAGGGTGCCGGCTCAGCGGGACTACCTGGAGTGGCCTACCACAAGGGAATCACATGGTCCTTTCAGGTGGTCACTGAAGGGACGACACATTTGCCTCTCCCACCTTTATTGTTTCTCTTGTATTTTTCCAGAACCAAGTTAAAGGTTTAAAAATAAAAAGGCCAAATGAAAGAGCAAGCCACTGGCCCTGCCCTGGGAATATTCATGGGTGGTTTCCTTGCCTGTGTGGAGAGTGAGGCCGAGACAGCACCTGAGCTGCCTCCTGCACAGAAACCGGCGCCACATTGAAGGTGTCCGCTGTTCTCTGCAAGGGCTGAGGCCCCATGTGCTTTGTTTCAGCGAGCAGTGCATCGAAGCCTACGAACTCCTCCTGGCGCTGGCAGAGAGTGAGCAGAGCCTCATCCTGGGGCAGTTCCGAGCGGCGGGCGTGGGGTCCTCCCCTGGTAAGTGTCTCCAGAGTCCCTCTTCCTCCTCTTGTCTCCCTGCCTCCTTTGCTTCTGCCCCTGTCTCAGCAACTGGCATTGAATCATCTCCCGACAACACAAAATTTGGTTGTCAAGTGTGTTTTTCGTTTTTCCTCATGACTGAATGGGTAAATTGTTTATGTTGAATGCAGCAAGAACTGGAGTGGAAACAGAATAACAGACAAGTTAAAACAAACAAGACTTCTTAGGAGCTGCATTCTCCTGGGCTGACAGTGGGGCCAGATGGAGCTGAGGCCGCATCAGCGATGAAAGGGGCCAGCGTTTCTGCAGCTGTCTCTCTGATGCCTGTTGTCAAGGCACATGCTGCCGCCACATGGCCTTCACTTCATCTCGTTCCATTGGCTGAGCTTCTCCAAGTTTACCTCTTTGAGTAGTAGTTGTTTTTTTTGTTTGTTTGTTTTGAGATGGAGTTTTGCTCTTGTTGCCCAGGCTGGAGTGCAATGGTGCAATCTTGGCTCACTGCAACCTCCACCTCCTAGGTTCAAGCATCCTCCTGCCTCAGCCTCCCAAGTAGCTGGGATTACAGGCACATGCCACCACGCCTGGCTAATTTTGTATTTTTAGTGGAGACAGTTTCACCATGTTGGTCAGCCTGGTCTTGAACTCCTGACCTCAGGTGATCCACCTGCCTCAAAGTGCTGGGATTACATGCGTGAGCCACTGCGCCCGGCTTTTGAGTAGTTTTGAAACATGGGTTTCCCCTGCCAGGTCTCCAGGTGTCTTACGAACAAAGAAGAAGTAGTTTCACCCCCTGCTCTTGTCAGCATCACAGAATGCTCGCCCACCTCGCTTTCCTGTGCCTGTCCTTCCCCCAGCCCGGGGATCCTGTGCCCTGTTGGCCTGACCTGTACCTCGAGATCTGCACTGCCTGCTCACTTCTGTCCCTCAATTTTGAGTAAGGTGGAAGGAGTATCTAATTGGACACAAGCATGTCATTCTAGGAAGCGGCAGCATTTGCTAAAACGTGGCCAGTGATTGTGGCTCCGAGCCTGCAGTGATGTGGGGAGGACTGCAGTAGAAACAGTGCTAAGAGGAAAGAGAGACCCAAGGAGAAAGGTGGCCGTCTCTCCATGCAGAACTAAGCCCCGGACACCCCCTTAGCCTTCGGAGAGGCAATAGCAAGTAAACAGAAAGCCAAGGTGACCAGGTCTCTCCAGAGCCAAAGATGGATGGTGTGGGCAGGCCAGGCATTCCCATGTGTGGTAGCCAGGCCTCTGTCATGGACTGGATTTCTGCTGTGAGCTTCCATTAGGACTTGTCCATCCAGGACACACCCTTCAAAGAAAGTCACCATCCAGGCACCTTCTGAATGCACCTTCCTGTCCTTCTTCCCCGCTCCTCCCCCTTTGTCTGGGGGCTCACTTTTGCACTGAACACTCACATGTGTTTCCTCCTTCAGTTTCGACTTGCACAGGAATCTGAAGCAAAAGTGAAGGAAGGAAGGTATCCTGGGTGTTAATTTCCTGCTTCATATCCAAGTAATCCAACAAAGGAGCACACCTTCATTTGTATGGAGAGTGATGCTCTGATCCTCCCTCTGGTTTTTTTTAAATAGTATTACCAGCCCAGCCCAGAAGTAGAAACTCTGCCAGCATTTCCATTAGAAACCTCATTTTTCAGGGTCTTTTAACTGAACCATAAAACTTTATTTCTCATATGAAACAGATCCTAAAATGATCTTGGCCTGCTGTCAGGATTTTTTTAAATTAATATACGTATTAAGAAAAATGATAAATTAAAGGAAAAAGTCAATCGTATTTCCAGTTGGTTATCAGCGGAGTGTCTTAACCTGTTCAGGCCTCACAAGGTACCTTTCATTAGGCATGTACCTACTCAGTGCAGTTATTTGGTGTAGGAGCTGAAAGAGCTTAAATAAATCTGCCTTTTAAATATTCAAAATCAATAATGAAATGCTTTGTATTTACCTAATACTGGGAAGTTCATGTATACATTTATAATATGAGCCAGTAAGTAATGTCATGCCTAATTCCAAATAGCAGTCAGTGGTGAGATGTATGTAAAATGTCTTATTTGTGGAGAGAAGAGAGGCATGAAGTTTGTCAGAGAAATGACAGGAGGGAGTTCCAGGGATTTTTGGCCTGCAGAATGGGTCCACCCCATTTCCTGCCCACTCTCCATAGTACTGAGGGCAGGCTTGATTTTTAGCAGTTCCCCATTAAGCCTCGCCCTTGCATTCCGCTGACAGGAGTGGCTGGCCCATCATACTGTGCCATCATGCCACCCATCATGCCATAGAGCTGTTGCACAGCAAAGCAGGAACTCATTTGTGACATGCACCCACAGTATCTATGATTGTGGGTCTTTTCTTTGTTTCTTGTTGATGTCACAGGCATTCATTCTGTTCATTCTTTCATTCACAGGTGCTTTAGGCTAGTGGTTTTCAAACTGGTCTGGGAAGCTGGAGGAGTTTCTCTGGGCCTCGGCAGTGGGGTTGGAGGGTGGGACTCTGAGTGTGTCTCCCACTTCTGCCCACTTCATCCAATTCCGCATTTACCTTTTTTGTATGTTAGGATAGCATTTTCTATGATTTGGTGTAAGATTTCATTTAAAAATATTTGGAAAAGCATGGATCTGTGCTGTACAGGTAGCAAACCAGTGATTTGTTCAGCCAGCACAGTTTCTGTTTTGTTTTGTTTTATTTTTTTAAGGCTTTGTTTTTTTAGAGCAGTTTTAGGTTCACAGCAAAACTGAGAGGAAGGCACAGAGATTTCCCATATGCCTCCAACCCTCAACATGCACGGCCTCCCCCGTTTTCAGCGTCCCCCACCAGGGTAGTATATTAGTTACAAGTGATGAACCTACAGTGACACATCATCACCCAGAGCCCATAGTTTACATCAGAGTTCATTCTTGGTGCTGTACATTCTATGGGTTTGGGCCAATGTATAACAACTTGAGTCCACGGTTACAGTATCATACAGAGTAGCTTCACTGCCCCAAAAGTTCTCTGGCTCCACCTATTCATTCCTCCCCCAACCCCATCCCCTGGCAACCATTGCTGTTGCTGTTGTTCTTGTTGTTGTTTTGGAGACAGGGTCTTGCTCTGTTACCCAGGCTGTATTTGAACTCCTAAGTTCAAGCAGTCCTCCCACCTCAGCTCAGCCACCCATGATCTTTTCAATATCTCTATAGTTCTGTCTTTTCCAGCACAGTCTTAAATCACAATAGGAATGTGAACATTTTGGGCAGGGACTTCACTGCCTGGTCTGTGCGAGTGCCCACCACACCCTGATGTTCTGCACTAGCCCACTTACCTGGCTCCTGGAGGCATTTGAGTTCACGCCGATTACCAAGCCAAGAGAAGGGTCAGGGGTGGCATCGGTACCTATAATACAGAGCCAATCTAAAGCTCTCGTCTGAACCATTAGTTTTGTCTCTCTTGCCCCCACACAGGGCTCTAACCAAAGCTGTAGACATGTGGAAAGATGGCACAGTTTTGCCCTAGTTTCTCCCTCCCTCATTCACAGGGAAGTGCCAATGCACAGAGGAATGGCCAAATGGTAGACTTGTGGCTGAATGGGAGGAGAAGCCAGGAGCCTGGATCATTAGAAAAATCAGAGCGTGTTAGAGCTGGAAACAGAAATGTGGTGATCCCATTGGTTAACTCCTACACTTGTCCCTGAGGCCAGTGGAGCCCAGAGAAAGAGCAGAGAAATACCTTCCCACATGTAGCGTCTAAGTGATAGTGCCAGGCCCAGAACACAGATCTTCTCTTCGGCTGGGCACTGCCAATTCCCTTCCACAGTGCCACCTCTGCCCTAAGTAACAGAGTTAATTATGCATAGTCCCTCCCAGGCGTGCCTTGTCCAGGCCTATGTTGATTAATCCGTTGGCTTCTCTGCCACATAGGAGACCAGTCGGGGGATGAAAACATCACTCAGATGCTCAAGCGAGCTCATGACTGCCGGAAGACAGCTGAGAACGCTGCCAAGGCCCTGCTCATGAAGCTGGACGGCAGCTGTGGGGGAGCCTTTGCCGTGGCCGGCTGCAGCGTGCAGCCCTGGGAGAGCCTTTCCTCCAACAGCCACACCAGGTAATGCTCAGCCTTCTGCTCTGGGGTGGGCGTGTGTCCACATGGCATCTGTTCACTGGACTTGGTGTGCAGTGACCCAGCTCTTGGGGACTGTGTGGCTTGGGAAAAGGCAGACATGGCTTCTGGCATGCAGCCTGCTCCATCCAAAAAGGAGTCAGAAGATCAGAACAGAAGAGCTAGAAAGTGGCCCTCTCACTTTGCCAATGTGGAAACTGCAGTCGAGATTGGAGAGATTTGCTGTGGAAAGTGGTAGAGATGGAATGCAAACCTACCTTTCTGTCAGATCCATTTTCTCTGCATTGTTCTGTTCTCCATTTCTTTATAAGTCTTCATTTCCAGGAAGCACTTAGGGTAGCCAAGAGCCGTTTGCTCCAAATGGTCCCTCTGGTCCCAAGGCCCAGCCCAGCTCATCCTAGTTCCAGACATCACTCTCCTGTCTTCTTGTGCCTCCATCGTCTATAAGCTCTTCTCAGGCAAGAGCCTCTCCTCTCATCTCTTTTGCCTCATGGAATGATGCCACATTCACAGCACATGCTTACAGGCACTCAGTCATGAACCTGAGGTCAAGTTCACTGTCTGTGAATCTAGGAAATTAAAGTGGGTGCTTGAAAAAGGAAGCTAGGAAGAGAGCGGCGAAGACCTTGCAGAGCATAATTTGCTGAAGTCATTTCATTCTTTGGATGGGAGTGGAGAGTCAGAACAAAACCCTTTCTACTTACCTTCTCATTTCTTGCCACCAAAGCCCTAAAAACACGAATGCCTTCCCTTTATTTACCAGTCCTCAGTTTAGAAGACACTTTGTTAGAGATTCTTACTTAATTGCCAAATCGTGAAAGACTTGGAAGGGTAACTTACTCCATTTTCACAGGTTAGGAAACCTTGGCTCAGAGATAATGTCAGTGACCTGCCTGGTGATAAGAGGGAAACCTGGATGGGAACCCGGGATCTTAGCATCGAGCATATTGTTCTTCCCACATTGGATCTCATGACATAACAAAACAGTGTCTACTTGCAGACTAAGTGACCAGAACTGCATAAAGATAGATTGACTGTTGAGAGCCAGAGGAGAAATACTGATGCTTTCTTGGTGCTGGAAAGCAACTTAATGTTCCCCTCTCTCTTTCTCCCCTGGTGGGACCCGCCATCTACCTTAGCGCTTCCATTTACCTCTACTGGCCCAGGTGTCCCAGGAGAGGGAACATGCCCAGTAATGCACTCAGCCAGGTGCCCACAAACAAAAGGGACTTGATTCTTCTTTACTTCAGCAACAATTGTCTCATTCAGTGAAGCACAGATTATAATTTTTTTCATAAAACCATATTCTACTGTGTAAACACAGAAAGCAGATGCTCTTCTTAATGACTCTTCCAGATGTGTATAATCTATAATTTGTGTGTTTATTTAGTATAGAAATGTAGTTCTCATGTTGTCAGTGATGCTGTGTTGTTTTATTAGTGAACATAAGAGTTTGCTTGACAGGAAATGTGTGCTGTTTCAGTAGCTTATGAGGTTTGTGCTACGGATCATTTGCTCAAACCTCCCTACCCCCAAAAAGAATGTTGTGGTTTTATTCTGAATCAGAGACAAATTTAGAACCAGTCAGGAGGGAGAACAATTTTATCACCATCTATTTAGCTTTTGAATATTTGTTAGAAGTACTTGAACTTACAGGTTAGCCTTGATTTTGAGACTGTTTTCTTAGAGAAATTTAATTTGGGATCCTGTTTTTCTGCAGATTGAGATAAATTCAAAACACAGAGTCATTGTTTCCAAGGATAACCTCACCAAAGAATGGTTCTTAAATTAATTTCAGTCTCAAATGGATCTTCCCATCAAAGTACAGAGGTCTTTAGCTCCAATGTCACCCAATTCTCCTTAAAAAATCACTTTTACCCTCCCGCCCAAATCAGAGCAGCTCCGAGGATGGAAGAACCACACACGAGGCATTCATTTGTCACTCCACATTCTTAGAACCTGATGCAATTAGACTGCTTTATGTTAAACGTGGGTTTAGAATAAAGTCCCAAAGCACCAGACCCCTTTCATAATTATGATAATTATAGTAATTTTGTTTGTAAATCTTGCCATTCTGGCTCAGACATTCCCCCTTGTCAAGTTTATGAAAATAAAGAAAAGGATCTTTCTGAGTTGGAGCTTTATGTGGCCCAGCAAATCTCCTTTCCCCCCGCTGTAACCACCCAGCTTCAAGAGGTCTAATCAGAGTGTCCATCAACTGCCCCTCAAGGGTTCAGGAAAGAAACGCTGAGTATTGTGCCTCCAGCGGCATTTCTGGCAGCCCATAGGCAGCTCCTAACGACAGGAGGGTTAATGGTTTTAGAGAGGAGCAGCAGAGGGGTAGTTAACCAGCAAGGAGAATAAAAGTGATAGCCAACCCTCAGTTGACTGTTGGCAGGTGCCCAGGGTCGGTGCCACTTCATTTTTGAAAAATATAGCCATGGCCTCATCAGAAAGTATAATAGTCTTATGGACAGAGTGACTAGGTTGATTGCCTGGATGGCTTTATCAACATATCATGACAAAGAGGCACAAGGACTAAAATGTTAGGAAGTGGAAATAGGAATCCTTGGTCAAGCCCACCCTCTGTGGCAGGCCTCACAGTTCAGCTCCTTCTGTGCAGCGTAGTCATCGATCTCAATCCACAAAGGAACTGTGGCCAAGACAGGATCGGCCACAGCAAGTCTGTACTCTCAGAGACTGAAATTGAGTCCCTTGTCTCAGCACCAGGTGGGGACCCTGGAGAGCTGTGAGAATGGTGGTTGCAGCCTTGCCGTGAGCCTCTAGGTACCTCCAGGTAGCCAGGGTGCTGCCTGTGTGGCCACTCACTCTGGGGTGTAATCCCCAAGTTGGACTGGACAGCAGCAGAGCTCAAGAGATGCCTAGCTCTCACTCTTTGAACTAGTCTGGATTAAGGTAAAGTTTCATTGGGGCAGAAAAAATGGTTGAGGAGAGTGAAATCATGTCCATTGAAAGGGTGAATTTTTTGAAACAGCCACCTAGTTAGAACAGGCATCAGTAAGCTTCAGGGAATGAGAGTCAGACTAGATCTGGCTGAAACAGTCATCTTTACTGAGGAGAGGTGCTTTTCCATCTGTGTGTCAGGAGAGTCTATCCAAAGTCCTTGAGACAAACGCTTACTGGTGTTAGTGAGCTCTAGAGACCAGCCCCGACACATCCTTGACATGACAGCATTATGATCAGTCCTCCTGCTCAAATGTCCTCATCACTTACCTTTTAGGTTCTATGAGAACAAGGTATAGACATGGAATGCTTTTTATGGTTTTTTTTCTAGTGAGATCTAACTTCTTGATTTCAAAAGAACTGTATGTTTGTTGTAAAACTAAGCAATTAAAATGCCAGCATTGCAAAATGCATAGGATGGTAAAGTTCTCCATTCTAGGACTCTCACTGGAAAGGACATTGGACTGACCCCACTCATTCAGATAAATTTCAAATGCTCAGCAAAACAGATGCCCACCCCCAGGGCACTTTCCTTCTAAAAATGAGCTGCTAGGCCGGGCGCAGTGACTCACACCTGTAATCCCAGCACTTTGGGAGGCTGAGGCGGGCAGATCATGAGGTCAGGAGTTTGAGACCACCCTGGACAACATAGTGAAATCCTGTTGCTATTAAAAATACAAAATTTAGCCAGGCATGGTGGTACATGCCTGTAGTCCCAGCTACTCAGGAGGCTGAGGCAGGAGAATTGCTTGAACCCAGGAGGCGGAGGCTGTGGTGAGCCAAATCATGCTATTGCACTCCAGTGTGGGCAACAGAGTGAGACTCTGTCTCAAACAAACAAACAAACAAACAAACAAAAAGAGCTGCTCCTTGATGGAAATGAGATCTCAGCTAGGGCCAGGTAAGATGTTGATGAAAACTTCAGGAAAATGTCATCACGGATTTTCAAGGCAAAAGAAATGAAATGTCCTTCTAGCCTTCCACCAAGGCAAGCTGAGGAGGCTATGAAAAATGAATTTTTCTTCTAATGAGCAGGCTGGGGGACTGTCTTGAGGACAGAGGTGGGGCATGGTGGAGAGGGATAGAAGAGAGGATATTTGACGTCGATAGCTGGTTTGAACAGCTTCTCCTATAGTGGACAGGGTAGGTGGAGAGTGGGTCGGCCCGAACCGTCCCGAACCAGCCAGCCCCGCATTCCCACCAGGCTACAGGCCTGCTGTGTATGCTTTGTGCTGGAAGAGCTGCTGGCAATGAACAGATGCAGAGGAAAGCCAGCGTGACGGGAGCTCCAGCAGAGCATCACGGAAAGGAGAAACCCACACATCCTAGACTAGCTCCTCAAGAAGCCAGAGCAAGACACACATGTGTGGCGAGGGTTTTTGTCATTAGCCTTCCCCCACAGTCGCTCTCAGAGAACACAGACAGGCTCCTGTTCTGGAGAGGAGGAATAATGCAGCCACAGAAAGTGATTGATTCCCCCTTGACAACTGAGATCATCCAGCATTCCAAGCTGGGAGAATTAATGGATGACTTAACCCTTGCCCAGCAGCCAGCAGCAGGCCCTTGGGAGACCGCCAGCGCCTTTGTCTGTGAGGCCAGAGAAAAGGCCAGTGGCTTCCCCTCCCCTACCATTGTCATAATCATATTCCGCAGTGAAACGTTAAGAGCTCAAAGCAGAATTGTAATTAACCTCGCCTGATCTGTTCCCCGCTGCTGTCCTGGAAGCAGGAGAAGGGAAGCCGGAGGGGCTGTGAGGTTTATCTTGAAATTAAACTTTCTCCACTAAAAGCATTTTAAAGCTCTGTGCTTCCAACAGGGTAAGATCTGTGGACTGAGATCTTTTGTTATTTTTTTTTTTTATTTCCTTCCTCTTTGAAAACTATACTCATAGCAAGGTGGGTGAAACAAAAGCCTTCCCTGCCTGCCATGGATGAGGCTCCGGGCCCTAAGGGTGGCAGCGCCTGTCAGTCTCTGCCTGCCTGCGTTCGTGTTAGGGCTAGGTGATTTCTCAAGTCCATTCAACCACTGGCAGCTTTCGTTCTCCCTGGGATGGAGGGATTCTGGATGACCTGCTGGTGGCCAATAGCTCAGGGCATCTCTGAGTCTGGTGTTAGGTGTTGTGGGGCTGTTGGCAAAGCCATCAGGAAAGTGGCCACCTTCTCTCTTACTCCCACAGGACAGGTGCTGTGTGGCAGCACCAGCTGCCTGCTTCAGGGCCTGCCGTATCCTTTCCACAACTTAGTGAGGCAGGAACCCTTAGTATTCCTATTTCCTGCAGCCCAGAAACATTGGGTAATTTACTCTGGGCCATAAAGCAAGGAAGTGGCAGAGGAGGAACATTTATCCAGGTTTGACTGACATCAGAGACCTGCTCGTAGACCCTGACACCCACCAGGGCAGCCAGGAGCATTGTGGCCTCTACCTAGAAAACCTAGGAGCATCCAGTCACCTCACAGGCTCCTGAGCAAATGCCCACTTAGCCTGAGGGGGAGACCAGTGCTTCTCACACCTAAGCGTGCATCAGAGTCACCTAGAGGGTATATTAAAACACAGATTGCTGGGCTCCACCTCCAGAGTTCCTGACTGTGGAGGTCTTGACAGCAGGCCCCGGAATGTGCATTTCTAACAAGTCCCCAGGTGCTGCTGATGCGGCCAGCCCGGGACCCCTCTTGGAAAACTGCTGGGGTGGACCAGTCCTGCTAAATGGAAAATCTGCCAAAATAGTATCACTTCAGTTCCTGCAGGGTAATTAGAGAATGCTAGCTTTTACCACTCTTTGAATTTTGTGATTTTTATTTTAAATGAAAGTCAACAAAAAGTGTTTCAAGTATAAATTTATATTTCCCAAAAAGTAGTCTGAAGAAAATATACCTCAGTGTCTTGTGGGTGGTAGACGCACAGCTGTTGGTTATTCTTTGTTTTTCTATAGGTTTGAAAGTTTTCAAAATAATTTTTAATGAAAGGAAAGACTAGAGGTGTAAGTAAACCCCACACCCTGTGTCCCAGGTTTACAAGGAAGGATTTCATTCCTGAAACCTCCCAAGTAACTGGAAGAGAAGTGCTGCTGTCTGCCAGCGCCACGCTGTCTAAACATGTCGAGGCTGTGAGCACATCTCCACCCTCAGCCCTGTCTGTAGAATGCTTTGCAAACAGTGCCAGTACTTGAGTTTGCTCTAATTTTGTCGCGCGTTCGCCTGTGGAACATTAGATGTCTGTCCCTCCACATCAGTGTTGATGATTTGTGAAGGTGAGCTCCTGAGCTCTACTTGGGGGTTTTGTACGAGGCATGCCTGCCGCTGAGCAGGTTGCAGGCAGACAGGCCTTCGCTGAGATGCTGAGGGTCCTTTGGATGCGTCCTCTGATGCACAGCCGGGGTCCTCAGTGCCCTCTGCTGTGGGCGCGCTTTGCTCTCTTTGCAGTTCCCTTGAGCTGCCTCATTTCACTGTGGAATAGCCCGTGGTGTTCCAGCTGCAGGATGTTGCTGCTTCTCCCCTCTCATTTTTAAAATACAGCTTGAGAAAACATAATGCTGATGATCAGTAGTCATTTTTATCTTTCTCCCTGCCTTCCCTGCTCCCACCTTGCTCCAAGCTGCTACCATCTCTCCCTGGAATTGTTGCTGTAGCTCCCAAGGTGCACCCCTGCCTCTGCCCTGGCCTCCCTGCATCTCTACTCATCCTAGAGGCCAGATGGATCCTGTTGTAACAATAAAGCAGACCACATCCCTCCCTGTTAAAACCCCCAATGGCCTCCATCCTAATCCTAGAGAAAAAGACACAGCCCTTATAAAATGCTGCATGACCTGGCACCCAGCCCCTCCCACGCACTCCCTCTCTGACCACTTCTCCTTCTTTCTCTCCCCTGCCTGACTGCTTCAGTCACCATCTCGTTCTGCTGGCCGCACTCCCTGCCTAGATTGCATTTACTGTGTCCTGCAAACATCCACGTAGCTCCCTCTCTCGCCTCCCTTAGGTCCACCCTGATGTCACTGGATCACACAGGCCTTCCCTGCAGCTCAATCACAAATAATAACCTCATGCCCACTCTGCATTCCCCACGCCTCTTCCCTGCTTCATTTTTCACCATCTCATGGACTGTGTATTTCACTTCCTGGCCTACTCTATTAGAATATGAGTTCCCTGAGGGCAGGGATTTTTCCAGGACCCCATAGTAGGCACTCCAATATTTCTTGAATAAATGAATGATGACTTCTGCATTTATTGAGTGCTTACTATGTGCTGGGCACTGTTGTAAACATTTCTATTTTTTTTTTACTTTTATTTTAAGTTCAGGGGTACATGTGGACGGTTGTTACATAGGTAAACTCATGTCATGGAGGTTTGTTGTATAAATTATTTTGTCACCCAGGTATTAAGCTTCGTATGCATTAGTCATTTTTTCCGATCCTCTCCCTTCTGCTATTCTGTACCCTCAAGTAGGCCCATTGTTTGTTGTTCCCCTCTTTGTGTTCATGTGTTCTCATCATTTAGCTCCAACTTATAAGTAAGAACATGTGGTATTTGGTTTTCTGTTCCCACATTAGTTTGCTAAGGATAATGGCCTCCCGCTTCATCCATGTTTCTGCAAATGACATGACCTCATTCTTTTTTTATGGCTACATAGTATTCGTGGTATATATGTGCCACATTTTCTCTATCTAGTCTACCACTGATGGGCATTTAGGTTGATTCCATGTCTTTGCTATTACAAACACTTCTAATTTTACCTCATTTATTCCTTACCCTGACTTTATGAAGCAGGTACTATGATTACCTTCATTTTAGAGATGAGAAGACAGGGAATATTCAAAGTATGTAAGACGCTTGGGTCACACGTAAAGGTAGCACTTTGCTCTTAGGGCATTGCAGAGAATCAGAACCAATAGGAGGTGGGTCTATATGGAGACATCTATACCTAGATAGAAAGATCAAGATCGATCTCTTGATATAGATTCTAGTAAATCGCAAACAGTGATTTATTTTAAGGAATTGGCCCATTTGATAATGGAGCTGGCAAATCTGAAGTCTGCAGGTCAGGCTAGAGACCCAGGGAAGAGTTGATGTTGCCATCCTGAGTCTGAAAGCTGTCTGGAGGAAGAATTTTTTCCCTTTTGGGGGACCTGTCTTTCCCCTTAAGGCCTCTCTGATTAGACGAGGTTCACTCACTGTATGGAAACAGTCTCCCTGTAGTCTCTTGATTTTAATGGTAATCACATGTAACAAACACCTTCGCAGCAATGCCTAATCTGGTGGTTGACCAAGCAACTGCGCACATAGCCCAGCCCAGCTGACGTGGGAACTTACTGGGCATAGCCTCTGAAGAGATGGTGTTTAATGGTCAGGCTGATCTAGCTTACCTTATCTCCAAGGGACTTCCCACCCGTCCTGATGGTACAGAGGGAGTGAGACGCAGCCCCAAAGGGTTTCTAGTGCTCAGGAGTTTCCCATTCTAGAAGGGGTTCTCTGACTTGAAGACCACCCCAAGCCCTAGGGTAGCCTCTTCCTCCTGTGAACAGCAAAGCTCCAGCCACCATCTCTCTTCAGCTTTTCTCTCCCCGGAAGCCTTGTCTTCGTAGCAATGTGTCATGTACAAGAGTGGGCCTGCCCTCACTCATGTCTAGGCTGTGGGGACTACAGCTACTGAGTTGGGGTCCTGGCTCTTACCCTTTTGCAGTGTGAGATGAGGAGGGCAGGCCTGGGTTTGTGGCATCTGGCGGCCTGTGGAGATCACTCGTGGCCCCTGGTATAGCTTCTAGCTACAGGATTCTGGGGACAAGGACAGGGCTGTGGGACGAGGCTGCGGCCCAAGTCTAGTTGCACCTCTTTCCAGTCGCATGACTCGGCTGACCACTTGATGTCTCTGAGCTTCACTTTCCAAATCTGTAGCAACAGACATGACAACACAGCCTGGCCTGTTTTGATGCAAGGTCAGTAGGCCTCTGCTTTTTCCTCTGCCATCTTCAGACCAGTTCCATGAGGGGCGAGTCACCCCTAGGGAGGCCCAGTGCAAGTGCAGAGAAACTGCTGTCGGTGCACACTGGCCTCAGAGTCCTCAACCGAGTGGAGTGGGCCTTATTCGGAGGCACGGGGAGCAGCCTGCCCACTGCTGGAAAAGGCCAGAGCCCACTTGAAAGCCGTGGCCTCCGTTTTCCAGTGGTGCTCCCCCTTTCATGGTGGTTTGGTCCCCTAGAAACCTTCCTGGGCTGCCACAGGCCTGGGGTTCAGCTGGGGGCTCCCTGCCTGGTCACCATTCACCTTGGGCTGCCAAGGGCCCTTGGGCCAGCCCGAGTCCCTATAGTGAACACTATACTCAGACTATCCTGTGAAGGCCAGGGGGTACCCTACTCCCAAAGTGGTTATTGCTGTGTTGTGCACCCCTGTGTTTTTCATGGTACATGTTGCAAACAACAGAAGTAAACACAGCAAAACAGCCCCCTTCGGTGCTGCTCCGCAGGGACGGCTGCCACAGCCTGGGACACCTGCGTACACGTGCGAGGGTGTGACACGCATCTGTGGATCATGCCATAGGAGTTTTGTGCTTCAACTTTTGTTGCCTTAAATATACCTTTTTTAAGTTCTGACCACATGAGTATCTTTTTTATTACATATATAATATCTTTTAACCTATGTCCTCAAAATATCACCACCATTGTCGATATCACTATAATTTCACTTATTACAATTATCACTGTAATGTCCACATGATTTCCCTCCTTTTGATAGGTGTGATAAATCACTAAACTGTATTTTAGATTATGTTCCTTTGTATGTGTATCTTTTTGCTTCTGTGGAATTATTTCCTTAGAAATTCATTTCTAGAGTCCACAGTGTTGCGTCAAGGAGTGTAAGCATTTGTTATTCTTCATACTTAATTCTTTCCTAAAAGGTGGTATCATTTTCCTATGCTGTGAAGAAAACTGATTTTTGGATTACCATCTAAATAACACTGGGGAGAGGGAATGTGGAGAAGAGTGAGGAGGAAAGATCTATTTGCCATGACTTGGAATAACACAGGGTGGTGGGTCTTTGTTTTTCTTCTTTCTCAGCACAACCAGCTCCACAGCCAGTAGTTGCGACACCGAGTTCACTAAAGAAGACGAGCAGAGGCTGAAGGATTATATCCAGCAGCTCAAGAATGACAGGGCTGCGGTCAAGCTGACCATGCTGGAGCTGGAAAGCATCCACATCGATCCTCTCAGCTATGACGTCAAGCCTCGGGGAGACAGCCAGAGGCTGGATCTGGAAAACGCAGTGCTTATGCAGGAGCTCATGGCCATGAAGGTATGTGGTGGGTGGGTCCCATGTGCTAGGCTGCCACCAGGAGGAAATCTAAACAACCTCTGAAAGCAGGTCCAGCAGATAAGGAGGAATCAACCCCTCCTGCCCAGAGAAGAGCTAGACCCTTGTTTATAGACAGAGCTGGTTTCACTATGTCTGGGGGTCACTTGGGCTGCGTGTTTCTGGACAGGGGAGTTGAATTTCTAAGGGATTTCTCAGGGTGTCCCAGCCCAACTTTGGAGCCCTTCATCCTCTAAGAGAAGCCAGGTCAGACCTCTGCAGGGTGGAGCCTCTGTCCATCTAAATTGACCCCTAATCTCAAGAATGCTTGGAAATATGTCTTGGGTTGCTGATGCTGATGTTAACTCCGGCAGGGGGAGAACAGGGTGAGGCCAGTTGTAGAGTTTGGCCGAGAGCCCTAGTTTCCTGACACCCTGTACCTTTGGTGCAATGTCGAGCCTGCTCAGACCATAGTGCCCTCCAGTGAAGGTGTACAGTGCTGTTGAGGTCAGTGTTTCAGTGGATCTGAAACACTGGGCCCTTCAGCTGCTAGTGGAGATACCTACCTGCTGGTATTTCTACAGAAGGGAGCTTTCTTGGAAAGCTGGTGTCCCCTACTGGGAAGTAGTTAAACCGCCATACCTACAACAAGACATCACTTTGCCTGTTTCTGGTGTGGAATGCCAGGCACCAGCCCTTCACCTGGTACCTGCTCTTACAAGGCAGCTGTGGTATAAATAAGACCATATCTGATATTTGTCCTTGGTTTTGGGACAGAGTTTGAGAAACCCTTGGAGTTTCTTGCTGAGCTAGGGGTGTCTTTGTGATGCTGATGAGGTGACTTATGGTGGGCCCTAGACAGCTTCAGAATGTGGGCTGGTCACCAGAAGGACCAGGCGTGTGTTGGAGGATTGGGACTTTCAGCCACCTGACCTCCGGGGAGGGGAAGAGAGCCAGAGATTGAGTTTAGGACCGGTCAGGAACTGGAGTCTAGCAAGCCAGAGCAGGTCGTGGCAGTGCAGAGTTAATGGCTCCTATTAGGATCAGTACTGTCCGCAGCAGGGAGAAAAACAACCCCCTGGTCGCACCATCTCTGGAGAGTGGAGGGGAGCTGGCAACAGCAGCCATCCTGACACCCTCAGGGGTGACTCACTCAGCACAGCCCTGTCCTTGGGAGCTTCTTGAGCTAGAATCTGGGCGAAGTTTGGGAAGACACTAGGCAGTGGTAACAGATACAGGAATCTTACCTCCCACCCCCACCCCCATGATTTCCAAACTGGCTCATCTTCATCAAGCCACGCAGCTCCCATCCTGACCTCTCTGTAGAGAATCCTCATGCTGCTTTGGCTGATTCCACCTCTCATTGCTTATGAGCTAGACTTGGGTCCATCATTGTAGCGACTTTTCCCCCAACTGGGAGCCCTGTTTGCAGATGCTTGCAGCCTGTGGCACGAGCTATGAGGCCACCCTTCCATCATTTGTTCCAAACATTGTGTTTCTTTTGGCCAAAGACTAAGGATTTCCTTTTTAAAATTGGCCAACGTGGGGTGATAAATTTACTGGTATTCTACCTAAGAAAGACATTTTTGTTGGAATAAAAGTTCTAATACTCCCTTTGCCACTTGAAAATAAAATGTGTACTGATCTTAGAAATTTTCTAAAAAAGTAGAAAAGCTGGGAGGAGAACAATCCATAATATCATGATCCAGGGCAGCCATTGCTAGCATTCTGGCTTGGTTCCCTATGACTTTCTTGAAGGCTAAATATCAGAGCCGTCCCCTTTTCCTCTGAGTCCCTCCCAGTCTGCTTGGGGATGTGTGCTCACCCATACCAAATCCATTATCCAGCAGGTTACGTTGGATTTTCACCAGTTTCTAGGATCCAACTGCTGAGAAATTCAAATTTCTGTTTTTGTAATACCTTTTCATTTCTAGATGATGTGCTTGGTTCCTTTTCAAATCCATTCTTCTTTTTGTTGTTGTTTGTTTGTTTGTTTGTTGTTTTGAAACAGGGTCTCACTGTGTTACCCAGGCTGGAGTGCAGTGACACAGTCATGGCTCACTATAGCCTCGCCCTTGGGCTGGAAGTGATCCTCCTGCCTCAGCCTCCCGAGTAGCCGGGACTACAGGAATGCACTGCCCTACCCAGCTGACTTTTTAAGTTTATTTTTTTGTAGAAACAGGGTCTCACTTTGTTGCCCAGGCCAGTCTCAAACTCCTGGGCTCAAGTCATCCACCCAGGTCAACCTCCCAAAGTGCTGGGATTACAGATGTGAGGCACCAGGCCTGGCCTTCTCTTCCTTTTTGAACATCTTATCCCTTCATTATGACTCCTGTATCACTTTGTTTTAAATCTTTATTTTCTAGTTTTGCACATTGTTATTTCTGCTTCTTGTAAATGCTGACTCTTACTTTTTGCATCCGCTCATTCTTCGTCAGTGCTGATTCATTCTCATTTCCTCGGTGGTGGGGGTAGGGGGAGAGAATGCAAGCACCAGCTCATCCTCTGTGGAAACTGTCTTCCGTGGGGCCCTGAGGATCCTGGGTTGCAGATGTCCCTACAGAGTGGTTCTATGTTTAGATCTGTTGGGACTCATCAGTTTCTGAGGTTTAGGACTAGTTGTTATTAAGTTCTTGGCTCTGGATTCCTGTACCACACCTACACATGACACAAGCTTGAGGTTTAATTCCTGGAAAGAGATTTTTCTTTCTTTTCCCACACAGAGCCTGAGAGATGACAAGTTTACTTGTCACATCTCCAGAAAGGAAGTTTCCTAGTGTCTTATGGGCAGCCTGATGAGAATCCTGCTCCCGTAGGGGTCTGAGCTGTGGCTCTCTGCCTCAGAGGCCACGGCCCTGGCCTTGGGTAATGTTAAGCCCCCGGGTGGAGGGCCTGAGGACAGTCTGACGCCTTGCTGGCCAGCACCTGCCCTCCTTGCCGTTCTCTCTGGCAGAGTTCCCTCTTCATTTCTGGCACCCATAGGTTTCTCTTTCCCTCTTTCAAGCCTGCACTTATATGTTTGTTCTGGAAGCGACCATCACATTAGCTCAGTATGCAGTGTTGCCAGAACCTTCAGAATCCTGCTTCCAATGGCAAAAGATCCGAAGGCTCTGGGCGTGGCACACCTTTCATTCTGGCTTTTATGTCTGATATTTAGGGTAAAGAAGGTTGGCATGTTCTGAGTAGTTTACTGAGCATATTGACTAATGTCCCTTTCGAGGGGTGTCCTCTACCCATTTCCCCACATTTGAGAGTGAAAACATCTACCCCCTAGTCCAACTTACCCAGGAGAGTGCACCAGGCCTGTGGTTTATTACCTCAGAAGGGTGACTTCGGGGGTTGTGAGAATCTGAACTAACCTCAGGTGAGTCCATCTCACGGTGGGCTGGGAAGGCTGGACCTGGTGGCCATGGGCTGGTGGAGTTACTCTCCAGCAGAAGTGCGGGGACAAGAGTCATGCGTGGGCTCACCTTGAAAGGGAGGGAGGCAGTATAGCTCTGAACCAGACAGCTTGGCTGCAATCTGTGGCTCCACAGCTTACCCAGTAGCCATAAGCAGGGGGATTTCCTTCTGTGTGCCTCAGTTTCCCATCTGTCAATGGAGATAGTTGCAATACCTAACCCAGGTTGGGAAGATGAAATGAGCCACGTCATGTGAACACTTAGCACAGTGCCACGTGCTCAGTAAAGGCTACTGGCTGTCATTGTTACTGGCTCCTGGTCCCAGGATGGCACTGTCCTATTTTGGATTCACTTCGTATTCTCCACTCATCGCTCTCATTTGAGTTCTTAGGATACTTTTAGAAGTTGTCTGATGAGCAGTCACCTGTGAAGGATGCTGTTTCTATTGATTTCATTTGGGCCCTGAGAAGTAGGCAAGAGCTGGAGGTTGATGCTGCTGCAGGCATTCGCCGCATGCCTGGCCCAGCTACAGGGCAACAGAGGTGCCGTGGGTGTGATTAAACATGTGGTTGGTGCCATGGAAACCAAAATGGGAATTGGAAGGGGCTTGGCCAGAAGAGGCCTTCCATGGATAGGTGACTTTACAGCCTCTGGCAGGTGCAGCTCAGCCTCTGCAGACCAGAGAATGGGTTTCCATCAAGGCCCATGTGCCTGAGTGGGGGCTCTATTTGTTAGAAAGGTTTTCCCTATATTGAACCACAATCTTGCCTGTAACTTCTACCCTTCTGTCTCAGGTCTAGTCCATAGACTGACAAAGTGCATGGCCTTGTCCATACGTCATTCCTTTAGAAGTGTGGTGACAGGTGCCACGTCTCCTCCCACTCATCCTACTGCCAACTTCAAAGTGAGAACTCTACCATGGGCCTGTGGGTCATAGCCGGGGACCCCCCACCCACCCACTTGGCAGCAGCCAGGCCTGCTCTCAGATAGGGCATGCCTCATGTGCTCTGTGCTCCTTTGTCTGTAGGAGGAGATGGCCGAGTTGAAGGCCCAGCTCTACCTACTGGAGAAAGAGAAGAAGGCCCTGGAGCTGAAGCTGAGCACGCGGGAGGCCCAGGAGCAGGCCTACCTGGTGCACATTGAGCACCTGAAGTCCGAGGTGGAGGAGCAGAAGGAGCAGCGGATGCGATCCCTCAGCTCCACCAGCAGCGGCAGCAAAGACAAACCTGGCAAGGTAGGGCCGGAGTGGCTTGGGGACACCCTTAGGCTCAGTGACTGCCCAGTGACTGCCCAGTGACCACTGGCCACACCTCACCGCCCTGCTGCCTCAGTTCTTGTATTTGCATAGGAAATGCAGGCCATTCGTAGGTATCTAAGAAGGTGACATTTTGAGTGTAATGAAACCAGGTCTACATTTTAGAAATACCAAATCTCACTTTATGTAATAGTTGAACCTTTTCACATATCACAGTCACATCAGAGGGGTGATCTCTGCAGTTGTCCACTGATACTGTTCTCACCTCCTTCGTCTAATCCTCTGTCACACGGCAGCCCTCATTTGTTGGTTTATTGGTATAATAGGGCCCCCTTTATCCACAGGTGATATGATCCAAAATCCCCCATAGATGCCTGAAACCACAGGTAATACTGAACCCTTATATATTCTACGTTTTCCCCTATACATACATACCTGTGTTGAAGTTTAATTTATAAATTAGGCACAGTAAAAGATTAACAACTAATAAAATATTAATAGAACAATTATAACAATATGTCAGCATCATTAATGTTGCACTTTGGGGCTTTTATTACATGCCATAAGGGTTACTTGAACACAAGCAGTGTGACACTGATAGTTGATCTGATAATGGAGACAGCTACTAAATGACAGATGGGTGGGGAGTGTCTACACTGCGGCTATGCTGGCCTAAGGAATGATTCGCAACTCAGGTGGGATGGCGCAGGTCAGTGCAAGGTTTCATCACGCTGCTCAGAATGGTGCACAATTTAAAACTTACTGTTTATTTCTAGAATTTCCCATTTAATATTTTCAGACCATGGTTGACCTTGAGGAACCGAAACCACAGAAAGCAAAACTGCAGTTAAGGGGGAGCTACAGTACTTCTGTACCAATGACTGCATTTATTATCGCCCTTAAGTCTCACAGGTCTGAGGAAAGAATAGTTATCCCCATTTACATGAGAAAAATGAGGCTCAAAGAAGTGAGGAGTCTCACTGCTGATAAATGGTAGAATTGGGATTTAGCCCAGATCCACTAACGGGCTCTCTTCTCTCCACTGCATTTCCTCCTTGACTCCTTCCTGCTGGCGTTGCTACCGTCACAGGGTGGTAAGCAGGAATCAGCCTGCCGGCAGAGGAGGAGGAAGGAAGCCTTGGGTTACGAAGTCCACATCATCTGAAAGCAGGCTGTCTGGTGATAGAATTTTGCAAACTCACTCTTTTATCAGCCCCCAGGTGTTTTTTTTTTTTTCTGGAATCCAAGTTCATTCCATTATCCTGTATCTCAGAATTTTCCAAATACTGTGTTGGGAAAAAAACAACTGTGGACTCTAAAGAATTATATCCCTTGTCCAAGGGTCATCTATATTCTGTGCATCATATTTTTCTGTTCTTAATAAATGCAAGCTTCTCTTGACCCCCATTTGTTTCAGACCCAGGACTCGCAGACATATGCCAACTTGCTAGTCTAATAAGCTGCTTCTCATAGCATAAGTGCAGGATCGTCTCCAGGAGAGCCATATACCTGGGAAAGAAGGAACAGTACTGATGTCATGTGACAGTGAATTGTCACTCCCTACATAGTTAAGAACTCTGAAGCATGATTCACAAATGGCCACAGCTACACCCTTCTCCACCTCCCACTTGCTGAGGAGCCAAGACAAGACACAGCTGTGGCACCCAGCCAGGCCAGCCCTCCCAAGACCCTGGCTGCTTTTTATTCATCCATTCAGCTGATAAATGTGATTTGGCACTCACAGCGTGCCAGAACCAAGGCAGGGTGCTAGAGGCAGCTCTGTGGTAGACAGGCAGTCTGTCCTCTAGGAATTTACATTCTTAGGAGGAGACTGGTGGGCAAATGGGTGATCGCAGAGCAGTGAGAGAATGTCCCCAGTGCGAGGCTGAATTCTTAGCACCATGGGAGGACAGAAGCCAGACACAAATGTCCACTTGGGAGATTCAGGACAGGTTTTCTGGAAGAAATGAACTTCTGAGCTGAGCCCCAGTGGAAAGTGGGAGGTAGCCTGTTGAAGAGGGGCAGGTGGAGGGCCAGGGGAGAGAAGAGGTGCCCTTAGGCTGATGGGACAGCACGTTTAATGGCCCGGAGGGTTGTGGAGTTGATGCACTGGCTGGAGTTATCTTGAGGGCCGTGCGGAATCATGGAAGGGTCCTCAGCAAGAGATGATGTGATACAGTTTGGGCTTTAGAGAAGTCACTATGCCAAGTGCACTATGAAGCCATCTGCCCAAGGCTGGGGGAGGTGAGTCAGGCTGTGCAGGTGGGCATCAGCCATGCGGTACTGTATCTGGGTTCACATGGAAGTATCTGGGGCTCGGGAAGATGAGGTTCCATACAAACACCTTCAAAATCTCTCTCTTTTTTTTTTTTTTTTTTTTTTTTTTGCCTTTTGAGTTTGTTAGCAGTCAGTTAGAGACAGAGCGCTAGTGTTTGTGTGTGTTCTTGGGGTGTGGTAGGAATGGAGTTACCAGGTTCTTGCCAGAAGGCCCATGAACTGAGCATTTTCCCCTAGTTCCTGGTATTTATTTTGACTGGGTGAAATACTGTTATGTGGAGTGGCTTCAAAGTAAGGAAATTTGGCTGGACGTGGTGGCTGATACCTATAATCCCAGTACTTTGGGAACCCGAGGCGGGTGGATCACTTGAGGTCAGGAGTTCAAGACCAGCATCACCAACATGGTGAAACCCCATCTCTACTAAAAATACAAAAATTAGCCGGGCATGGTGGTGGCGCCTGTAATCCCAGCTACTCGGGAGGCTGCGGCACAAGAACTGCTTGAACCTGGGAGGCGGAAGTTGCAGTGACCCAAGGTCGTGCAGCCGCACCACAGCCTGGGCGACAGAGTCAGACTCTGTCTCAAAAAAAAAAAGTAAGAAAATTTATCCTATGGAAAAGGCCAGATGATTTTTTTTTAACACTACAGTAAGAACCTTTATAAGAGTATGTTGTGTTTTTCAGGTAATGAAATAAGCTGATTATCTTGCCTTTCAAATACTAGATCCATTTACTGTTGGAATAAAATCTCCCATCTGGGCTATTCATCTGGTCTTAGCTGTTGCTGGATGAGGCGAGCATCTAGAGAAGGGGTCAGCACTTTTCTGTGAAGGGTCACACAGTGAATGTTGTAGAGCTTGTGGGTCATTTGGGTGCAGCTGCAGCCACTCAGCTTTGCTATTGTCCAATGCTAGCGCAAAAGCAGAGGCAACAGGGAGACCAGTGGCCATGGCTGTGTTCTAGTAGCACTTTATTTAATTTTTTTTTTTTTTTTTGAGATGGAGTTTCACTCTTGTTGCCCAGGCTGGAGTGCAGTGGTGCGATCTCAGCTCACAGCAGCCTCCACCTACCAGGTTCAAGTGATTCTCCTGCCTCAGCCTCCCAATTATCTGGGACTACAGGTGTGCGCCACCATGCCTGGTTAATTTTGTATTTTTAGTAGAGATGAGTTTTCACCATGTTGGTCAGGCTGGTCTCAAACTCCTGACATCAAGTGATCTACCTGCCTTGGCCTCCCAAAGTGCTGAGATTACAGGCGTGAGCCACTGTGCCTGGCCTCTAGTAATACTTTATGTATGGATGCTGACATTTAAATTTCATATAATTTCTACCTGTCACAGAATACTCTTCTTTTGACTTTTTAAAATGATTTTAAAAATAGGAAAACCATTCTTATCCTGTGGGTCATAAAAAGCAGCTGGCGGGCCACATTTGAGTCTTGAACCTTTTTTCTTGCTCCACTGGGTGGGTGCTTATGCTTCTTTAAAAAGCTTCCCTCCAACTAGCACAGCTGGATTCCAAATCTTATCCAAGTTGCGTTAGGTTTTGAAATTCTCGTCTGTGTGCACCAGATACTGCCAAGTATATTCAGTGAGAGGCACCGTGAATGAGACAGAGCAGTCCCTGTCTTTAAGGAGTCTCACGAAATGTTAACATCAAATGGGAATGGATATACAAAAAGTGAGGGTATTGTGGGAATCTCAACAGATTCCAAGGGTGGACAGGGGACTTGGATCTCTGAGCGCAGGTAGGTGGAGAGGAGGTGGAAGGCGGCCCAGGTGGAGGGCATGGCAGAGGGAAGAGCACTCAAGTGTTGGCAGTGCCACTGCCAAGGAACTGCCTCGGGAGACCACATGCCTGGACTTGCAGCACTGAATTCGTGCCTCTCTGTAGCTCATATCTTATAAAATTTTCTGTTTATGGCCAGGTGCGGTGGCTCACGCCTGTGATCCCAGCACTTTGGGAGGCCAAGGTGGGTGGATTACCTGAGGTCAGGAGTTTGAGACCAGCCTGACCAACATGGAGAAACCCCGTCTCTACTAAAAATACAAAATTAGCCAGACGTGGTGGCACATGCCTGTAATCCCAGCTACTCGGGAGGCTGAGGTGGGAGAATCGCTTGAACCCAGGAGGCAGAAGTTGTAGTGAGCCAAGATCACGCCATTGCACTCCAGCCTGGGCAACGAGAGCAAAACTCCATCTCAAAAAACAAACAAAAAAATATCTGTTTACATTCCATCTCCTGCAACAGATCACAAGCTTTTTATTCTCAGGTCTGCAGCTTGGTAGCACTCATGTCCGTTGAGAGATCATCCGATGAATGCCTTCCCCCAGCCATGGTACTATGTAGTGTGGCTGCTGTCCTCTCTGTGCATGGAATGTAGAGCACTCAGGCATGGTCACTGCTTTGAATAGTCTTAACTATAGGATTTGGAGCACTGGCTCTTAAGTTTCCTCATCTGCAGGGTGGGATGATTTGCTTTAGATGATGTCAAGGTCCCTGTCTAATGCTAAGCCATGGGGTGGGCTGCACTTCTGTTTTCCTCCTCCTCTGCTGGGTTTTCTTGATGATTACACTGAACCCAGCAAGGCTCCTAAATCTAAAGGAGTTTGCTTTTCTCCCAAGGAGACGTGGGATGGGGCACCAAGGATATTCACAGGTATTTCTCACTTGTCTTGTATGATTACAAGAGGCTTTACCTAGCGGTCAAGAGATTGATCTGTGGCCACACAGCTTGGGTTTGAATCCTGGTTCCCCCATTTCCTAGCTGGTGACTGGGCCGCATAACTTCTCTGTGCCTTCATTCCCTCCTTGGTAAAATGGAGATAATGATAGTTCCTGCCTCAGAGAGTATTTGTGGAGATTAAATGATTGAATGCATATGGCATGCTTAGACCAGTGCCTGGCATCAGCGGCTGCTCAGAGCATACTGGGTGTCATCCCCACCGCACTGGCCAGTCTGCAAAAGGAGCCAGCGGTCTGGGAGCAGAGGGGCCTCTTTGGCTTGCTGCCAGGCTTTCCCCTTTGGCATGACCTGAGGGCGCCACCCGGTGCCCACACTGCTGCCATCACTGCACGAGCCACCTACCGCGCTCTGCTGCAGGCTTCCAGGGTGCTGCCGGCTTGGATTCAGGCCTAACTGGAATGTGTTTGCTGTTGTCAGGAGTGTGCTGATGCTGCCTCCCCAGCTCTGTCCCTAGCCGAACTCAGGACAACGTGCAGCGAGAATGAGCTGGCTGCGGAGTTCACCAACGCCATTCGTCGGTAAGCACCCTTTCCCCACCCCAGCTGGTGTTTATCCTGGGCATGGAGACTTTGTTCTGAGTTCTCTTTGCTGCTCCCAAAAGGAGAAGGTGCTGATGTGTTCCACTTTACCCATGTCTTGGAAGCCAGAAATGGAGAAGGCCTGTTGGTGCCAGGCCTTTCAAAACAGTGAGAAGAGAGAGCACTTAAGAGACAGCACTTAGGCAGTCATTGATTCATCAGTGAATAGGAAAATTCCTCTTCCTTTCCTTTTCTGTTATGTTGTTGCATTGGCTAGAAACTTCCGGGACAGTGTTAACTAGTGAGGTGAAAACAGGCACTCTTACCTTGTTTCCAACTTCAGCAGGAATACTTTCCTTCAGCGTTGGTAGTGTGAAAAAGCTTTGTGTATTTATTTAGTTCTGGGAAATTTTCCTCTATTATTTCAGTGTTTCTTTCCCCTCACCGCCCCCCAGTTCTTTATCTCCTCCTGCAAGGAGAAACAGATGCTGATTCATCTAGCTCTGTCTTCCGTATCTCCACTTTTCATACCTTCTTTCCATCACTGCTTTTTCCCCGGGTGCTACAGCAGCATTGTCCAGCAGAAATGTAATGTGAACCACATATGTACTTGTAAATTTTCTAGTAGCCACATTAAAAAGAACAAAGACAGCTGAAATTCCCTTTAATAACATTTTATTTAACATAATATGTCTACATTATTTTAACATATAGTCAATATTTTCTCAAACTATTAATGAAATTTTTTTTTAACCAAGTTTTCAAAACCTGGTATGTATTTTACACCTCAGCATATCTCAAATTCAGACATTTCAAGTTCTCAAGAGCCACATATGGTTGTGGCTGCCCTATCAGATAGTTGCAGTTCTGGAGAGACAGATTTTTTGGCTAAATTTTCCAGCTCACTAATTTATTCTTTAGTTAGGTTCATTGTGATGTTTGACCTATATGTTGAGTTATTTTGGTGATTAAATCTGTCATCTCTTTTTTAGTGATATGCATCTCTTTGAGGATTTTTATAATGCTTAAATTTTTTTTTTTTTTTTTTTTTTTTTGAGAGAGGGTCTCATTCTGTTGCCCAGGCTGGAGTGCAGTGACACAATCACAGCTCACTGCAGCCTCAATCTCCTGGGCTCAAGTGATCCTCCCACCCCAGCCTCCCAAGTAGCTAGGACCACAGGTGCATGCCCCCACACCTGGCTAATTTTTTTTTTTTTTTTTTTTGAGACAGGGTCTCCCTACGTTGCCCAGGCTGGTCTCAAACTCCTGGGCTCAAGTGATCTTCCCATCTTGGCCTCCCAAAATGTTGGGATTACAGGCATGCAGTGCCCTGCCCGGCCCTTAAATTCCTTCATCTTTTTTGTCTGCTGTATTAATTCTGTTTCTTCACATGTAATTCTTTTCATAGTTGAGTTTTGTGACTCTTTCTTGGTGTTTGCTTTCTTTAAATATTCAGCGGTTCTTGTTTGTGTGTTCATTCTTGTATTTTAAATTCCTAGGTCACCTGTTCGAGAGGTTTTGTTTTTGTTTTTTGAGACAGAGTCTCGCTCTGTCGCCCAGGCTGGAGTGCAGTGGTGCGATCTCGGCTCACTGCAATCTCGGTCTCCCAGGTTCAAACAATTCTCCTGCCTCAGCCTCCCAAGTTAGCTGGCACTACAGGCACACGCCACCACACCTGGCTAATTTTTTGTATTTTTAGTAGAGATGGGATTTCACCATGTTGGCCAGGCTGGTCTTGAACTCCTGACCTCATGTGATCCAACCGCCTTGGCCTCACAGTGTGCTCTGATTACAGGCATGAGCCACTGCACCCGGCCATCCCATTTGAGAGTCCTGCTTCTACTTATTACAGTCTGCCACCCAGAAAATGTAGCCAGGTCCTTCAAAGTGCTGTCAGCTGGGTCATATCAGAAGCTGTCTCCTGGGCTTTCTGTGTCTCCTGGCTAATAACAGCCCTCTAGTCTGCGTATCTGACCCAAGCATTTGGTCCCCTCCTGTTCTGGTAGCCAACACCTCTGGTTGGAGCACCTCTGAATCCCCTTCTTCCTTTTGCAGAATATTTTTCTGCATTCATTTTGCATTGTGGTTTTCTCTTCAGGAAGAAGAAAACATCTGCCTTTCATTTTTTATGATTGAGCATGATTTCTGATATACAAAGAGCACTCCTTTCTAAGATGCTCAGGGGTTTTAAAAAATGTCTTTCCTGCCATTTCTGGGGATTTAGGGTTGGAGGGGAAGGGTACAGTGTATTTTCAGTCAGCTCACTTGATCCAGCGGGCCTGTTTATAGGATGGCCTCCAAGCTGATGGTGGATGGAAGGTTGCCTTGTGGGGAACTTCACTACCTTCCTGATTTATTGTCACTTTTTGTCTTTCCTTCCAAGTTGTAATAGCTCTGTTTGTACTTTGCCAGAGCCTCTGGCCGTGCAGTTAAATGGCAGTTGCTCTGCTTGGGGCGGGAAGAGAAAAGCTGCGCAGAAAAATGCCCTCAACAAATCCTAATGACTTAACTGTGCCAGAAACACGGGATGGAAATCCCACTCGCTATTTCCAGTGGGAGCCATTTGGATATTGTATCTGTAAGCTAAGCCCTTAAGTTTTTCAAATTCCCCAAACCTCAGAGGCCTTTGCTGGCACAAGGAAGATGCAGATTGTGCTGACTAAACATAAAGAGACTTCATTTGTTCTGTCAGTCACAATGGATTTCCAATAACCAGCCTTAAGTTGGTTAGCATGGATTTCTAATCAAGACCCAGGTGGATGGAGCCAAGAACAAACTTACAGAGGTAAAGGAAAAAGGAAAATAACATAATGATACTGTAAATATAGCTTAGAAACTGGGGTCATCACTTCATGAGGGGATACAATATACACACCTCAGGGCTGCAGTTTGGGTTTGTATTATATACCTTGATGAAATGATTCCTGAGGTTTTTATTTTAAAAAATCAAATGGAAACGAACACCTTTTTTGAAGGTATTAAATCACAGCCGAGCTTATGGTTGAGGTCAGCTGGGGGAATCTTACCAGCATTTTCAGCAGTATTTCTCCCTTGAAAAAAGGATGGTGCCAGACACCAAAACTGTAGGCGCAGGCATCCAGACTGAAAAGATCAGGTGTCGCTAAGGGAAGAGGAAGAGGCTAAGCCATGGGCTGTCCTTAAGGAGAACCAGCCATCCCAGGGAAGGTGCCCTGTGACATTTCAGTCACTGGTTCTGGGTCATGACACTGTCCCCAACCCAACCTCCCCTTACCTGGCCAGCCCTTGTCACTCAGCCCTGGCTCTCTCAGTGTATCTTCTCCTAACTTTCTTCTGTTTGGAACAAAACCAAGGCTACATGCCACCCCGCCTTTACTGTATGTATAACTCCCATCTGGTCTGATTTCGTTCCCCCTACTTCGGTGAACATTTATTGCAGTTTGTTGGCTGTGGTATTGCCATAAAACCCCATCTGGATGACCAGGTTTCCAGTCTGGCACACGAGATGTTTTCTTAACAGGGTATTTTGTTTTCTCTCTTGTCCATCCAGCCTGTGTGCTGTAAAAACCTTCTCCATCTCAGATCTGTCTCTCACCCTTGGTCCTAGTAAAATTTGACTGATCTTTCCACCAAGTAAGTGATCTATAAAAAGGCAGCTAAATAAGGGAATTTTCAGAAATGACTCCTTTTTTGTACTCACATGGTGTTTGTGCAGCCCGCCCTCGGGACCCAAGCACAGCTGAGAGGAGCAGACTAGTTCATCTCCGTCATATTCTTGGGAGGCAGCCGGGAGCAGGTGCTGCTCTCCATGTGATCCTGGGGTGGGTTGGGGGGGGGGGCGCGGAGTGGGACGGCAAGGCTGAGTGATCTCTCAAGGTCACACAGTGAGGCAGTGGGGAAGTCTGCATGTTTCTACATTCTCTATGGGGACCCCTTGTGCCCCACATGTGCTGGCAGCATTGGGCTTGCTTGCCGATGAGTGAGCTGAGCCCACTCGTTTATCTGAAGACTACCTGCTGTGTGGCTGGTCTGGGCAGTGAGAAACCTCTATGCCTCCAGTAAACAGCCATGTCTTAGTCTGTCAGTGCGAAAGGCAAATGAGGTGCCATGGCGGGAGGCGGACTTCCTTAAACACACAGAGCTGTGAAGCAATGGCATATGTCAGCCTAAGTCATGCTGATAAAAAGGTAAGGATCTGAGTGAGCCAGGTGCTGTTGCATACACCTGGAGTTCCAGCTACTGGGGAGGCCAAGGCAGGAGCATCCCTGGAGGCCAGTTCAAATCCAGCCTGGGCAACATAGCGAGATCTCGTCTTTAAAAAATAAATAAGTAAAAAATATCTTTTTAAAGTAAGGATCTGTGCTTCCTCAGTGCTGGGAGGCAGGAAGTAGGTGCGCTGCTCCTCACCATGATACATCACCTGAGCCATGGTGAGGAGCAGAGCATGGTGCTGCCTCACAGGCACTCGCCTTTCACTCTACCCAGGAGCAGGGTGGGGCGAGCCTCACATACTACCTGCAGGAGTCAGCGCCCTGCCCTCCAGGAGGCTGCGGTCATTTAGTCACCGACCATCCAGGGGCTGTGCCCAGCCCTCCAGGGAACTGGAATATGCCATCTGTGTCTGCGTGTTTGCCAGATGGTTCTGTAAAATGCCACGTTAAGGCAATCGACAAATCACAGTGGCCGTTCTGTCCAGGGACAGGATGCCCCTGACTCATCCACCAGAAGAGGGCTTCCTTTCCCCTCTCTGCTGAATAAGAAGTAGGCAAGCTGCCACTGCTGGAAGACAGGGTTGTGTGCCAGAGCCCTGTAAGGATATATCCAGTGGCAGGAGGGCCTTGTCTGGTCAGTGTGATCGATCACACCTGCCGTGAGACTGCTCTTCCTCTTCTGCGCCTCTGGGGCTTCAGTCTTGCATCTGCTTTTGTCCTGGCCCCACCCAATGCCATTCCCCAAACATTCACATCAGGTGACTTACAGCTATCTGTAAAATGGATCCGGATGTTCCCATCCTCCACCTCCCAGCAGAAATGACACCCTCTCCCACTTCTTTTTTGGTTCCTAGCGCCATGAATTTCCTTCTCCCATGGAACATTTCATTGCTCATTTCTTAATATGCCTGGTTCTACCCCCAACTCCCCTCCTTAACCCTCAGTCCCCACACAGAAAGAGAGTCCTTTTAGGGCCAGGGATTGTGGTTTACTCAGCCAAGTACATGACTCCAACTCTCATGTCTTCAGCTGTTCCTTCTAAATGGTCCCTAAATTATCTCAACCTCATGCCCACTGGACATCTCCACCCAAATATGCTAAAGCCTCAAAACAGCACATCCAATACAATTCTGTTTCTTCCTGCCCTTTGATGAATTCCTATTTATGTTAAAAATCCCCTTCTCCTAATGATCCAGGATTATAACTTGTAAGTCTCCCCTCCCTACCTCTCGTCAGCAGGTCATAATTCCTTAAAATCCCTTCCATTCCTTTCCATCGCACTGACCCTCAGAACCCAGAGAGTAGTGTCCTAATGGGTCATTCTGTAGTTTGATTCTGCCGCCAGAATACCTTAAAACACACTTCGGATTAGGGTGCTCTGCATAAGCACCTTCAGTGCCTTGGCACTCAAGATTGTCCGTAGGTCCCTAACTTAACTTCCTAGCCCATATTTCAAATGTTTCCCCATGCTTGATCTGTAGTCCAGCCCCTCTGGACAATTCATCTTTCCAAGAGCACACCCTTTGCTTTATCCCTGATTCTCCCTCATCCTTTCCAATCAGAATGCTTACCATCTTGAAGCTTCCTTCAGTCACCTCCATCATGTATCTTCCCGCTATTCTCTGAGTCTTCTCTGGTACTTTTTTGAGACAGGGTCTCACTCTGTCATCCAGGCCGGAGTATAGTGGCACAATCACAGCTCTGTGCAGACTCAACCTCCCCAGGCTCAAGCAGTCCTCCCACCTAAGCCTCCCAAGTAGCTTGGACTACAGGTGCACACCACCACGCCTGGCTAATTTTTGTATTTTTAGTAGAGACAGGATTTCACCATGTTGCCCAGGCTGATCTCAAATTCCTAGGCTCAACTGATCCGCCCGCCTCAACCTCACAAAGTGCTGGGATTACGGGCATGAGCCACTGTGCCCGGCCCTGACTACTCTTTACCCATCAGTGGCCCACAGAGCCCTTGACTGTTACCAGTGCCTTCGAAAAAGCCAGCGAGACTCCTCAGAGTTCAAATCCATGTCCAAGTTCATACACCATCCACCCAACTGTAGAAAACTTCCAGACTTGTAGGAACCAACATTTGTCCCTGAATGGAAAAAGGATGACCCTAGTTGACCCCTATTTCAGCAGCTGTGGATGAATACTGTTTTTGAGCCACACAAAGAGTGGGATAAAATGAAAAGGGAAGTGGGTGGGGTGCTTTTTAAAAGGGAGCCCCCACTGAACAAATAAGCAGCAGAATCTTCACTGGTTCATGAGGAGGACCATTATTGTAAAAGGTGCTGTTTTATTTAAACTTGCTGATTCTTCATATTTGGTTGATGTATAAAAGCAATCAAGCAATGGAAGTTGTGCTTAGAATTCCATAAAAGCACATGGGTCTGCAGGACATTAATGGAATACAAAGTGTGCCTGTGGCTTCATTAGCACGCAAATAAACTGCTGAGCCCCAGAGCCAAGTGCCTAGAAGCACAGAGGGTGAAGACTGAGGCTCACTCAAGGGATGGAGGGGTTGTTGCTTGAGTAATTGAGATTTATTTTACTTTTTTGCCATCCCTCCAGCATCCCCAAAGCTCAAAGAGAAGAAGGCCTTGCCTGGGACCTCATAAAGGCAGAGTGGTAGAGGGCACTGGAACACCCAGCAGCCACTGGCAAGGCCTGTGAAAACTCCAGATGGATTTCCTGGACAAGAAACATGTTCATAGCAAAGTCTGGGCAAAAAAAAGTTAGACTGCTGTTGTCCTTGTGCTGCTACTCCTGGCAAAACACAGCCACCGACATACCTGCAGAACCTCATTATCTGGGGACACTTGAGCCTTAGTTCTGCAGGGCTGCACTGTTAAGCAGAGGTCTTGTTTATCTTGCACTCTACTGTATTCCCTTTGTGAATCACAGGCTACTACCCAGTGAGATGCGTAAGGGCACAGGCTCTGCAGACAGAATCCCAGGTGGGAGTCCCAGTTCTGCAGGGACTAATCTTAAGTTCCTCATCTATAGGCCAGGCGCGGTGGCTCACGCCTGTAATCCTAGTACTTTCGGAGGCCAAGGCAGGTGGATCACCTGAAATTAGGAATTCAAGACTGGCCTGGCCAACATGGTGAAACCCTGTCCCTACTAAAAATACAAAAATGAGCTGGGCATGGTGACAGGTGCCTATAATCCCAGCTACTCAGGAGGCTGAGGCAGGAGAATCACTTGAACCCTAGGGGTTGGAGGTTGTGTTGAGCCCAAGATCGCACCACTGCACTTCAGACCGGGCGAAAGAGTGAGACTCCATCTCAAAAAAAAAAAAAAAAAAAAAAAAAAAAAAAAAAAAAAAAAGTTCCTCATCCTTAAAAATGAGAATCATGATAGTACTGACTTCCAAGGTTATGTGGGAATGAAATGATGTTATCCTTATAAAGGACTTAGAGACAGCTGTTATCTGCTGCCTGGATTTTCTAAAAAATAAGTAAACATTGTGGTGATTACCATGAAGGAAACGGGATGATGTGATACAGTCACTGTGGAGATTTTTTTTCCAATAAAGTAACTTTAGTTTGCAATGAATAATATGAAGGAAATGGTAAGGCGTGGTGATGTCTTAGCTCTGGGACATGAGTTTAGATGGGTGGTCAGTCTAGGCCTCTCTGGGAGGTGACACTGAAGCTGAGATGAGGAGGAGAGAGGCAGAATCATATCCGGAAGAGGCCCTGGCTGTGCAGGGCTGTGTTGAGGACCTACAGGATTCCATCAGGGCAAGGGTGATTCCAGCAGCCCAAAGGCCCAGCAAGTAGCACTCAGGTCAAGCAGGGCCTTAGAGGTCCAGGCAAGACCACAGGGTTTATTCCACGTGTAGGTGAAAGGCAGTGAAGGACAGTAACATGATCAGATCTGTCATGTGAAATGTTACCTGGGCTGCTGTGTGAAAACCAGGGCAGAGGGATGCAGGGGAGGAGACAGAGAAACCAGTTAGCAGGCTGTTGTGGTTGTCCGGGTGAGAAGTGATGACCACTTGGACCTGGGTGTGGTGACAATGGCAGGATGAGACTTGGCAGATAGAGTTTGCTGTTGAACAGATGTCAAGGATGAGGGGAGGAGGAGTTAAGGCTTACTCCAAGTAACTTAAACTGCCTTTGCAAGAAGGCAGAGAGATCTGAGCCCAATGAGTGACTGGCTGAAAGGTGGTGCCATTAGCCAACACAGGAGAGAGAGTGGCTGTTGGAGGTCATCTGGGAAGTAATCCTCTGGACATGTGAAATCGCAGATGCCAGTTAAGAGGCCGCAAACAGACAAGTCCAGAGATCCAAGGAAAGGCCAGAAGATTAAGAGTGTGGAAGTTTTTAGGAAAAGGGAATGGAGGGAGTCCATTAGAGAAAAGGATAAGATAAAATACAGGCCAGGCCCAAGTCCTAAACAACACCCAGTATTTTGTCATGGAGTATAGAAAGGGAGCAGCCAATGAAGCAGAACGAAATCAGGCTCTGGAGGCCTTGTGCAAGCCATGAGCAAAGAGGCTGTCAGCCCTGCAGGTGATGCGGGCAGGTAAGAAAAGGACAGAAGGGACCAGACCGCTGGATGCAACAACTTGGAGCTCACTGGTGAGCTCAGTGATCCACGTCAGTGGAGACAGAGCCTGACGGGTTAAAAGTAAATGGAAGGTGAGGATGAGAGACATCACATATGCAGACAATTCTCTTAGTGACTAATTCCATATAATCAGCAATTACTAAGAAATTCTAGGCCTTGTGGCTGCATGGCTGTGACTCCCTGTGGTTTGGTCTGATTACAGCTCCTCTGAAAGGTTTCCTGGCCAGCTGTGAAGCCACTCACAGCCTCATTGAGACTGGGCTCTCGCCCGATGACTCCTGCAGCTCCTCAATTGGACTCTAATCACAGAGTACCGCTGCTGGCCTTTTTATTTTAGGGAGAATATAACCTCCTTACTGATGGCTCACGAAGCCGCACTGCCAGGCTACCCAGGTACACCAACAAGCACCACTTCCGAGGCTTGCTTCGCTCTGCCCAGCGTACTGGCAAGCCACCTTGGTTTTCATATTACCTTTAAATTCACACCACGAGGCTGCCTCTTAATTCCCTGTGTATATTCCACTGCCTTGAAACGTACCACATTACGTTTCAATTAAAAAGAATCCACCAGGTGGAGTTGCTCAGGCCTGTAATCTCAGCATTTTGGGAGGGCAAGGTGGGAGGACCACTAGAGCCCAGTAGTTTGCAACCAGCCTGGGCAACATAGTTAAGACCCTATCTCTACAAAAAAAAAAAAAAAAGTTTTAAAAATTAGCCCAGCATGGTGGCACACACCTGTAGTCCCAGCCACTCAGGAGGCTGAGGTGAGGGGATTGCTTGAGCCTGGGAGGTCGAGGCTGCAGTGAGCTGTGATTTGTGCCACTGTACTCCAGCCTGGATGACAGATCAAGACCCTGTCTCTTAAAAGTCCCACCCTGGCTCTGCGGTTAGAGTCATACGACCTTTTATCACCAGGAATAAGAAGCCCAAAAGCTGAAGTGGGAAGACGTGGAACTGAAATCCATGTGTGTACTGGGGGACTTCAGTTGTCACAGTCATTACAATCCAGCATTGTTTTTGCTTGATGCTATGGGGTATATTTGTGAGTGCCAATACTACTGGGCATAAAAAAGGAATGGATTATGTATTTCTGGCCATTCCAGGAAACACTGTATGAATACATTACTATTGAAGGTGCATATGGAACGTGTAGTGTTGAATTTTTGCTTTCTCATTTGTGTGAAGCCAAGAAAGCTTGTTTTGGCCTAACTTATGTACCCAAACCATATAAAATCTTAACGAAAGGCTAAGCAAATTTAAATTAGAAGGAGAAAGGAACAAGAATGGTTGAGGTTTCAATGTGACTTGAATTAGTAAGCTATGTTTCTTTGCATTTTCCATGTCATCGTTTGAAAATCTGAGGAAAACTGTAGACTTGATAAAGTGAGCCCCGTGCTTGCAATTTTGCATATAAATTCAGAAAGTCAGTTCCAGGAGTAACTGAAGCTCATCCTCAGGTCCAGGTGAGGAACTCTTCTGCCTTACGCCAGTCCCTCAAGCTTGCCTGATGACAAGAGTCAGCTGGGGCCCTTGTTAAACTGCAATTCCTGGGTCTCAACCGAAACCTACTTAGTCAGAAGCCAGGGAAAATATCTGGTAATGCTGTTACTGGAAAATATTACCGATCCAGACCCCAAGAGAGGGTTCTTGGATCTTGTGCAAGAAAGAATTCAGGGCAAGCCCACAGAGTAAAATGAAAGCAAGTTTATTAGGAAAGTAAAGGAAAAGAATGGCTACTCCATAGAGCAGCCTTGGGGGCTGCTGGTTGCCCATTTTTATGGTTACTTCTTGATAATATGCTAAACAAAGGGTGGATTATTCATACCTCCCCTTTTTAGACGTTATAGGGTAACTTCCTGATGTTGCCATGGCATTTGTAAACTGTTGTGGCGCTGGTGAGAGTGTAGCAGTGAGGACGATTAGAGGTCATTCTTGTGGCCGTCTTGGGTTTGCTGTTTTGGCTGGCTTCTTTACTGCAATGTTTTATCAGCAAGGTCTTTATGACCTGTATTTTGTGCTGACCTCCTATCTCATCCTGTGACTTAGAATGCCTTAACCATCTGGGAATGCAGCCCAGTAGGTCTTAGCCTCACTTTTACCTAACTCCTATTTAAGATGGAGTTGCTCTGGTTCACATGCCTCTGACAGCATTAAACAATTGGTCTAGAGCAGCACTGTCCACTGGTGATATAATATGATCCACAAATGCAAGGCATGTATGTAATTTTAAATTTTCTAGTAGTCCCATGAAAAAAGTAGAGACACACATGAAATTAATTTTAATAACAATGTAACCCAGTATGTCCAAAATATCTCAACATGTAATCAGTATCCTTTTTTTTTTTTTTTTTTTTTTGATACAGAGTTTCATTCTTGTTTCCCAGGTTGGAGCGCAGTGGCGCGATCTCGGCTTACTGCAACCTCCACCTCCCAGGTTCAAGCGATTCTCCTGCCTCAGGCTCCCAAGTAGCTGAGATTACAGGCAAGCGCCACCACACCCAGCTAATTTTGTATTTAGTAGAGACAGGGTTTCTCCATGTTGGTCAGGCTGGTCTTGAACTCCCGACATCAGGTGATCCGCCAGCCCCGGCCTACCAAAGTGCTGGGATTACAGGCGTGAGCCACAGCGCCCGGCCCCTGTAATCAGTATTTTTTAAACTAAATAGATATTTTACATTTTTTTGTGTTGTCATGAAAACAGATCAACCAACCCAAATTTTAGGTTTAAGTTTACAGTTTGGCCTCGTCTTTGCATCTTTAAATAAATGAGCATCATAGTTCTTTCCTGGGGTTTCTCCCAGCGGTTCACTCCCATTCCCTTCTGAAGGCCAGGCAGTTCTAAGCTCCCAGCAATGGCTACTCCCCACTCCTGCGCCACAACCCTAAGCTGGGGTTGGCCTGGGTCTGAGAGACTCTCTCCTGCCCTTCTGGGGTTCTATCCTCCTTTGGAGCCTGCCAGATCCAGAAAGTTCCCTCTGGTCCCCTGAGGGCCTGGGTGCTGGGGAAGGAAGCGTTTTGTCTTGTGGAAGGGCTGGGATTTCCAGTCTCCCTGTTCACTGAGTGTGGATAGGAGTGGGGGAGGGAGGGGATTTGACTGCTCTAGGTAGCATCCCAGAGTTTTTTGTTGTGAATTTCTTATTGAGTTTGTGGTTACATTTTTAACTCTTCAGTATTTTTTTTCCTTTTACACTATTAATCAACATTAGAATGAAAGATAAAGGGCTCTAAATGGTAATAAAATGTAGGGCAAAAAACCCTTCCCTGCTGTTTTTAGCTGGAGGGAAGCAGGAGTCCCTGGCTTCCCTCCGCTGGAGGAGGACTGCTGGGAAGGCCGAGGAGGTGTTGGGGGGCGGGTGGGGAGGAAAGGAGCCCCCCTCCTGCAACACCATCCTCACTGCTGGTAGGAAATGCTGCCACTCTCCAATGCCGGGAGGAAATGCAGCCAGATCCGAGATGTCCTGGAGGCTGCTAGGGCCCAGGAAAAACACACGCTCCTTCCAGCTTAGCAGAGGCGGGTAGGAGGATTTACTGAAAAATGAGTTCTGGGCTGAGGGCTGGTTGCTAGACTTCCCTTAAAGATCCTGCCCCTTCCATCCTCTCTCCCAAAAGCAGGCCTGGATTTTACGTTGTAATTCCTTTCTTCATTGATCAGTTTGGAGAGCTTGACTTACCCTCATAGTAGCTAAAGGCAGAAATGTAAAAGATTAGATATATGAAAAGCTAGGAAAGGAGAACCAGGGTCTGAACAGTTTGGGCAGCAGAAAGGAGCCTTCTACCCCGACGTCACATTCCCATGCCGTTCCTACATGACTCTAACTCGCACTTTACAGAAAATATACAAAATTGTAAAAATATCTGGCAATGCAAAAGTGAGTGAAGTAGAAAATGAAAGCCTCCCATCAACCCCCTTCAGGAGTTAAGCACTGTTGAGTTTGTGTTTCACCTTCTAGTCTTATTACAGTGTCAGATATTCACACTCAGCTTTTCAGTTTTTACAAAAATGGCATCTTTAGAACTCACCCTTTTTGCTTAATGTATCAGATATCCTCCCATGCCAGTGCATGGCCATCTGATTTTTTTGTTTGTTTTGAGATGGTCTCACTCCGTCACCCAAGCTGGAGTGCAGTGGCAGGATCATGGCTCACTGGTCTTGACCTCCTGGACTCAAGCGATCCTCCCAACTTAGCCTCCTGAGTAGCATGGACTACAGGCATGACCCACCATATCTGGCTAAGTTTTATATTTTTTTGTAGAGATGGGGTTTCACCATGTTGCCCAGGCTGGTCTTCAATTTCTGAGCTCAAGTAATCCACATTCCTTGGCCTCCTAAAGTGCTGAGATTACAGGCATGAGTCACTGCCCCCAGCCCTCCATCTGCATTTTAAAAATATTTTTCAAGCAGAGCATTTCGGTAGCATGGGTAGGCCGTGATTAACCAGTTCCCTGCTTGTCTCCCTTTATTAGGCATTATTGTAACCAATGCCTAAGTGAATCCAAATATAAGTGATGTATCTTTAGGAACCTGTGCTCCTGATATCTCTGTAAAATCAATTCCTAGAAGTGAAGTTGCTTAGTCAAGGGGCATGTTCATTTATTATTTTGCTAGATCCTACCCAACTGTCTTATAAATTAATCATGCAAATTTACATTCTACATACAGTGAGTCCTTTTTAAACGAATTCCTTCCCTAAATCCTGGTTTCTTAATATGCCCAAAGAATCAAATACATTACCTTCAGTAAGTTGTTCTAAAGCTGTTTTAACAGTCACTAGAAGCTGTCACCCAGGCACGGTGCTCAGCACTGGGGGTGCATTGGGGAATCAAACCAAGTAAAGTCCTTGCCACTCTAGAACCCAACATGACCATGGGGGAGCGTCATGGCTCCAGCACGTAATACGGTGACATAGTGCTGAGTGTGCTACTAAGTGGAGTAACACTGTGCATGTGATAGAAGGATCTTGGAAGGGAGTCAGAGTAGTCGAGAAGGCTTTGATTAGTGTTTCCCTGCTGGGTCTTGTGGGAATTAGAGGAAGGCAATGAGCTGACTGGATACTGGAAACCTCCCTGAACTGACTCTAATTAGCTTGGGTTACCAAAGTAGTAGAGGATCCACAGAACTTGAAGCTGCTTTGCCTGTGGAGGGCACGTAGTCAAAAGTGCAAATGTAATTTCATGGGAAATAAGGACCCTTACAATGAAGAGAGTATCATATCTACTCCCTCTACCAATTTTTTGGTTTTTGGCAAGGTGGGATCATGTTGGTCTCAATGAGTGGGGACCTGTTCAAGGTAGGTTGCTAAACCTGAGTGGTTCAGGAGATACTTAGGACACCTGAAAAAGAAGGGGATGGAGACAGACGGGGGTTTGTGGTCAGGCCGCACTCATTGCTGAGGATCTGGTATGCCAATAGTAGAAAGGAACTTCTAGATTAGCTAGAAGACTAGAAACAGAAATTCCTGTCTTGTTTTCTTTGACACATAAGATCTTTAAAAAGCCCTTGTCATTGAAGAAATGGGTTTAAATCTGCATTTGAGAATGAATTCATTCAGGTGACAGTAGCGCTGTTGGGCCCTTTAGTATCTTTTCTCTCCCTTGCCTTTAGGCTTTGCAAGCTAAACCTTCCTCTTTCTGTCACCACTTCCCAGGGAGTGGGCACCTCCAGCATCATCTCAAACTACTCCTGGCATATTTTGTCTCCTTTAATATAGAGAAAAGAAGTTGAAGGCCAGAGTTCAAGAGCTGGTGAGTGCCTTGGAGAGACTCACCAAGAGCAGTGAAATCCGACATCAGCAATCTGCAGAGTTCGTGAATGATCTAAAGCGGGCCAACAGGTAAAAATCTCCCTATACCCAGCCCCCACCGCCCTCCACCTGTGGTACTTGGACTGACACCCTGCATGTAGACACAGCACCAGGGATGGACATTTCCCTAACTCTTAAGAACTAACTCTAGAAAGTGGGTGAGTCCCTACCTGGCTCTCTAAGAGCCTGGTCTTCCTTAGAGTGGCATCTCCCAAGATGGTCTGTGGAAACTAAGAAATGCTCAGTAACAACATCCTTTGGCCAAATGTAGCATACTGTGGTATATGCCTCCTGGTATTATGTATCTTAAATGTTCTGAGAAGTCATATAATAAAAAATCTGTTTAAGCCAGTATTTTCCAAACAAAATTAGCCATGGAATTTATTTGAGCAACACAATATCCACTGGAATACTTCAGGAAATACTGCTCTAAGACTGGGCTCAGGACTCTTCTCTATAAAAAACGGAGGACCTCAGAGAGCTTTTGTTCCTGTAAGTTGTATTTATTGATACTTCTCATGTTAGAACTAAAACCAAGATAAATTATTTAAAGTTTTTATTATTTCATTTACAAAAAAAAAAATGGCATTTTTATGAAAAACTATTTTCCAAGAAATAATTAGAAAAGTGGCACTGGTCTTACAATTCTGCAAATCTTTAATGTCTGGCTTAATAGAAGACAGCTAGGTTCTCACATTTGCTTCTGTAGTCAACATTATGTGGATGTATATTGAGAACACCTGGCATCATCCAGCTCTATAGTTGGAAATAAAAGCTCAAGACCTCACAGACCTCCTGAATGGGTTTTACAAATCTCTGGGGTGAGTCCTCAGACTATCTGGGAGAACTGCAGCTGTAAGGGTAATGACTGTACATGGAATGGACCTACCTGGGCTCACTGTATACCCTACCACCAGGCTCTGGTGGGAACAGTTCAAAGGCCTGTATATTCCATGTTTGGCTTTGCAGCATTGGCTTATGGCCTAATTTAATATTCCGAGTCCCACCAGCCCAAAGCATAAAGGGAAGGTGGAACAAGAACAACCTCTCTGCTCTCGTCCCAGGTATGGTCACTTTGATTGCAGTGCCTTAGGAGTACTCTCCTGTAAGATACACTTGACTATGTTGCAAGCAACCATGGAGCAACAAATAGACCCACTATTTGTATTTATCCGTTTTGGACTGGGCCAATTTGGATTGCTGGTTTGACTCTTAGAACCCCTTCTAATATGTGAGAGTGACCAGCCTCTAGCAATCCGGCTGGATTCATCAGGGTTAAGCCAGTAGGTGACTGGCCGTTGAGTGTTGACATCCTGGTGCTGTCCCTCCTCTGACCACTAGATTTCAGATTCTTACCGAAGAGGATGAGTGATCTTTCTTCAGAGCAGTGCTCACTAGATCTGGTTATCCAGTGGACAGGATGGTGTCACGATGCTACTTAGGATGAATCTTAATACCAATTTCCCTTCATTCCCACCTAGCAACCTGGTGGCTGCCTATGAGAAAGCAAAGAAAAAGCATCAAAACAAACTGAAGAAGTTAGAGTCGCAGATGATGGCCATGGTGGAGAGACATGAGACCCAAGTGAGGATGCTCAAGCAAAGAATAGCTCTGCTAGAGGAGGAGAACTCCAGGCCACACACCAATGAAACTTCGCTTTAATCAGCACTCACGCACCGGAGTTCTGCCCATGGGAAGTAAACTGCAGCAGGCCACTGGGGACAGAAGGGCCCATGTACTTGTTGGGAGGAGGAGGAAAGGGAAGGCTGGCAGGTAGGTCGGCACTTGGACAATGGAGTGCCCCAACTCAACCCTTGGGGCGACTGGCCATGGTGACATTGTGGACTGTATCCAGAGGTGCCCGCTCTTCCCTCCTGGGCCCACAACAGCGTGTAAACACATGTTCTGTGCCTGCTCAGCAGAGCCTCGTTTCTGCTTTCAGCACTCACTCTCCCCCTCCTCTTCTGGTCTGGCGGCTGTGCATCAGTGGGATCCCAGACATTTGTTTCTGTAAGATTTTCCATTGTATCCTCTTTTTGGTAGATGCTGGGCTCATCTTCTAGAATCTCGTTTCTCCTCTTTCCTCCTGCTTCATGGGAAAACAGACCTGTGTGTGCCTCCAGCATTTAAAAGGACTGCTGATTTGTTTACTACAGCAAGGCTTTGGTTTCCAAGTCCCGGGTCTCAACTTTAAGATAGAGGCGGCCATAAGAGGTGATCTCTGGGAGTTATAGGTCATGGGAAGAGCGTAGACAGGTGTTACTTACAGTCCCAGATACACTAAAGTTACAAACAGACCACCACCAGGACTGTGCCTGAACAATTTTGTATTGAGAGAATAAAAACTTCCTTCAATCTTCATTTTGGAGGCAGGGCTGGGAAGGGAGCGCTCTCTTGATTCTGGGATTTCTCCCTCTCAGTGGAGCCTTATTAATATCCAAGACTTAGAGCTGGGAATCTTTTTGATACCTGTAGTGGAACTAAAATTCTGTCAGGGGTTTCTTCAAGAGCTGAGAAACATTATTAGCACTTCCCGCCCCAGGGCACTACATAATTGCTGTTCTGCTGAATCAAATCTCTTCCACATGGGTGCATTTGTAGCTCTGGACCTGTCTCTACCTAAGGACAAGACACTGAGGAGATACTGAACATTTTGCAAAACTTATCACGCCTACTTAAGAGTGCTGTGTAACCCCCAGTTCAAGACTTAGCTCCTGTTGTCATGACGGGGACAGAGTGAGGGAATGGTAGTTAAGGCTTCTTTTTTGCCCCCAGATACATGGTGATGGTTAGCATATGGTGCTTAAAAGGTTAAATTTCAAGCAAAATGCTTACAGGGCTAGGCAGTACCAAAGTAACTGAATTATTTCAGGAAGGTCTTCAATCTTAAAACAAATTCATTATTCTTTTTCAGTTTTACCTCTTCTCTCTCAGTTCTACACTGATACACTTGAAGGACCATTTACTGTTTTTTTCTGTAGCACCAGAGAATCCATCCAAAGTTCCCTATGAAAAATGTGTTCCATTGCCATAGCTGACTACAAATTAAAGTTGAGGAGGTTTCTGCATAGAGTCTTTATGTCCATAAGCTACGGGTAGGTCTATTTTCAGAGCATGATACAAATTCCACAGCCTTCTGTTCGCTGGAGGATACTCCAGCCACCAGTTCGGAGGGCAGACAGCTGTATCCTAAAAGCAACCACTGAGAGGCCAGCAGTGAGGCTGCCCATCTCCAAAACGAAACAACAGATCAACTGGTATCAGTCTAGAAGGACCAGCTTTGGGGTGCTTTGATCACTATGAAAATGTTCACTGGTTTCTGTCAATCATTTGGTCAAAGTTAGTTCCTGTGATTTTTTTTTTTTTTTTTTGAGATGGAGTTTTGCTCGTCACCAGGCTGAAGTGCAGTGGCGTGATCTTGGCTCACTGCAACCTCTGCCTCCTGAGTAGCTGGAATTACAGGTGCCCGCCACCATACCCAGCTAGTTTTTTTGTATTTTTAGTAGAGACAGGGTTTCACCATGTTGGCCAGGCTGGTCTCGAACTCCTGACCACTGATCCACCCACCTCGGCCTCCCAAAGTGCTGGGATTACAGGCATGAGCCAATGTGCCTGGCCATTCCTGTGATTTTTTAGAATTTTTCACTTTTCATATAAAGTTGCATTTTATCATGAGGAAAATGTTTTGGCTGAAAAACATATGCCCCAAAAAAAAAAAAATCAGTTTTCACTATTTTTCCAGCTTGCCTAGGGAAACGTCCTCCCCTGAGCAAAGTGGGATGTGCATGGCTCTTTTTTGTGATTAAGCAGGCATCAAATGGGCAGTTTTCATTTTCACTGACACAGAAACATGTGGCTGAAGCAGGAATAAAATCCTGCCTACTGACTTCTGTCTCCATTCTTGCTCCAGGTAAAATCAGAGAACCTCCCCTTCTCTGAGAATTCCCCCAGGCAGAGGCGGCTCCAGCTCCTGTTAAGGGCCCCAGTTTTACTCATGCTACCTGACCTTAGTTTTAGTACTTTCAAATGTGATTTGGGTAAAAACTATTTTGCAGGCAAAAGTGTTAATTTTTTATAAATATGTATAATAAAAAAGCTATAAAAGTTTTTCCTTTTCTTGTATTTTTCAAATACTCCCCAAGACACAATCCTTGAAGGTGAACTAGGTGGCACTTGATTATGCTAATTGTGGGAGCTACTGAACTAAACTATACTGATTAAATTAAATGCTTGCAGGTTCCTGGGTAATTTTCCTTTGTGAATAACCTGGCGCTACCTGAATTTTTCTCTAACAAACATCTCCAATGAGGGTAAACAATGATCTTGATTCTAATTTATATGAGGTTAAAAACCTTCAGATTTCGTATTTTGAATTGTTCTCCCTAGTTTCCTCAGTGGTTACCCCCTTTTAGTCAGTAACCATCTCTGTTCAGAATTCAGTCTTTGGCTTTTGAAGAAATGGGCACAGAGCCAAAGGACCCATTTCACAGTTCCCTTGGAATATATTTCCCATTGTTGGACTGAGGCAAACAAAACCAACTGTGCAAATCACAAGCAAAAGAGACTTCTGTCCGTAGTTGCGAGTGCCATCAGTGTGAGCTTACCAGCTACAAAAATCTGTCATGGACTGGGGAACAGTATGATTCCTTATTGAAACTTTCATCCTCATCGGCTGGCTTGTCAGCGTTCTGAAGTTAATATCCATGCTGCCTGAAACAAATGTTATGTTTAACTAGCACTTAACTTTTAAAATTGCTTAATTCTCCTTTCAGATGCATGCACTAAGTCTTCTCTGAGCCTGCAGCAATATTTTAGAGGGACCTCTTCTAAGTCAGAGCCTTGACATTCTACTCCAAAAGGAAGTCCAAATTAGAGCCCATAGGCTTTTTCTTAAAAGCTGTTAAGGAGTAGTAAAGAAAGTTACCACTCTAAGGAAAACATGAAACTATCTGAAAGTCTTCTGGTTCCTAACTGGATACAGATTAGATTATTTTAAATGAGAAAAAAGTGCACCGTAGTTACCCGATCAAGATTGGACTGCCTGTGTCCCTGGCATGAATTAAAGAACCTCCATAGTTGCTTGTTCCCTTCTGAAGGTGTTTCCTATGGCCCACGAGAATTATAAAGCAATCACTTTTTAAGTCTATCAGTCAACCTTAATAGCTCTCAAGAGTTTCGATTATCAAGCTTTAAAGTGATAACATATCAAGATGACTATTAAAAAATAAACATCTCTGAAAGTGTCCTTTCCTCCATAAGGCTTTAAACAATTTGCAAATTCTTAATTGGGAGTATGTCCCAATCATTCTATTAAACTATTTACAGCTCTACCTACTTCTAGATTCAGCAAACAGAGCTACTAGTTAGAGTATTTTGAGAGCCAAAATAGTAAGAGACTTCTGTAATGGTTGAGATTTCTGCACTGACCTTAATTAGGGTACCGCCATAGGGCTACCAAAGTTTTTAGTGAGGGCTGGGGAGGTGGAGCATAAGTAACATTTTTTTTCTGCAGAAGGTGATGGCTTTGTAGAACACTATAAAATTTTTCAGGAAAACATACAGCAAATTTTCTTATCCAGTGGGAACAGCCTATTTGACAAGGAATGATATACAAGTTTGATTCACCTTTGAGCACTCTTATAGAGTTTACAGAAGAGGCGTAACTGGTTACAAAACAAAAGTTACGCCTTCACTATCCAGTTCTTAAAGTTTATCCACATCCTACAAATCTTATGTTCATGTAGGTCAGGTTAAAGTAAGCTCCAAACTTGTGGCCTTCAGAAGCATCTCCTGTTTAACACACCTGAAATTACTCTAACTTAATACATTTGTATTCTCTAAGAAATAATGCTGACTGCTGTCACCACAGCATCACTGATCTCTCAGTGGCTGTTAAAATATAAACAAGTGGAAAAAAAGTATACAAGTTGATAGCAGCTGTTCATGTATTCTTGTTTTGCTAATACCTGTGTAGAGAAAGACAGTTTCACATGCAGATCACCATACATTTTTGCTTAAAGGTTACACTGGGTAAACTGTTTGTTTATCACATTACATCTGGGTGAGATTTTGCATGTGACCAAGAGGAAGAAATCATTCAGTCCCGGAAATAGCAACTGCTATGTAAAACCACATCCTTGACTAGTACTTCATCTTTCCACAGTCATCCATCTGCTAATCAGGTGAAATATCAGCTCAGCAGAACAAAGCAAGTTATACACAAATTTCCCCCACATTCACACTGATGCCGTACTTAGTAATTCTGGTTCTACCATTCCCTTTTGCACTTTTTGCAAGTCAAATTCATGTGGAAAAATGTTCTGTTTGTAGAACTCATAGTATTCACTTATAGTGCTCATGTCAGGAATGGCAAGTGAGTAAGAGCCCCTGATAATCTGCTTTTGTTAGAACGTAATGCAAAGATAATAAAACATGTCCACTTCTTTTCTAGTTCTAATCAGTTTTTAGACATCAAGATTTATTTACTTTGCATGAGATTTGTTTCCTATTATTTGAATATGTGCTATACACTTGAATTAGAAAAACCTGCTTGAATGTATTGTCAGTTATTAAAGCACATGTGACTAAGTTTGCATTTGTCAGTATTGTTCTACTGTTTGTACTGAAAGTCTCATTTTAAAATTGCTACTTAACACTGTACTATACCTTGTAATTTTTTAGATTCTCCACTTGTATTCTTTAAATGTTTCCAGATGCCTTTAGTTTTAGCTGCTGTAAAATAGCTACTTTGCGTTATTTGATATAGAATTGTTTTTTAAAAACTCCATTTATTTATACAGAGACATTTATAATATTTTACAAACATTCTTATATTCTGAATAAATATTTCTAATTCCACAGTGTACCTTAACTGTGTTATTTAAAGGGTAAGGCTATCCTTCTGTAGAACTGTGATATACATGCAGGCAAATATCAAATCCATGATGCTTACATGAAATCAAGAGCCCTAGTCAAAGCAGGGGTCTAGAAGTAAGACTATTATTAGATCAAAATGGCCAAAGAACCCTCATTTATAGCCCATTTTTAGTTGGCTTTTTAAAATTTGGCATAAATAGGAAGTTATCTATTGAAGAGAGTCTTTTCCCCTCTTAAAGAAAGATCATTAAAATGGAATGTAATCAAGGACTGGAAATGCAAGGAAGTCATATAGGACAACAAGATGGCAAGCAGCTTTGCAACACATCTGTTAGAGAAAGATTACAATGTTCTCAAGTTTTCACTATGGAAGCAAAGTAACTTTGACAGTAAGTATAACACCTTAGTCACTCTCCTTTTGAGAATTTAAAATAAAAGTTACTATCATATAGCTGAGGTCTCTAATGGAAAAGAATGTATTTCTTTCCCCCTTGAGATCCAAAGTTAAGTATTCCTATTGCAAAACCTGATTCTAGCACAAACTTAAGAATTGCTGGATTTTAAATATCTAATGAATTCACATCTCAAGCCCTACACTATAATCTTGCTTTAAAGCAACAAACTTAATTGTTTGAGGTATTTTCATTTTTGCAGAGACTCTCGACAATATTTCTTCCTGGGGGTTTTTTTTTTTTTTTTTTGGTTGTTTTTTGTTTTTTCCAGACAGAGTCTTGCTCTGTTCACCCAGGCTGGAGTGCAGTGGTGTGATCTCAGCTCACTGCGACCTCTGCCTCCCGGGGTCAAGAGATTCTCCTGCCTCAGCCTCCCAAGTAGCTGGGACTACAGACACGCACCACCACGCCCAGCTAATTTTTGAATTTTTAGTTTCACCATGTTGGTCAGGCTGGTCTCGAACTCCTGACCTCGTGATCCACCCAACTCAGCCTCCCAAAGTGCTGGGATTACAGGTATGAGCACCGCGCCCAGCTTCTTCCTGTTATATAAACATACTTTTATCATGTTCATCTCATACTTGCCATTTTTATTGGTCCAAAGAGCAACCACAATGAGCAACTCAGAACCTACGATGATAAATAACAGTAGCAGAAAACCAGGCTAAGGTGGTAACTAAAACCGCCCAAGCAGCCAATTTTATTGATAGTACATTACAAACAATCTAACACAATGATGTTTTTACAGAAAGCCAGTATCTGAACAACCTTCCATCGTTCAAATTGTATTTTGTAAGATTAAAAGGCTTTTAGTTTCTAACCTATTATTTACATCAAAAAGCTTTCAAAAAGTTAGAGCATAACTGTTAAGACATAGGATTTTGTTCATTTTCTCAGTGGAGAGTACAGAGTACAGCTGACATTCTAGTGGGTCTTTGGAAGTACAGTAATCCTGCAAACATTTAAACTCCAATTCACAAACATGAATCACCGGAAATCCTTTGATAGTCATACCCAACAATACAGGTAGTCTTTATCCTTTCGTTAACACTGAGGGAAAAAAACAGTTGCTGTTCAACTACAACAACATAAATCTAGAAACAGAATGAAACCTGTTCCAAATGTTTCTGTTCTTATAACAAGGTGAACACTACAGGTGTTTTGGGGTTCCTTTTCTGCTATCAGTAAATGTTTGACAATTTCCAAAAGAGCACCAAGAACTGTATACCACCATGAACAGAATCCCTTGAAGTAGATTCACTTATAGTCTTTCTCCAAGCATTAAAATGCCCTATAAGGTAAAACAAAACATTGCTATAATCTAGGCAAAAATTAAAGGTTGAATCATTTCACATAAGATAAAAATAATTACTAAAGAAATAAAGTTCACAAATCTACTTGGTTATCACATTTACTCTAAAGTCTGGTTTTTTCATTGACCATAATATATTTAGTGAAACATTTCCTCAGTTTTTGTCTACCAGCAAAAGGTCTCAAAATAATTTGCTTAACATAACTCAGCATAAATATCTTCACCTTTTTCCGACTAAAACTTACTCCCAAACAAATTGTTTTAAGACTATGTATCCTCCATTAACATCTTTAAAGCATAATGTAAAAAGCCACATCAAGTCTTCTTTTGGAAATAGGCACAGTATTAAAAAGTCAAGTCTTACCACTTTCCCATCCAAACTAATCTGTATGCCCTATTTCGGTTAGACAAAAGGCAATCTTATTAAGAGAACTTCACTTAAAAATGCTAATGCATGAACTGTAATTCCGTTTATTTTATTCTGAAATGAGATGGTTTTAAATTTTTATTAAAGCTAACAGATAAAAGTCTGAATTGTACATGGATCTAGGATAAGTCAATAATTACCAAGGATGATTTTTTAAAAGTACTATAAGGTATTAAGCTAATAAGCAAACTTCAAAACAATTATTTTTTAAAAACAGACATAAAGCAAAATAGTTCATGGTTTTATTGTCCTTCCCTGTTTTTGTTACTGAAGAAAAAGTTTCTAATATTTGTAAAATGGAAGTCAGGTTAGCTGTCTCCTGTCCTAACTCTAAAGTGAAATATGACCAAAGAACTTTAAGACTCATTTCTTTGGACACTTGCATTTAACATTAAATGATTACTTGTGCAACATCCTAACACAAACCTAAAAGGAACCAAAGAGACAGCAGTCCCCTAGAACAGTAGTGAAATGCACAAAGAAACTCTTAGCAGTATGTCTTCTGTGCTTTTCTGTCAGTGCGTATCATATGTATAGTGCATAAAGAATACAAGTCTACTGTTATATATTCCAAAAGCACTAACCCATCTAATCAACCAACTGCTGAAGAATTATCTTTCTAAATTTCATTCACAGTTGAGAACCTTTACTTTCATTTGCTGCCATCCATAGTCTTTTCCTAAGTATCACAAAAGGATATGCCTGCCAATCTCTTAAAAAATGACAATGCAGACTTGTGCTCAAAATGAAGCTACAGATTTAGAACCTCAGATTCAATGAACTAAAAGGAGAATATATTAAATGTTAAATTTGACCTCAGAAATTCCACTATACTAAGGATGTTGCCTAAGACCTCTCAAAGACTGAGGACCAGCAGAACACTGCCCATTTCACTCTAGAACCACACACAAGTCTGTTGTTCCCAAGCCAATGTGAAAGCTATAAGCCTTGAGACTCAAAAGAGCACAGGTGTCCACAGGTGACCCAAACATCAAAAGTGAGATCACCTTCTCAGGAAGGAAAGATAAAATCACTGCTTGCAAGTCTGTGGCAGGTTTGCTATAAAGATGTGAAACAAATTTTAAAATATGGATTATTCTACAGAAGGGGTAAGACACCAGGGAGAAAAAAAGGACTCAATGGACTTTTTCCTGGCCAGTCACACCAAGAAAAAGGATTAAGAAACAACAGGTCTTCAAATGGCACTGAACGAACAGTAGCCAATAACCCAAAAACCACCCAACCACCTGCAGGAAACCTTCCACCAAAAAGCAGAAAACACATATTCAGGGCCATTGTCTTCTACTGGACTAAAAGACTGAAGTCTACTAAAGGTTAGGGTCCATGTGGGACAAGATTACAAACACAGCCAACTGATTTCTGCATTCACTCTTCAGAGTACCTTTGACCAATACTACCCAGCTAACGTAAGCACCTTGTGAAAGCTCATTCCTTTTACGTTGTGCCTTCAAGCTGCTAACATAGCTAGACCATACTCCTCTGCTAACCACAGAAGATCCAAGATAAATGGAATGTTTTTATTGGTGATTTCATTACTCTGATAACCCAGATTAAAGATTTCATTATGAACAATTCTCAAGACCTCCATACTTTATCATAGTTTTTCTTTACACTTGTTTGTACTCAGCTGGTGGAAGTCAACCCTTTAAGCCCACTCCCATGCATAAGAGTAACTTTCACTCTTTTCCCTATTTTAAGACTATTTCAATAGTAAATGCTATTTGTCACAAGGAAGTTAGATGGAAAGGAATGAATCACCATTCAGGACAAATGTATAACCACTGTGATGTGACTGACACCAAAGCAGATTATGGCTGTGTGTTCTGAGTTGTCTTCCTGTAAGAAAGCAGTGCACTGAAGTTTGACTGGAGTTCTACAGTATCAGTACAGGAAGGACCAGACTCCTCATCACTGGTCTTTAAAGTGAGAAAAATTACTTTAGATTCACTGGATTGCTTGGCAATCAAACTTCAAAAAAATTAACTTTATCCAGGGCTAGAAAACACTCGATAATGGCGATACATATATATGTATAGATATAGATATAGATATTCATATATATATGAATGACTACACTTAGGCCATGCAATGATCACATTTCTAGCCTGGAACATAATAAAGCACTCAAGTATTGATAAATGCTCTAAAGTTTCTTTCTTACACTCTTTGCCCAGCAACTATAGCTATTCTTCTCCCTTCAGGACACTTTGATTCTATAACAATAATCTATCATATTTTTTTGAAACTGCAATCCAGAATCCTACTTTGAAAGCATGGGGCAAAGCCTGTACTGCCCATTTGCAGTCTGCCATCTTTCTGACACAGGAGTACAGACTTCAAGAGCAACTCAATTCTAGGAAGCAAAAAGATGCTGAGAAAGCCCACCATCTCATTTTTAGAACTTTTGGCAACTAGACAAATGCACTTTCAAGTCTTAGGACATAATACAAAATCAGAAACTCTACCTAGACTTTACCAAGCTGTCAGGAGTACTGTTTGACAAAATTGTTTTTACTAACACTTGCTTACCTACAGACAGGTATGTAAAGGATACCTTCAAACAAAAAAACAGTTTGTTTTGTTTAGTAATCTAAAGTTACAACAACACATATGAACCCCATCCCCCAGGCTAGAAAATAATCCAAGTCAAAATTACTAGGAAGAAAAGTTAATGAGTCTGACTTTACTATAACTATGATTAACATACAAAGAAAATACTGCCTCGGAAAATATAGAAACACAAAAGATGTCAATCAAAACAGTCTCAGGGAGCAGGAAGGTCCACTGGTACAAAAATAAAGATAAAAAGCCAAGAGAGACCACCCTGACCAACATGGAGAAACCCCGTCTCTACTAAAAAGACAGAATTAGCAGGGCGTGGTGGCGCATGCCTGTAATCCCAGCTACTTGGGAGGCTGAGGCAGGAGAATCACTTGAACCCGGGAGGCGTAGGTTGCGGTGAGCCGAAATTGCACCATTGCACTCCAGCCTGGGCAACAGGAGTGAAACTCCATCTCAAAAAAAAAAAAAAAAAAGCCAAGAGGGTATTGTGGTAAGAAAACTAACTTGGCAAAATGTCTAATTTTTATAATTAACTTTGCTCTCCTTACCATTTAACTGTTGGAGATGAAAAAAGAAAGGATGAGAAGTCCATGAGAGAATAGGTAGTGAAATGTTTTTAATGCACACATGCACTCAGACCTTAACTTTTCTATAGGATACAATATGGTGACTTTTATAGAAGAATCTAATTCCTATAGTAGGAGGCTGTTATTTACTCAGATTTGAATTCCTTTTATTTGACATTACATACAAATTACTAAAGCCTTAATAAGGAAAAGTACCAATTCAATCTTACAGCATAAAATTACTTTCATTATATGTCTTCATTAGCTATACTTACTAATTGATATTTAATAGAAAAATAACGATATTCAAAGCTCAGAACAGCAAGTAGTAACCACAATTCCTTTGACAGCACTGGGAGACTTTCCTTTATACATGAATACAAAAATCCAACTTCATTTTCCAACATCTTTAATCAAATTTCACTCACACTATATGAGTTCTATTAGGTTCTCAGGCCTCTCCAAATGCTCATGTCTCAGGAGGGTATCACTATTTGAAATCCTAAACCATTCATTTGCTACTTCTTAACAAAAATTTTTGAAAAGCATGTAAACCACACCCTTATCTTTTGGATTACAATGGTTAGGTACAAAAACAATTCATTTAGCATCTTATAAATCATTAAAGTTATACATAAAAGCACCTACAAATTTTTTTAAAAATAAAAGATTCACAGTGCACTGCACCTTGGAACATATAAGGTTGGAACGTAACATTTAAAAAGTGAATTCCAAGACCTGTATCTCTCTCAAAGACATAAAACATAATGAAGCAAAACCAACTACTCTTCTCATCTAGCATCTTAAAATGCAGCACTCAGTAGAAGTAAATGATTGCATATTCAGCATACTCCTTTATCACTTGATTTCCTCAAACCATACTAAAATTTCTCAAAGGAGAAATCCAGTTCGCTAAGCATGGCCTTTCTCAAGGTAACCTGAACACTGAGAAACTATTACCCAGGTTTGAGAGAATAAGTATAGTAGATGTACCTAAAACAAGTACATCCAACTTAAATATTTTCTGCATAGTTAAGTCACATCACACACATAAACTTTAACTCACATCTTTTAACATTTTTTTAACCTCAAACTTTGAGGAGAGCTAAAAGCCTGAAGTTATCATAATCACACCCCAACAGTACCCTTATATTTTGTTCCACAGTGCATTAAATAAAGCAGCGCAACAGCAGTAACATTTAACCATAGTTAAACTACTGTAATCACAAAGATAATTTGTTGGTTCTTGAAAAGGCTCAACACCATTAGAGGCCATACTTCTGGTAACTATAATCTCTTTTGCTTCAGTATTGAGAGCTGAAAAATCCAACTCTACAGGCACCAGGAAGACTGGCCAAAGTATGCACTTAAAAAGAAAAAAAAAAACACATACCAAAAAAATAAAAAACAGTAAAAGTTAAATGGTTTCCAGAAGACAATAAATGAGTGAAAATTATTCATCTGCCAGGCAAACTACATTTTCACTCCTTTAACAATTTACCAGAAGTCTGGAATGCTGGGACCAACTATAAATATGGCTCGAAGAGACCCAAGCAAAGCAGCCGTATTTCTGAAAAGAACAGTAAAAGCTTCCAAACACAATCATATAATGCATTAAAAAGCAAAAGTCACAGGATTCAAAAATTTGTCACATTAAAAGATGCAGGATTCTGAATATCATAATTCTATACACACTGCTTTAATTGTGAATTCTCCTGCTTAGCACCAAAAGGGTGACACTTTCATTAATAAATAGAATTTCTCCTTTAAAATCAAGCCATTTAAAAGCTAAAGCAAAGTACTACCAAGTGAATTCCTTAAATAGCCCTTCTTTTAAAAGTCCCATGAGGTTCAGTGGAACCCAATTAAATAGGCTACCTACACAGAATAAAGATTTCTACAATAACATTTATAAGCAGAGAAGTATTTTGTGGATACCACTGTAAAAAAGGATTTTTAAAACCCACATGATAGTTACACACACACACATATACTCAAACACCCCCGACTCCCAAGAAATTCCTTCAATGAGGTCAGATGCAGCCAAAACACTAAAGCCCCCTTAACGCCCTGGTGATTGTCCTCAGTTATAGCTGAAATCCTCCTTAAAATGGGCACTGCCATCCTTATTTGAATTTAAAAATCCTGAAGCAAAATACATTCCTAGGAGTGAGTTATGTATGTTACTGTTATGTAACACATATACATAACGTGTAACCTAGTGAAATGCTTTATTTGGACTTGGGTAAACTGCATACCCCTTCCCTTCTCGCTCCATCATCCAGGGGCTTAGCAGGTCAATAAAAGCATGTCAGTCTCTGCTACTATTGCGAATTGGAACCTAATGTAACATCAGTTTCCAAAGATCAATACTGGAGATGCAACGTAAAACCTAGTAATATCAGTTTTCCATACATATTTACACAACTGGAATACAGAAGAAATTTCCACAAGAACAAAAGTCTACGAGACTAAAGGGTTGGAGGCAGGACAGTAAAGACATGACCCAAAGTAGCTGCTGGGTCCCAGCCTCCATGCTGTCTGCTACATTTCCTCCAGCAGTCTCACAGGTTTACTGACTGCATGTAACCACAGCTCAAAATCACAGCATCAGCTCCCATCCACTCAAGCCCCTCCAGGCTACAGACTTTGTCCTTTTGAAGCGCTGAGTTCATTTTGGACATGCACATTATATTCCAGAAGCTGCTCAATAAATCCTTTCACTAAAACTCCAGAGGAAGATTAGAGAGCCTCAGTGGTTAGAAGCAGAGAGAAGTACAAAATGCCACCAAAATAGATCACCTGTAATGCTGACGAATGTGACATCTCAGCTCTTGTGTTCATTTAATAATTGGGCATTACTTTAAGTTTCTTTGAAAAACTCCAATATACTATTATTGCAATCACTGTAACAGGTAGATGGAGCATTCCCATTAACTTGGCTACTTGACAGTAACTCAATACATTATTTTCTTAACCAGAATACAAAATAAAACCCACAGTCACACAGAATAAATGCCCTCAAAGAAAGCAACTTAAACTTGTACTGAACACTGAAAAGGTAAATCTGTATAAAAGGTTATAACTGCATTTACAGTGCAAACTCGTGTTTCTTTCTACTCTCTTATAAACAGAAAATGTCTTCAGAAACATTGCCTCCCTGCATTTCTTTAAAACACCTGAGAAAGGTAAGGCTTGAGGAGACACCCACTCAAATTCAACAGGTCTCTGATCCTGGGACATTTACAATACATGTGCTGCTATCAAAGGTCCAAGATTTTCATTATAGCATTATGGTCAAACTTGAAACTCAAAAAGGCTCTGGATGAAAAGGGGAACTTGCAATGTCCATTACATGCCACGGGCTGTCCCTCAGCATGTTCTAGCAACTGGTCTTCACTGGAGCTAGGCAAGTCATATACAGCATCTGTTTAAAGAAAAAACAAAATAAATAAGCTCAGTAACCTTAGTAAGAAATCAAATACTGCCCTTTGCCTTTTGTTACAAAACAATTAGTTTTGAGTATATATTTATCTTCCCAGACTCTAACCCTAAACAGAACCACCAAAATATGTATTTTCCTTTCCATAAACTGGTGGTCAACTGCATTTTCAATCTATTATTATTTCCACATATTCAAAATCTTAATCTCAGCCATTAAGACCCTTGACATTCCTTTGCTTTCAAAATGAGCGTAACTTTACCTCCTGTATGTGCTTTACCTATTTTATGTGCATTCTGTTACAGAAAAATAAAGCTGGGGTTTACCAAGATTTCCAGGAATTTATCACCATAAAGAAAAATCTGGCCAGGCATGGTGGCTCACACCTGTAATCCCAGCACTTTGGGAGGCCAAGGAGGGCAGATCACAAGGTCAGGAGTTCGAGACCAGCCTGGCCAAGATGGTGAAACCCCATCTCTACTAAAAATACAAAAATTAGCCAGGCATGGTGGCACACGCCTGTAATCCCAGCTACTCAGAAGGCTGAGGCAGGAGAATGACTTGTACCCAGGAGGCGGAGGCTGCAGTAAGCTGAGATCGTGCTGTTGCACTCCAGTCTGGGTGACACAGCAAGACTCTGTCTCAAAAAAACAAAAGAAAAAAATAAGAAAAAAAAGAAAAATCCAAATTTTCCAAATCATAGTACAACAAAACTCCAATTTATCTGGGATTTTTTCCCCCCTCCTTTTAAACAGATCAGGGACTTGACCAGAAAGTAGGTTTGGAATAGACATCAAGAGGCTGGGGTAGAAAGAAAGTCTGAAATGAGGATGAGGCTTCCCAGGACATGAATCCTTTCACACTTCTCAAGACAACTCAAAATTTTATATATTCATATAATGCCCAACTAAGATCGATATACCAAGTTATAGTATGCTGCCCCTTTTTTCGAGATGGTCTCATTCTGTTGCCCAAACTGGAGTACAGTGATAATCACAGCTCACTTCAGCCTCAACCTCCTGGGCGCAAGTGACCTTTTTGCCTCAGCCTCTTAAGTAGCTGGGACTACAGGTATGTGCCACCACAGCTGGCTCATTTTTAATTTTTGTAGAGACAAGAGTCTTGCTATGTTGCCCAGGCTGGCATGGTGTACCTTTTTTAATGTCCCTGAATATACGGCTTTTAAAAGATTCTGTGAAATAACTAATTTCTGAATATATGTTAACTAGATTTCACTATCCACCTAACATGTCCCCACCACCCAAGGTGGCCAGAAAAAAATCCTATTAAGAAGACTTATACCCCCATAACTTTTCTATACTAACTCTAATGAGGAGAAATAATAGACCCTTCAATAAATGGTGCTGGGAAAACTGGATATCCACATGCAAAAGAACTGGATCCTTATCATATACCAGACATAAAAATGAACTTGAAATGGATGAAAGACTTAAATGTAAGACCCGAAACTGTAGCATTCCTAGAAGAAAACAGGGAAAAAAGCTCTCTGATGCCCATCTTCACAATGACTTTTTTTTGGATATGACCGCAAAAGCACAGGTAACAAAAACAAAAATAAACAAGTGGGACTGTATCAAACTAAATTCTAATGATAGTTCCTTTCTTCACAGTTAACAGTAACTTTCCATAATAGGGTTAAGGCATCTCTTTCAAAATAGCATTATCTTGCTTAAATCACAGACAGTATTACAGAAAAAGAATATGATAATGCTTTTTCATTTCTTAGGCTTTTCTATATGAAAGCCTTAAATTTAGATGGTGAATAAATGAGTATCTACTGCACAGGAAATTTCATACAATTCAAAATAGCACCTAAGAAAAAAGTCTACTGCACTTCCAAGTATCATCTACTAAATCAGTATTTAACAAAGAGCTTTCTACATTCACCAGGATTACTTTCCGAATCAGACAACACACCTAGTTTTCATAACCGAGGAAGGAGAAATTGCAAGTATCTTTAATAAAACTCATACTTAGTATCACCTTAAAAAGTTGAACACTGCCTCCAAAAGAGGGAAAAATGTTCCTTTTAATTGGAAAAAAGGCATACAAATTTACTAACGTGTGTATGGGAAGAACCACAGTGATTACCTCCCCAAAATGTTCCCCTTCTAAAGTCAGTGCACCCCTTATATAGATCTGAGAGTGAGGTTTCCTAGCCTTTACAATACTGGATTCTTTCTACTCTCCCCAAATCCTTATGCAATTATTTACGTATTTAAAATATTCACGCATAGCACTAAGGCTTAACATTCATAAAAGAAACGGCACAGTCTGAAGGCAAGTAATTTTATCTAAATGAATTTGTTTCAGCCAGTTTCTTAGAGAACTCTACATACATGAACTCTTTCTACAGAACATATGCAACTCTTCCTGCTTAACTATCACAGATCACATACTCCCACTAAAATCAAAGTTAGGTAAACCAAACCAAATCCCACAAGGCAGAGATTATAAAAAGATAGGAAATGACTTGCCTGTTTCAAAATTATCCTGAAGTTTCCGTGGATGAAGTTTCTTTTCACACTTCTATTTAAAAAAAAAAAAAACACACACACACACACATACAACACAGTCACCAGTTATTTCACTTATTAAAAATCAAAAGATGTATTATCAAATTTCTCAGGAAGAAAAACTGAACCAGGAATATAATCATCATCCCATTCTCTCACCAGTATTTTTGTATTTTGTATTTACTTTTCACACCTAAAATTTTTTTTAGTTCTTGATTACATACATACACATTATAAAGACATCAAAAAAATAGACAAGTATTGGCTAGGTGTGGTGGCTCATGCCTGTAATCCTAGCACTTTGAGAGGCTGAAGCAAACGGATCACTTGAGGCCAAGAGTCTGAGACCAGCAAAATCACCTCCCAACATACTTTATTTATAAAACATAAAAATCAGCCAGGGCTAACTAATTTAGCTGAGGTGGCCAGAGACAGTGGCTCACAGCTGTAATCCCAGCACTTTGGGAAGCCAGAGCATGAGGATCACTTGAGCCCAGCAGTTCAAGACCAGTCTGGGTAACATGGTGAGACCTATTTCTACCAAAAAAAAAAAAAAAAAAATACAAGAATTAGTAGGGTGTGGTGCCACGCACCTATAGTCCCAGCTACTCTGGAGGCTGAGATGGGAGGACTGCTTGAACCAAGGAGGTGGAGGTTGCAGTGAGCCAAGATCGCACCACCACATTTCAGCCTGGGTGACAGAGCAAAACCCTGTCTCAAAAAAAAAAAAAAAAGAGCTGAGGCAAGAAAATGGCTTGAGCCCAGAAGTTCAAGGCTACAGTAAACAATGTACGTGCCATTGTACTCTAGACGACAGAGCGAGACCCTGTCTCAAAAAAAAAAAAAAGGAAAAAAAAGATTATTCATTACATTTCTCAACCCAGAGCTAATTAGTATTATATTTTTCTAGCTGATTTCCTATGAAGATGTGTGTTAACATCTTTTCATAAAATTGCAAACTTTAAATGGAATTATATCATATGTACTAGTGTCTGATAGTCTTTAAAAATAGAATATAATGTGAAGAAATTCCTTTTTCAATAAATGTACATTGTCATTTTTAGCAACTTGATGGTAACCCACTGCACAGATCTACGATACTGTATTTAATATCTTCTTCAATATTTGTTTTCCACGTTTTCATCATAAAGGGGGTGAACATTCTTTAGATTCCTCTTCTAGGGAAAAAGTGAACACTTTTGTAGGGTTTTGATATAGCAAAGTCCTCTCTAGAAGGTTGTACCAATTAGTAATTTTTATGTGTTACCAATACACTCAATACACAACTGGGTTACTTCTTTTCATCTTTGCCAATCTGATCGGAGAAATGTAACTCATTTCAATTTACATTCTTTGACCACATATACAGTTTAACACTGTGATATGTTTATCAGTCCCTTTTATTTCTTCTCTTAAAAACTGCTCATATACTTGCTCTCTGTCATTAACTTTCGTCTTAAACAACTTTTAAAAATCTATTCAAAGTTCTTCTAGACAAATGTGAGAGTATTTTGTGAAGTTCTCCCAAAAAATCTACAAAGAATTTTATTGGTATCATATTAAATGTACACATTAATTTGAGGACAATTAACACTTGCACAATATTATCAATAAGTTATCTGTCGGCCGGGAGCGGTGGCTCACGCCTGTAATCCCAGCACTTTGGGAGGCAGAGGCAGGTGGATCACGAGGTCTGGAGATCGAGACCATCCTGGCCAACATGGTGAAACCCTGTCTGTACTAAAATACAAAAAAAAATTAGCCAGGGGTGGTGGCGCACACCTCTAGTCCCAGCTACTCAGGAGGCTGAGACAGGGGAATCACTTGAACCCGGGAAGTGGAGGTTGCAGTGAGCCGAGATCGTGCCACTGCAATCCAGCTTGGTGACAGAGAGAGACTCAATCTCAAAAAAAAAAAAAGTTATCTGTCTAGTTTTTGTTAAAAACAGCTGTTGAATTTTATTAAAAGCCTTTTAATCATCTACTAAGATTGTCTTCTCTGTTCTTGTCACCACTTTTATCAGACAGAAGAGAAATAATAAAGGTAAAGTAGTCAAATGAGTCATTAGAACCCAAATTAAGTAAATACCCAGGGAATTCAGGTAAAATATTTTTGCTAAAAATTTGAAATTACTATTATTACTCACCAATAAATGAAAAACAGGTGAAGCTACAATAAGAAAACCTAATATACAAATATCAGAACTTACAGAAAAGATAACGCAGGAGACTGTGAGTTATGAATTAACTTTTGGAGGACTGACTAAACAAAAGAATGAAAGAAAACTGCTTTGTTATTTGTCATCAAGCAAAATCTAATGACAATAGCACTGGCTGTGTTTTTTTTATTTTCTAAACTCTATCAACTTGAAGAAAAAAATAGTCAAATCCCCCCAAACTTTTACCCTCACTGAAATAATATTTAGAAAAACATGGAGCAATAGCCAAATAATTGCTCTAGAGAACAGGTTTGAGTACACATTGATATTAAAATAAACAGCCACATAAAAAATTAGATGTACAATTGCATCAACATTATACATTTGTAATTAAGAGCAGCCAGAGATTTTTAGTGTGAATAGTGCACAAGTCAGCTACACAAAAATCCTACTAGTATATCAATTAAAATAAGAACAAAACAAGTAACATTCCTGTGCTTTGGCAATGCCCTTGTTTCACTCTTCAGAGGATGAACTGCCTACTTAGTGTGACAGCTATAACTCTTACCATCAAAGAATTCTGCTGCTTTGCTGGCTGAAGCCCATTTGTTCTTTTCTTTTGATTAGGTGAATCTTGATACTGTTTTCTGCCATTTCCCCTCATACTTTGATTCTGTTTTCCCAAAAAGAAATATAATATGAATCTATAGCATAATGTAATAGCACAAAAAAAATACCCCATGAATATGTTTAGCTGGTTGAACCAAGTTTTTAGCAAAGCTTCTCCTACCCAAATTTTCATTAATCACCCTATCAATGTATTTTCTTATAGAAGTCAGTGCTTCCCAAAGCAAGAGTTCTCTAAAGGTATGAAATAGCAAATACACTTGCCCCTAGAAATCTTTCCACACCTCGGCCGGGCGCAGTGGCTCATGCCTGTAATCCCAGCATTTTGGGAGGCTGAGGCGGGCGGATCACGAGGTTGAGATGAGACCATCCTGGCTAACACAGCAAAACCCCGTCTCTACTAAAAATACAAAAACTTATCCGGGCATGGTGGCACACGCCTATAGTCCCAGCTACTCAGGAGGCAGAGGCAGAAGAGTCACCCGAACCCAGGAGGTGGAGGTTGCAGTCAGCCAAGATGGCACGACTGCACTACAGCCTGGGCAACAGAGGGAGACTATCTCTTTTTCAAAAAAAAAAAAAAGAAAGAAAGAAAGAAAGAAAGAAATCTTTCCACACCTCTTGCCTTATCCCATGTCTGCTTATAGATCTCGTTTCTAATGCATAAATGGAACCTCTCTGTAAAGGAATGCCGAGGGACATTAGCTACAGTTCTTAAAGCAGAAAATGGGTAGATGTAGTAATCAATTGTTACCCTAGAAATCTGCTTTAAATTATTAATAAGCAGTATTAATTTTTACAAAGTTTTTACTATATTTTTACAAAATAACAAAGATTACTATTATTTTTTTTTTAAATGGAGTCTCACTTTGTTGCCCAGGCCGGAGCACAGTGCTTGGCTCTCTGCAACCTCCACCTCCCAAGTTCAAGCGATTCTCCTGCCTCAGCCTCCCAAGCAGCTAGGATTACAAGCATATGCCACCATGCCCGGCTAATTTTTGTATTTTTAATAGGGACGGTGAAGGTTTTCACCCTGTTGGCCAAGCTGGTTTCAAACTCCTGACCTCAAGTGATCCACCCACCTTGGCCTCCCGAAGAGCTAGAATTACAGGTGTGAGCCAACGTTCCCGGCTAAGATTTATGTTTTAAAATGTGGGCCATTATTCCTAAACTTAGACATGCAATAGTTTGAATCTTGCTATTAAATTGCTTTAAGATAATTTTCCTACCAAAAAATTCTTAAGTTTAAATTAAAACGAACATTTTAAACATTAATTTGTTGTTTGAGATATTGAAAAGATAGCTATTTGAGGACTGGCTAAAATAGAATAAATAGGAGGAACTTCTAAAATATATATATATAAAATAAGAATGTTAATTTACATTCCAACCTATAGGGAAAAATAACCAGTTGCTAAAATAGCTGGAAAACAATAACCTAAGTAAGTGATGTGAAGGAAGTATGGCTTTGAATGACTCATGTTACTACGCAGTTTTAATTTAGTTTCATTCCACTCTTCCCAGCAGTTTTTTAATTGTGGTACAAAATACATACAATTTACCACATCAACCACTTGTGAATGTATAATTCAGTGGCATTTAGTATAGTCAGCACTACCCACTTCCCCAACTTTTATCATCCCAAACAAAAACTCTGCAACCAATAAACAGTAACTCCCTATTCTCCCCTCCCTCTAGCCTTGGTAATCTCTACTTTGTGTCTCTATGAATTTGCCTATTTAGGAATGGAATAACATTAATACGATATTTATCCTCTTGTGTCTGGCTTATTGCACTTAGCATAATGTCCTCGAGGTTTACCCATATTGTAGCATGCTTCGAAATTTTTTTTTTTTTTTTTTTTTTGGAGATAGGGTCCCACTCCTGTTGCCCAGGCTGGAGTGCAATGGCGCCACCACAGCCTTGACTTCCCAGGCTCAGGTGATTTTCCCACCTCAGCCTCCTGAGCAGCTGGAACTACAGGTGTGCACCACCATGCCTGGCTCATTTTTTATATTTTTAGTAGTAGAGACATGCTGCCCAGGTGGGTCTCGAACTACTGGGCTCAAATAATCCGCCTGCCTCAGCCTACCAAAGAGATGGGATTACAGGTATGAGCCCCCATGCCTGGGCAGAATTTCATTTCTTAATTTCATTCCTTTAAAGCTGAATGATATTCCATTATGTGTATACACCACATTGTTTATCCATTCATCTGTTGACAGGCATATGAGTTGTTTCCACCTTTTGGCTATTGTGAATAATGCTGCTATGAACATTGGTACACAAGTTATCTGTTTAAGTTCCTGCTTTCAATTCTTTTGGATATTACCTAGGAATGGAATTGCTGAGTCACATGGTAACTCTGTTTAACTGTTTGAGAAATTGCCAAACTCTTTTCCACAGCGGTTGCACCATTTTACACTCCCATCAGCAATGCACAAGGTCTCCAGTTTCTCCACATCCTCACCAATACTTGTTTTCTGTTTTTTTGTTTTTTATTATAGCCATCCTAATGGGTAAGAAGTGATATCTCACTGTGGAGATACCACTAATTATTAACAATGTTCCCTAATGATTAATAATGTTGAGCCATTTGCATATCTTCTTTGGAGAACTGTCTATTCAAGTCATTTGTCCAGTTTTAAATTAGATTGTTGTGTTGTTGTTGAGTTCTAAGAATTCTTTACATATTCTGGATATTAACCCCTTATATATATAATTTGCAAATATCTTCTATTTTGTGGGCTACTTTTTCACTATTTTGAAAATGTCTTCTGAAGCACAAAAGTTTAATTTTGACAAGCCCAGTTTACACACACACACACACACCCACACGCACACTTTTTTTTTTGAGACAGAGTTTTGTTCTTATTGCCCAGGCTGGAGTGCAATGGCGCGATCTTGGCTCACTGCAGCCTCTGCTTCCCGAGTTCAAGCAATTCTCCTGCCTCGGGCTCTATCTAGAGTAGCTGGGATTACAGGAGCCCGCCACCACGCCCAGCTAATTTTTTGTATTTTTAGTAAAGACGGGGTTTCACCATGTCGGGGCTGATCTCGAACTTATGACCTTAGGTGATTCACCCGCCTCGCCTCCCAAAGTGCTGGGATTACAGCCATGAGCCACCACGCCTGGCCAAGCCCAGTATATTTTTAAAATAAAAAAAAAAAAAAAGTAACATTGAAACCTGAAATTAAAAAAATAACATCAAGTATTAGTAAAGATGTGCAACGATTAGAACTCTCATGTATTTTGCTGAGGATATAAATAACTTGAGTAAATTAGCAAATAGATACTCAATAACACAGGCATATCCAGTGATCCAATAATTCTACTTTTCTTTCCTTTTAGTTACACAGAACTGTGTATATTCATCAAAAGACAGGTATAGGAATGTTCACAGCAGCACTGTTTGTTAAAGCCCCAAACTGGAAACAACCAAAATGTGCATTAACAGTGTTATGAATAAATAAACTGTGGTGCTTAGAACATGTGGAAAAAAGGAAAACAAGTATTAATAGCAGTGTAATTATACACTCGAATACAACAATGAAAATCGAAGTTTACAATACGCTGTTACTTTTTCTTCCTGAACAAAAGCCAATAGATCCCACTTGTGTTAATTTGGAAAATATTTTCCTTATGACTTATTTTTAAATGAACCTTTCATTGGCAGCATATACACAAAAGTCAGATGCTAATTCTTATTATTAACTGGATTTACACCGGAACTGTAAACATTAAGAAGCCTCAGCCCTGCTTCAAATCATAAGTAAGGAACATACAGGCTTTGATCAGTAACTCAGAGCTCTCTGTAACTATTAAGATGTAATTCTCCAATTGAGAAAAATTTCAAAGCCAAATGATCTAAATTTCTGAAAAGACTGTAATTGTGTATCACTCACCTTTCCTTTTAAAAGGTCAGACATTTCAGAATGATTATTATATGGCTTTTGCTGCAGTGGTTGCCTGTGCTTTACCCACTGGTCACCAGGAGAACCGTCAGGAAATAACTGCTGACTGTGGCGGAATTTGGTTCGACTACACCAAGATTTAAAAAATAATCAAATCAGAAAATGTTCACTTATAGTTCTTTTAACACCTTAATAGTTAAATTTATAGACTACATATTTTCTTATTTACTGTCTATCTTCCCCACTGGAATGTAAGTTCTATGAGAGCAGAGATTTTAATCTGCACTGCTTTATCCTCATCACCCAGATGAGTGCCTGGTATTCAATAAATATTTCTTGAATGAATTAATACACTACTATTTTTTTTCATCCTAGACTTAAAAAAATTATCCAGGCCATCTCCTCCCTATAAGTGATTATAGTGTACTCTTAAAAAATATGCAGACTATAAATCTAAATTTAGATGAAACGAATGTACATTTTCCTGCTTTTTGAGACTGGGTTTCCCTCTGTCATCCAGGCTGGAGTGCAGTGGCAGGATCACAGCTCACCGTGGCCTCAACCTCTCAGGCTCGAGCCATCCTCTCACCTCAGCCTCCCAAGTTGCTGAGACTACAGACACACGCCACCATGCCCTGCTAATTTTTTGACCCTGCACAAGTCAGTTACAGACCACATCCTAGCTGAAAGATGATCTGAGAAAGTAAGCTACCCTCTAAAGTATAAAATTAAAGGGCACAAGATAATGAATGAGCAAATTAAGTAAAGATCCAGTCTCGAATTCTTCTGCAAAAGAATCTATTAAAATGTTGTACTAATGCAGGCTGAGCGCAGTAGCTCACACCTATACTCCCAGCACTTTGGGAGGCCAAGGAGGGTAGATCACTCAAGGTCAGGAATTAGTCAGCTTTTGACTAATATTACAATAACAGATTCTGAAAGACATCAGGGCATTTAGTCCAAGCTCCTGTCCTCAGAATATCCATCTAAAATGGAATGCTACTGATTTAAGAAATGCTTACTATAGAGGTGGTTTACTCCTATTTAATTTCTGAAGCTCTGTCATAAAAGCAAATCCAAATTACAGAAAATGTAAAAATCAACTCTCTCTAACATAGGCAACTTTGTAAACAAGGTGATTATGCTTAAAATATATATTATGTTTAAAAATACAACCTTATTTAACAAAGTTACTTTCCCAGCCTACTCTGTAACTGACTTGGATGCAATTAAGTTGTAAGCCAGAGGCCAGGCATGGTGGCTCACGCCCGTAATCTCAAAACTTTGGGAAGCTGAGGCAGGAGGATCACTGGAGCCCAAGAGTTCAACAGCAGCCTGGGCAGCATAGGGAGAGCCCCATCTCTACAAAAAATAAGAAAAAATTAGCCAGGCTTAGTGGCATCTGCCTGTGTTCCCAGTGACTCAGGAAACTAAGTGGGATGATTACTTGAGTCCAGGAGGTCAAGGCTGCGGTGAGCTGTGATCATGCCACGTACTCCAGCCTGGGCAACAGAGAGAGACCCTGCCTCAAAAACAAAAAACAAACAAAAAGTTCCAAGCAAGAAAATGTTCTTCACGGTTTATGTCCAGGTAGTAGTCACTCTTGATAATACACAATCTCTGACACAATTTTTTTTTTTTTTTTTGAGACCGAGTCTCACTCTGTCACCCAGGCTGGAGTACAGTGGCATGATCTTGGCCCACTGAAACCTCCGCCTCCCAGGTTTAAGCCATTCTCCTGCCTCAGCCTCCCGAGAAGCTGGGATTACAGGTGCCTGCCACCACGCCCAGCTAATTTTTGTACTTCTAGTAGAGATGGGGTTTCACCATGCTGACCAGGCTGGTCTTGAACTCATGATCTCAGGTGATCCACCTGCCTTGGCCTCCCAAAGTGCTGGAATTACAGGCGTGAGCCACTGTCCCTTGCTGGGAAATTTTTTTAAAAGCCCAAGTCTTCACTGTTCTATCTCCAATTTAACAAACTACATTAGCATCCTTCCTCTCCCCTACAAGAAAACAAACCTCAACATATCCTCCATCCAAACGTCTTTAGAAACTCAATTATCTTAAAAGTAGGATATGACAACAGAGAAGTAACACTAAGAACACACGACACAAGATTTTTTTTCCTTTCCTAGTGTTCTATCTAAAAAGTTGGTATCCTCTTGAGTATACTATTTTAAAAGGTGCCTGAAGCTCCTTTCCAACTCCAATTAACCTTTTTCATCTCATCAGAAACCCTTTAAAAAAATCTTCTATTATCTGTGAGACCAGTAACAAAGAGTATCTATAAAAAGAAATCTTACATCCTCTGCAAATTTTAGAAGCAAAATACTATTATTCCACTTTTAAAAACTATTAGAAAATCAGGATTCCATGAATGTATTTCTTTACCTCAATTTTTCCACAGTGGGTTTAGCCGGCGTGCTACCAGTTGAGGAAAATCCATTGTCACTGTCTGAGGAATCGCCAAATCTTCGAGAAAGCCAGTCCCTTAATGGTCTGCAGAAACATTAAGAATTCACTTTCAAAATATGGCTACAGACAGAAGATGACTATCCCAATCATGAAAGTTACATTTCAAGAAATATGAACACACCTGATAAAGGGAATGGCCATAAAAAATTTGTTAGGTGCCAAACCAAGTTTGGATTTGGGGGTCATATCATTTCTATGACAAGGCAATTTCTCAATAGAGAACCACTCAATGTTCTGAAACACAGAAGAAAATAATTCATTTAGTTAATTTTTATCAAGGAGCTTATAAAAGGATTTCCCTACTTATTCATTTGGGATACTGTCCAGTAACCTGAAAATACTCTTGTTACATACCCGAATTTCTCTTCTAGTTTTTGGGTTAAATTTTGTGTCTTTTGGAATTCCTGGAATGATGTACAAACGAGCAAGCTGGTCATTGATTCGAAGTTCAATGTAATCATCCTTACAAATATAGTCTTTGATATCAAAACCAGTTTCTTCAAAGACCTGGAAACAACAAATTTGGATGAAATTTTCATTTTAGTTCTTAGGCCTCTAGTTCATTAAAATTTATTCCCAAGACAAAAACTCAGAAAAAGGGGACATGACTTGTATTTACTATTTCTAGAAATGACAGGCTGGTACAGAAATGCATATGAGATGTAAAAAAAGTTCTTGTGCCCTATTGTTTCTAATACTGTATCCACAGGTGGTATGGTATATAGAGAACCAGTCCACTGTAGACCTGATTGCTGACATTCAAACACACACAAACTATATATCTTTCCCAGAATAAAATTCTGAAGGCTAGTGATAGAGGTTTCAAGATTTCCCACTCTCCAAATCTTAACATTTATATACAGAAGGTAAGGTAATTAAATCATCAATGATGTGGAACTGACTCATGCAAGCTGTCTGAGCATTCCAATCAGAGTAAAAGTCCAGATGCTTTGGTTTTCCTTTCCTTCGAAACTAAGGTCTAATCTACTGCTTGAGATAGAGCTTAATAATGTTTTTGATTAATAAATTAATCTCGATGGCTTGGATTTATAATTTTAACAATTAAGGCTGGTTTACTTAAAAGTTTACCTATCAATATGTGCAACTGTCTTCAAAGACACCATTAAGATCAAGAATATATTAAAAACTCAGGTAGGGTGTGTGGGTGTGTGTGTGTGTGTGTGTGTGTGTATTAGACAAGTAATTGCACTTCAAAAAAATAGGACTGGGCACAGTGGCTCACACCTGCAATCTCAGTACTTTGGGAGGCCACAGAGGGAGGATCACTTGAGCCCAGGTGTTCGAGACCAGTAATTGCACTTCAAAAAAACAGGACTGGGCACAGTGGCTCACACCTGCAATCTCAGTACTTTGGGAGGCCAAAGAGGGAGGATCACTTGAGCCCAGGTGTTCGAGACCATTCTAGGCAACAGTGGGACTCCATCTATACAAAAAAATGTAGATAAAAATTAGCCTGGCATGGTGGTATACCCCTGTTTTTCTTCTTCTTTTTTTTTTTTTTTTTTTTTGAGATGGAGTTTCGCTCTTGTTGCCCGGGCTGGAGTGCAATGGTGGGCTCCTGGCTCAGTGCAACCTCTGCCTCCCAGTTTCAAGCAATTCTCCTGCCTCAGCCTCCTGAGCAGCTGGGATTACAGCTGCCTGTCACCATGCCCAGCTAATTTTTGTATTTTTAGTAGAGACAGGGTTTCACCATGTTGGCCAGGCTGGTCTCAAACTCCTGACCTCAGGTGATCCACCCGCCTTGGCCTCCCAAAGTGCTAGGATTATAGGTATGAGCCACCATGCCCGGCCGCACGCCTGTTTTTCTAGTTACTCAGTAGGCTGGGGTGAGAGGATCACTTGATCAAAGGAGTTCCAGGCTACAGTGAACCGTGATCACCATCCCAGTGCACTCCAGTCTAGATGACAGAGCAAGACCCTGTCTTTAAAAAAAAAAAAAAAAAGGCTGGGTGCGATGGCTCACGCCTGTAATCCCAGCACTAAGGGGAGGCCAAGGCAGGCTAATCACCAGGTCAGGAGTTAGAGACCAGCCTGACCAACATGGAGAAACTCCGTCTCTACTAAAAATACAAAATTAGCCAGGCGGGGTGGCGCATGCCTGTAATCCCAGCTACTCGGAAGGCTGAGACAGGAGAATCACTTGAACCCCAGGAAATGGAGGTTGCAGTGAGCCGAGATCATGCTATTACACTCCAGCCTGGGCAACAAGAGCGAAACTCCATCTCAAAAAAAAAACAACAGAAAAAGGTTTAAAAAGTAATTTTTATATGTTTCTTAATTCTAGTTTTATAGTTATTTTCTTTAGCTCTGCTCTTTGAATAATGCCTCAAAAATCAGAAATAAGTATACATAGCTAGTCATATGAATCTGCATAATTGGAAATTATGCTAAAAGTAAATTGTATAATCTGAATTCCTCGTGGGCAGAGCCTGTTATCTTTGTGTTACCAACAGTATCTAACTAGATGCTTAATAAAAGAAAGTACTGAAGAAAAAGTAAGGAAGAGTTTCAGATTAAAGGAGACTGAAGAGACGTGTCAATTAAATGCAAATGCAGCAAGTAAGCATGGATTGGATCCTGGGTAGGCAAATGGGTGGGAACTGCTGAATCATAATGGGCAATTAGTGAATGTGAATATGAACTGTCCATTAGATAACAAACAGCACCATATCAATGTTACATTCCTGAATTTGAGAATTTCACTGTGATTGCCCTAAAAGAACTCCTCGTTCTTAAAACATACATGCAGAAGCAATTAAGGACAAAGGGGCATTACGTTTGCAATTTACTCTTAAATAATTCAGCAATAATAAAAAACTCTGCACACACATTTATCGAAAGTAATATAGCAACTATGGTGTAACATTAAAGTCTATTCTTTGAATTAATCTATTCTTCTCTACATACGACACTATCTCATCCTCAATGTAATTTTTATGGGGTCACGTAGCTATGTTTAGTTCTTAGTGCTTTCACTCAACTATGTACTTTGTGCTTAGTAAATGACAGGCACTGTTCTAGGCAGTGAATTTAGTAATGAATAACGCAAGCAGCACCCTTTAAGGAGTTCAGTCTACAACAGAAAAAATTTTAATATGATATAAGTATTATGAGGTAGGAGGAGAGTGCCCAACTCAGCCTTTAGTAGACGTCTTTGAGAGTTGGGGGATGGTCTTCTTTGGTTATGGACAGCAGCCTATTCTGCTGGATAAACTGGAGCTAGGACTTAAAAGATAAATAGGAGTTTGCCAAACCAACAAGAAGAAAAAAGGCCTTCTGTTTAGATAGCCAGGAATGGCTACAGCTTAAGAATTACAAGGGAGGAAGTAGTACAATATGAGGCAAAACAGCAAGGGCCACCAGCACTAAAAGAGGTAGATTCAAACTGTCCAATCAATTCTAAAAGTGATAAAACAGATTTGCCTGTAAAATTAGGCAAGTATTCTCATCAAATATTTGCCAGGAAAAAGTTATAATAGTTGAAATATATAAACAGACACCAAAGACAAAAATTTTTATACCACACCTCCTGTGAATCAAATCTATTGCTGTATTATAATATAGCGTTTAATTCTCCTAGCAGAAGGAGTATCAACTTCTCAAATGTTAGCAGATAAAAATCCACAAATAAAATTTTTTTTAAAGTGTTACCCAAAGGGCCAGGCTCGGTGGCTCACACCTGTAATCCCAGCACTTTGGGAGGCCAAGGCTGGTGGATCACGAGGTCAGGAGTTCAAGACCAGCCTGGCCAACATAGTGAAACCCCATCTCTACTAAAAATACAAAAATTAGCCAAACATGGTGGCGTGCGCCTGTAATCCCAGGTACTCGGGATGCTGAGACAGGAGAATCACTTGAACCCGGGAGGCGGAGGTTGGGGTGCAGTGAACTGAGATCGCACCACTGCACTCCAGCCTGGGTGACAGAACAAGACTCCGTCTCAAAAAAAAAAAAAAGAAAAAGAAAAAGAAAAAGTGTAACCCAAAGAGCAGCAGTGTACAAAGACAATGAAATCCTGTCTATAATCTTCATCCTATAAGCCTACAGGAAGAGGCAGAATAAACTGACCAATAGTTGCTTTGTATTAATTCTATTAAATTATATAAGTGCACATGAAAGTCAGTTTCATTACACTAAAACACTGCTTTGCCAAATAATAAGGAACGATATATTAAATCTTGAAACCACAAGTGAACAGCTAAGTATTATTCGCTTATTCTCAAGAAAGTTGATGTTTCACCACAAATCACAACAAAAATACAATTGAGATTATTATGCCTTCGACAATATCTAGAAAACATCTTTGTCCTGTTAAATAGAACTTATAGGAGGCCACGGTATGGACTGCATTCCCACACTAGGCCCCAACAGACCTAAACAAAATGGAATTACTCATGCTAACATTCCATGTCACCAAACCAAAACTAAGTTGTTCTCCTAACCTTCAAGATATGTGGAGAAAAAGAGCTAATAGCCAAATCCCAAAACAGACCAGTTTCAGTTAGCATGATAAGGAAGTCCCCTCTGCTTTAACCTTTAGAAGAAAACTAACTTTGAAACGCCAATGTACATTTGGTTTTTGGTTCTGCTTTCCTCAGCTCTTTTCTGTCTTTAAAGCCTACCTCCTTTGCTCAGCCATTGGAATGCTCATTTTATTTTATGGAATAAAATGTTGCATAATTCTAAAATTGCAAATAAACCCATTGCAATCTTTAAATTTGTTGTGATTTTGTCTTTTGACAGTCCTAAATCTATTTCACTGAATAAACTATCCAGAAATAGTCAAATTAACAAAGGTGAGCCAAAAGGTCAAATAGAAGATTGGAAATTACTAATTAAGATTGCCCCCAAAAAAAAGGTCTGCTAAAAAGAGGTCTGTTCTTAGCTCTCTATTGATAATTACTTACACCTTCTCCCTAAGTAGCTTGTCTGCCACTGCTGCTTTAGGCTTAGCCCACAGACCCTTCCCTGTTTGAGGATGTGTCAAATTCTGCTACAGTGTAACAAAACACCTCTGGAATGCCAATTATACTAAAATAACAACATTAATATAACTGTATGAATGCCATAATAAGCTAAATAAAAATGCTATTAGCAACTTAAAATTGTAAGCACCCATGGTAGAACTTAAATGTATGTAACTTAAATGCAAGAAAAAAAAAGTGCTCAAAACATCAGCCTAAGTCTAATCAGTAGCTAGAAAATTAGAACAAAATCTCTCCTCATCTGTTAATACAAGTGGAAATGAAAAGGAAAAACGAGGCATTAATAAACTATGAAGAATGGAATAACCATCTGGTTTACAACTGGTAATGTCACTCGGTCAAGCCGTGCAGCTTCTTTTATACCGCAGCACCACCAAGTGGCAGAAGGACAAACTGCAATTCTAGCTGAATACTTTCATCATTCAAAAAAGGCCACTGCTATGGACTAAATTATGTCCCCTCACCAAAAAAATTCATATGTTGAAGCTCAACCCCCCATGTAACTGTATTTGGAGATAGGGCTGTGAGGAAGTAATAAAGGTCAAATGAGATCCATAAGGGCAGGGCCCTAATCTGACAGGGCTGGTGCCATTTTTACAAGAGGAAGAGACACCAGATCTCTCTCTGCATGTACACAAGAAGGGTATAAGTGTGCTCAGCAAGGTGTTAATCTATAAGTCACCTTGCTCTTGGACTTCCCAGCGTCTAGAACCGTTGCAAAATAAATTTGTTTAAGCCACTCCATCTGTGATATTTTGTTATGGTAGCCCTCACAGACTAAAACAGCAACACTTCACCCTAATCCCAAACTTTACGACAAAGTCGGTCATTTAAAAATCAAAAGTCAAACTTGCCTTTAAAAATCCTAATCCAAAAATTTACTGAAATTAAAGTTCCTTAGTCAGCTATAAAAGGACATCATAGAGATCAAAAAGAATGTTTAGAGGTTAGAATTTTTATTATGAAAACGAAAAAATTCTCCCTGAAATTAAGAGACTACGGCTCTTCAGGATGCCTGTGCTTCCCTCAAACCAAGACAAAAACCTAAAATGGAACTGTTTTGTTATTCCAACCAATGTAATATCCTCTTCCTGACCTGGACAACCACCTTACTGCCGTTAGACCAGTCTAATCCCATGTACAGAGCTACAATCAATTCCTCTAAGCAGGATACTGCTGATTTCTATTTTCTCCTTCCTTATAAGCAAGAGAACTACAAAGTTTGAGGAAATAAAAGGGAGGACTTTTACAATTGGTCCGTCTCATTTCCTACCATCTACAGAAAGAAAAGCTAAGCTCTTAGGTGATATGGCAATTCCTCACATTCTCACCAAACTGCTTCCAATTTTAAGAGTTGTGTATTAACCTTCATTTACTCATACACAACAGCTTTGTCTATAGGCTGTTGTAAATAATAGCTTGGGCAAGCTGTTCCATATCAAATTTAAAATACAGCATTTTCAATCATTTTTTGATTCTATTACAAAGTGAATAACCACTAATGGTTTTTCTATAATAAACCACCACCAGCAGTTTGTAAAAATTTTAACTATTATCCCTCATTAATAGTTACACCCAAACTTAAAGTAGGCAGTAAACATTGTTGCAGGAAATCGAGTCAAACATACACAAGGCAATGAATTCTAATGAAATGTGCCACAAAATCCATACTACCATTTCAAACAGTCTTAAATTCATCAAATCACTACCACCTTAGAATTTTTTCCTTAAAGATATTACTTCTAATGGACTTGAGTGAATCTTCTTAAAGGTCTTTATGTCTTACAGAGGTTAAGTGACTAAAGTCTCTAGGGTACTGGGTAACAAAATGTATGCTAGAACAAAAATCTTTCAACTCCTAGGCCAATCTGCTTTCCCTTATATCATACTTCCTATTAGTTCAACTTCTCAAATCTCAAGAATAATTGTGTGATACATGATAAATTGTGTGATAAATGGTAAGAAATAAGAATACGGCAAACAATCCATCACAAGGTATTATATAATAGTGAACAGTAAAGACAATAACTGCTATTGAAGTTCAGAGACTAACACTACTGTTTGCTAGAGCTGACTGGTAAGATTTTAAAATAGAATTTTAAGTAAGAATGAAGGCTGGGCACAGTGGCTCACGCCTGTAATCCCAGCACTTTGGGAAGCTGAGGCAGGAAGATCACTTAAGCCTAGAAGTTCAAGACCAGCCCGGGCAACACAGTGAGACCCCACCATTAAAAATAAAAAAAAAATTAGCTGGGCATGGTGGCATGCAACTGTGGTCCCAACTACTTGGGAGGCTGAGGCAGGAGGATTGCTTGAGCCCAGGCGGTCGAGGCTGCAGTGCACTATCATCATGTCACTGTACTCCAGCCTCAGTAACAGAGCAAGACCCTGTCTTTAAAAAAAAAAAAAAAAAAAAAAAAAGAAAGAAAAAAAGGAATGAACTTCAAAGAACATCCATTCTAAACTTCATTTTAAGAAACTAAGGCCCAGTCAAGCACGGTGGCTCGTGTCTCTAATCCCAGCACTTTGGGAGGCCGAGGAGGAGAGATCACTTGACCTCAGAAGTTCAAACCCAGCCTGGGCAACATAGACTTTGCCTCTATAAGTAAATAAATAAATAAATAAATAAAAATTAAAACTATGATGTTGCCACTGGACAACAAAGCGAGATCCTACACCAAAAATAATTGTATGTGTATGTGTTCATATTTATAAACACACACACATAGATACACATACACACACACACGAGAGAGAGACAGAAAAGAAACTTAAGCCCTATACACAGAGTTAGTTGGTGGCGGTGGCAGTGGCAGTCCTTCAGGGAAAAGGGATTTAAGCTGGGTTTAGAAACATATCTAGATAGGAGCTGAACAGAAGGAACAAGAGAGGACATTCCAGGTAGGAAAATAACAGTAAAAAAAATTTTGGTTTTTTTTTTTTGGTTTTTTTTTTTTTTTGAGATAGTGTTTCACTCTTGTTGCCCAGGCTAGAGTGCAATGGTGATCTCGGCTCACCGCAACCTCTGCCTCCCGAGTTCAAGAGATTCTCCTGCCTCAGCCTCTCAAGTAGCTGGGATTACAGGAATGTACCACCACGCCCAGCTAATTTTTTGTATTTTTAGCAGAGACGGGGTTTCTCCATGTTGGTCAGGCTGGTCTCGAACTCCTGACCTCAGGTGATCCGCCTGACTCGGCCTCCCATATTCAGGCGTGAGCCACCGTGCCTGGCCATAACAGCAAAAATTTAAAGGCCGAAACAAATCAATCAAGTTCAAGAGAGAGAAAATAAATTGTTTTGACTGAAAATATGATAAATTCAGAAATGGTTAAGATTTGTGTGGGGGAGAGGGGACAGAGTTTAAATACTTAAAGAATTAAACTTTATCCTATAGGCAGTGGAAAGCCTTACTGGGTTTTCAGCAACAAATGTCAACTTCTTAGAAAATCCCAAATTGTGCACTTGTCAGGAAGCCAAGGCTATAAACATAAAACAAGGATTATAACAGCCAAAATGTTTTACCAATAGGAAATCTAATTCTAAAGGGAAAGGTGGGAAAAATATCATCAAAGAAAGGAACAAGAGATAATACAAAATGGACCATTAAAAAAAATGGGAACAGATAAGAATAAATGAAAAGAGATGTGGATAAAACAATCAACAGTGATTTAAAAAAAAAAAAAGTAAGTTACTTCATGCACTCAAGTTCTGGAAAGGGTTAAGACAGTCCAAAGAAGTAAGTCTATATGGCTAAAAAAAATACATTCAGACCCTAATAGCCAAATTTACTGTGTATCAAAATGGAATAACTTACCTCTCTAGCAGCACAATCATGAGGAGCTTCTTCTTTATTTACTTTTCCTTTTGGAAATCCCCAGCCTGATTTTGCTAGGTACCCCTGAACTAGTAGTACCTACAAAACAAGCAGAAGTAAAAATCAAACTTGCCCTCCTTTTCCATGCTCCTTTCTAAAAATCAAAGGCATTTTTCTCCTTACTTGAGGTAACTGTTATCGCCAATAATTTTACAGAGTATTTTCTTAAAGTATCTTCAGTGAGTCTGAATACATCACCACCAGTGTGAAAGCATTCTGCCCATTTAAAAAAAAAAAGTCTTCAACAATTAAGCGACACTTTTTTGTACCACACCGTAACTGCAACAAGTAAAAAATCTGCAGACATAGCATGCGGATAAAATATACAAAGCTTGGCCTTTTAGCACTAAAAATCTAAGTATATTTTAAAACCTCAATTTAGAAACACTACATCAATAACAAATTTTGTTAACAGATTAACGATCACCATTTCACTAAAAATCTTTATTTCATTACACTCACATTTTCAAGTGTCTCATCAAGAATAATTGCACCATATGTTGGTACTCCCATTTTATATTCCTTCCATTCATCCAAAACTTTTTCCACATCTTCACCTTGAGGCAGCAAAAACGGACAATGACTGAAGAGTATAAATAGTGTCAAGGAAGTTACTTTCTCCTTTAATATGGCTTGAGAAATTATATACAGAAAGAGACCCATTTAAATCAATAGTGTATTTCATGTGAAATTATTCAAATCTTCCCTCATTTAAGTGTAGCATTTTGGCCAGGCACCATGGCTCACACCTGTAACCCCAGCACTTTGGGAGGCCGAGGCAGACTGTGTTTTTGTTTTTTCTACATTTGTTTTCTCTTAAAAAGTCATTGTTAACTTTTTCATTTGTAGCCTACACACAAATCAAGTTTTTAGTACTCACAGTCCTGGATCCCTAACACAAACTAATTCTGGACCATGTAAACACCTAGAACATTTCTCGTTAAGTGAGTCAAATTCATAATGCCAGGTAGTTATATATATTAGCGTAATAACAAGAAATAGAATTACATATATAAAGTGATAGCAAGAAACAGAAGAAAATATATTGCTAAGAGAAAGAAACTATCACATCAGAAAAAGAATAAAGTGCTTAATTCTGGGAAGGAGAAGTATGAATGAGGTATGCCATTCTATACTGTTTACCACATATATATTGTTTCCATAATGAAGAACACTTTTAACAAATTTTATTTTAAGGATTACAGAGAAAGGCAAATCAGGTATTAAGGAAAACATAGCCAGTTTCAAAGAAACTAGGCATGCCTCCCCCCAAAACTGGGCAGTGTAAAATATTAATAGTAAAGTAAGTAAAATCCAAACCCTGAAATTATATGCTCAGACTTCCAACACTCCATGCTATCGAATGCCCCATCACTATAATACTGTTAATTTTAAAAAAGCATAGAGAAAATGATAATTTATGATAGTATCTCTCAAAATGAGGTCATACTTTTAAGGGTTCTCAATTCTTCAATAAAAATTTGTATACTGTGTTTTCATTTTGATATTACTCTAACATGCAATCTGAGCATATATTCAATTATCTAGATGACCATATGTATCAAATACTACCACTTGATTTCAGAGACCATATTGGTACTAGTACTACTTTAATTGCTACAGGCTATTAAAAACAGAAATAAAGCTAATCTACAAATGATGCATTACAATCAAATGACATACGACATAATATAGAAAGGAATGTTTCATAACAGAGAGCAGAGAAAGGTGGTGTTAGTACAGGTACACCAAACTCAAAACACCCTCAAAGAAGTCGGCATTATATTCATTCACATTGTGATGAAAAGTCTGGTTTAAAAAAAAAAATCACATTAAATTCATTTTATTAATTTGAATTTTACATGTTCTACAATTCTGTAATTTAAAATTTGTTTCATAGTTGTAGTACAAATGAAATAGGTCCTCAGAGCCCAAGTCAAGTCAGCCATATATAACAACACTGTAATTTGGCCAGGTGTGGTGGCTCATACCTGTAACCCTAGCACTTTGGGAGGCCAAAGCAGGAGGAATGCTTGAGCCCAGGAGTTCAAGACCAGCCTGGGCAACATAGTAAGACCCTGTCCCTACAATTTTTTTTTTAAGACAAGCGCAAAGTTAATCTCAATATAATTAGTGCATGCCTTCATTTGGGGAGGGGAAAAAAAAGATGAAAGCTTGGATACAACATTAACCATTCCATGAAGCTCTATGGTTCTATAAGGGCCTGGTAAGATTCTAAAAGGTATTAAAATTCTGGCTTTACATGTTTAGTAAAATCCCTAGCAGAACTTCAGCCAAGGAGCAAATGTGGGATACTCTTGTCTGTATCCACGTTGCTGAGTGCTTACTGAAGGAAAAAAAATCAAAGACTATGCATAATTTACAAAAGAGAAAACAGAGGCATAGACAAGTTCCACAATTTACCCAAGGATACATAGCTAGTAAGTGGCAGAGAAAGGATGCTAACTCAAAGGATGTGGCTCGAGAACGTATGCTCTTATCAAAGTATGCAGTCTTCTCTACTGCAATATCCCACATGTACCATCAACTCAACTGGCCCATAACAGAACCCATCAATTCCCTACATTTCTCATTTTCTTGCCAATGAGATGGCCAAGTAAACGATTTACATGTACAAATATATGTGCTTCTCAAACTTACCCTTTGAATTAGGCACTATTAGTAACCTTATTTTTCAGGAAGAAACTGGGATCCTCAACTGCTCATACTAGAAACCTGGGTACCATCCTTTCTTCTACTTCTCCTCAGATATCCAAATCATCACCAATCTTACCTCCTAAATAGCTCTCAAATTTGATCTCTTCTATTCATTTCTACTACCACAGGTTTTCTCTCTCTAGTAAATTAATAAAATAGCATGTTAACTGGATTCTCAGAATCCAATCTTGCCTTCCCCCAGTTCACTGTTCACACTATTTCACAGCAGTCTTGAAAAATACCCCTATACGGAGAAATAAGCAAATGTAGGAAAACGTTAATAATGAATGAATACAGATGAAGGGTATGATGGCAGTTGTCATGTTCTTTGGCCATCTCCGAAAGTTTTTTCCCAAAATAAGTTTTTTTAATCTGTTTTTTAAAGAAATATGGCCTACAAGACCCCTACATGTTTTAGCCTCTGAATTACTCTGTAGCATCATCTCTTATCTTTCCCATTTAGTCTAAAATACAGTAACTTTTTTCATTTCCTCCGATTTTCCTCACATAAATCACTATCTCAGAGAAGGCTTCTATTTAGCTCCCAAATCTTTTTTTTTTTTTGGAGTAATAGTTAACATTTATTACATTAACATTTATTGATCACTGTGCCAAGTAAACGACTTACATGTACAAATATATGTGTTTCTTAAACTTACCCTTTGAATTAGGCACTATTAATAACTTTGTCAGGAAGAAACTGGGATCCTCATCTAAGATGATTTAAATAACCTACCCAAGATTTTCGAGTGGCCAAGATGGGAATCAAACTCACAGCCTCCAAATCGTAAGTGGGTATCCCTCTTCTGTTCCCACTGAACACTGTGCTTCTGTATCACATCCTACCACACTGCACTGTAATCATTTCCTTTCCTGTCTTTTCTCATCTTCTTGAAGATACTGAGTCTACTCTCTTCACTGCATAAGGCCTGGCACAGAGTAACCATGAAGTTACTTAATGAAGTGTACCACATTAAACATTCCTTCTCCATGTAGCTATTCTTAGTTAACTAAATGAAACATACCTAAAACAAAGGTTGTTGGTGTTTTGTAATAGCAGGCAAAGTGTAAAACTCATGTGCAAACACACACAAAATGTTATCCAAAACCCTAAAGTATGTAAAGTTGCCCTAGAAGGGCTGTAAGTCCATACAAAATGACCAAAGCAAAAGAGGACTTGGTTATCTTAGTTACGTTTCCTTAACTAGATTGTAACTCCTGAAAACCAGGCTACTAAGATTTCTCCAGAGAACCTATCACCAAGGCCTTTAACAAAGATAGTGCTCAATATATTTCTATTTCCCTCTGATTTCTCATTAACTTCTACACATTTAATCAAACGGTTTGATCATTTCTTCCTTTGAAATCTGTCTCCCATCAGTGTTTTCTTTGTAGTCCCACTACTATGGCTCAGGGATTTATTGCCCTGAACGTCAAGTGATGTAACAGACCAACCAATAAATCTTGGATACCATTTTTTTTTTTTTTTTTTTTTTTTATTAAGACACAGTCTCGCTGTGTCACCCAGGCTGGAGTGCAGTGGCGCGAACTCGGCTCACTGCAAGCTCTGCCTCCCGGGTTCACACCATTCTCCTGCCTCAGCCTCCGGAGTAGCTGGGACTACAAGCGCCCGCCACCACGCCCAGCTAATTTTTTGTATTTTTTTTTTTTTTTAGTAGAGACGGGGTTTTACTGTGTTGGCCAGGATGGTCTCGATCTCCTGACTTAGTGATCCGCCCCCCTTGGCCTCCCAAAGTGCTGGGATTACAGGCATGAGCCACCGCACCCGGCCTTGGATACCGTTTTCAAATGATCAGAGTAATATTCTTTACCGTTGCTCAAAAATGTGCTATGGTTAACAGTTAACTGTTACAGAACAATCACTGTTTCATCCATTTTCTACAGAGCCCGAAGGATTCCATACTTCATGAGGCTAAAGGAAAGTGATAGGTAGCTGAGAATGAGGGTATTTCAGCTCACCTATCCCTACTCCAACTCTAGTTCTAGTACACGAACTTGTGGGTACAAATCCATTAAACATACACGTCATGGTCAAAAACAATAACCTGGCCAGGTGCGGTAGCACCTATAATCCCAGCTACTTGGGAAAAATGCGGGAAGACTGCTTAAGCCCAGAAATTCAAGCCAGACTGGGCAACAAGGCAAGACCTTATCTCAAAAAAGGAGAGAAAAAAAAAAGACCTATGGAATAAAAATCAGTTTGGGCACAGTTGCTCATACCTGTAATCCCAGCACTTTGGTAGGCCAAGGCAGGTGGATCACTTGACGGCAGGAGTTTGAGACCAGCCTGGCCAGCATGGCAAAACCCCATCTCTACTAAAAATACAAAAAAAAAAAAAAAAAAAAAAAAAGGCACCTAGGTGTGGTGGCTTGCACCTGTAGTCCCAGCTACTCAGGAGGCTGAGGCATGAAAATCACTTGAACCCTGCAGGTGGAGGCTGCAGTGAGCCAAGATCACACCACCACACTCCAGCCTGGTCAACAAAGTGAGGCTGTCTCGGTTTGTCGGGCGGGCGGGGGGAATAAAAATCAAAGTGCTTTAGCTCAAGATTTAAGAACCCATACGATGCCATCATCACCTCATATGACTTTCCAACCATATCTGCTATTATGGCCCCATGAGAGGACGCTGTTCAATTCAAACTAATTTATTTATTGAGCTATCCTTTTTCAAATCTCCAATTTTTCTTTACCTAAAACACATTCCCCACTTCTACTGAGAAAATCCTATATTCCCTCAAAAATATAGCTTTCCCTAAAATATTTCCACTTTTTTTTCCAAATTCTAGAAACATGTACTATCAGGACCATTAGCAATTACTCAATTATTTGCCTTATGACATAGCTTCTTTTATAATGTTAAATATTCATGTGAATCTTTTATAACTAATAAATCACGACAAGTTTCTGCCTGATATGTACATGGGGAAAGAAGCTTCTCTGAAGGCAAAGATGACTTTTTTCTCTTTGAGACGGAATCTCACTCTGCCGTCCAGGCTGGAGTGCAGTGGTGCCATCTCAGCTCACTGTAACCTGCACCTCCCAGGCTCAAGAGACCCTCCTGCCTCAGCCTCCCGAGCAGATGGGACCATAGGTGAGTGCCACCATGCCCAGGTAACTGTTTTTGTACTTTTGGTAGAGATGAGGTTTCGCCATGATGCCCAGGCCGGTCTCAAACTCCTGAGTTCTGGCAATCCACCAGTCTCGGCCTCTCAAAAGTACTGGGATTATAGGTGTGAGCCACTGCACCCACCAAGGGCTTCTTTGTATTTGCCACACAACTGAAAACACTGCTTCAAACATAGTAAACATTCAATAATTATTTAATAAATGTCACTGGGCACAGCGGCTCACACCTCTAATCCCAGCACTTTAGGAGGCCAAGGTAGGAGGATCACTTGAGGCCAGGAGTTCAAGACCAGCCTCAGCAACAAAGAGAGACCCCCATTTTTAGAAAACATAAAAAAAAAATTAGCAGGAATGGTAGCGCATGCCTGTAGTCACAGCCACTCGAGAGGCTAGGGAGGAGGATTGCTTAAGCAGGAGCTCGAGAATACAGTAAGCTAGGATCACATTACTGCACTTCAGCCTGAGCGACAGAATAAGATCCTGTCTCTTAAAAAAAAAAAAGAAAAAAAATTCTAAATAAATCAGAAAGGCAGTAATCTGATTAAAAGATCATCTGGTTACATGCAGCAGCAAGAGTAAAGTTGTACAAACAGGCTAGCTATGCATGGGAAAAAAATAAAATTTAATCAGTGTACATTTTAGGGCGTCCTCTGTATGATTATTATGAGTATTAATGATTATGATTATTAATATGATTATTACTAAATTGTGTCTACTATTTATGTTTGACAAATTTTAGCAATCAAGTATGTTTTTCTCTAATAGTTTTAAAATCTGAAAAGGCAAGCAAAAAGAAATTTGTGCTAAAATATATTGCTAACAAGAAAGTCAGTCATTATAGTAATAAAAAGGATATCAGCTTTAGCAAAGTCTCTTATCCCACACTGAGGTAATCCTGGTGTGTTCTGCATGTAGAAATCCAAGTAAAACCAATGGGCAAGTTCAATCTGAAAACACACTCGGATTGCATTGTCTCTTTCCTCGCTGGGAATATGCAAAATAAATCGGCTGTCAAAAACAAAACACATACAAAAATTACATTTACAAACTATAACGATTTATCTTAAGCTATTTAAGTGCTTCATACCTGACCCACCAACTGAGAAAAGGGACCAAGAGCAGTACTGTTCAAGGAAGCAATTAATATTTGAGAGAAATACTATAGGGAAGATGAGTCTTAGAGAGGAGACACCACATGTATCTCACTTTTAATACAGTTTGTTCTGAGCCTGTGTACCCTCTGTTCACAAGTACAGAGATCAGCTTAAGAGCTCACTAACAACAAAAGTGAGCAAGAAAACCTCCGCTTCCTCCCATGTCTGGCAACATTTCCAAGAATACAGGTAAATATATTCATACAATTTTAAAATGTTTGCTATTACATAATCTTCACATACAAAATATTACCAAGAAATATTGGAAAAGAAACCAATATTCTGTTGCTCATTAATATACTAGGACTTCCCAAAAAGCCTCACCTGCACAGCCTCAGTTCAAACTTTCAAATACACTCACTTTTCAAAACCCTAAATTGTCTTTTCCATGTACATTGGGGAAAGGAAAGACATATTTCTTTTACATATAAATATACATTTATATTAATATACACTAATATTGCATGTACACATATGTAATTAGGATAATGAACCCCTTTATTATGAAACATACAAGTTAAAATTCATCAATCTAAGTCAATGTTGTAATTCAGAGCAGTCATTAAGCAGCTATCACTTATTTTTTCCAATGTTAAGCATTTTTGGTAATCCTTTTTCCCAGTAACCATTAGAGACAGATTCAAGTCCACTGGTTTTTAGAGTCATTTTTTAAAATTAAAAATAGTACCACCCAGTTTGATCACTTGCTTAATCACTATCATAGTAAATAATTCTTGGCTGTTTCCAAGTTTCAAATAAGCATAAGAATACTCTTCTCCAATTACAAGAGGCCCTTCTCAACAAAGGAATTTAAAAATTAGCCAGATATGGTGGCATGCATCTGTAGTCCTAGCTGCTTGGGAGGCTAAGGCAGGAGGATCACTTGAGCCGAGGTGTTCAAGGCTGCAGTGGGCTATGATCATGTCACTACATTCCAGCCTGGGTGACGAGACACTGTCTCAAATATATATATATATATATATATTTTTTTTTTTTTTTTTTAATTAAGAAATAAAAACAACACTGCAACACTGGAGTAGCAAAAGGCATTTTAATCAGGTTTTTAGAGATTGCAATTTGGGAGACACAAGTCTAGCAAGCAGCTAAATCATGTTGCATTCAGGCAAGGTTAGGCAGAGCTTTTAAGGGCTACTGTAAATTTACGTATCTGGAAGGTTTTAGCACAGTCCATGATAAATGATGGCTGGTTGTCAGCTCAGGATGTCTCTAGTCAATGATCAATATAGTTGGGTATGGTTATCTCTCCAGGCGGTTGATCAGGCCCAGTATATACAACTCAAGTCAAATGCAGCTAGTTTTACACTTTGGCCCAGTTCAGCAGGTGAAACTCCATCTAGATGTGTATGTGACCAGGATCCAACTCCTTATGCCCTCCTGGCTCCTTTTTGGATATTCTGACATAATCATCTCCATTGTGAATTTTCTTTTCAGATCCATCAGTTTCATTTTGGATTTTTTTTCCCCACAATTCAGATTCATCAGTTTCATCTTTAAGACTTCTAGTCTTCTGATCTGTTCTAGTCTGGATCAGCTGTCCTCTACACCTGGTACACATCTGTCAACTCTACACTGCCCTTTCACAAGCATCCTATAGTTCCCTGTGCCTTTATCCCACAGAGGTCATGTGTCTTGTCTTTTTGTTTTCATCCTCCTTAATTCACTTCCTTGTTTTCATGAAGTAATCCTCACATATCCTGTGAAGGAAGGATGCAAAGGGGAGGTAAATACTATATTTTAAGATACTACACATCTAAAATGTCTTTATCCTCATACTTGATAATTTGGGTAAAGAATTCTAAGTTGGAAATGATTTTCTTTCAGAATCTTCAAAAGTGTTCTTAATTCCAACTTGCAATTTTGATATTGAGAAGATCGAAGCCATTCAGATTTTTTTTCTTTTTACTTCTAATTTGTGCCAAGGACAAAAGCCATTCAGATTCTTAATGTTTTGTATATGACCTTTTTTTTTCCCCAGTCTGGATGCTTCTAATATCTTCCTTCCATCCCCAGTGTTGTGAAATTTTGCAGTGTCTATTTTTGATCCACTACACTGTCATTCCATAGACTATACATACTTGGAAACTCATATCCTTCAGTGCTGAAAGGTCTCGTAAGTCAATCCTACTGTGAGTCTTTATGTTTCTATACTGCCTTGCCAGGCATGGTAGTACATGCCTGAAATTCCAGCTACTAAAGCCAAGGAGTTCAAATTCAGCCTGGTCAACAATGTGAGACCCCGTCTCTATTTTTTTAAAAAAATACCCCCCATATCAATTACATTAATTTTGCTTTTCATTTTTCCCAGTTCTCCTCAGCCCGCTCTGTTGAAATGCTGAAATTTTAACTGTCAGAGGCAACCGTAATATTGCCTTAGGGACTTGTGGGGAAGGGGAGGGGAATTATTCAGCGTAGTGTTTTAACTTTCAGAACCAAGTAGTCTATTTTCTCTATGTAAGAAATGTGTTTGTCTTACTTGAAGAGAAACCCAGACTTCATCAGTTTTTGATAACATCTTGGTTTCTGAAGGAACTTCAATCTGTAATTGGCATTCAGAATGCCCTTGGCATGGCAGTCTGTGTGATGGCATTTAAGACCTGTGAAATCCTTGAGCCCAACTTGATTAATCAACACTGATAACCACCACCTTTATCCTTTAAAGTCTGCTTTATCTGTATTTTAAAAAATGAAAAACCCTCAAGTGTAAGAGCCAGCTCCCTATCTACTCACATAAAGGAGAAGCGTATTAATGAATAAACCTCCCAAATGTCTCATCATTAATATAAAAAGGCATCCAAAAATCACCTACCATCTAAGGAAAATGTGAAGCATGACAAGAAAGTTTTTTAACTGACGCTGAAGAAAACATAATTGAGGAACCAGAAGAAAACAGGAGTGAGGGTTGAAAGATGGAATTATTATCCTAAAAGAAATTTAAAAGAGTATTCCTTTTTCAGAGCAACTGTATTTTTCTTTAAATGTACAGTAACTAAGTAAGAGCCCTCGGGGGGAAAAAAAACTATTATTACTATAACCAACGGAAGCAGTGGAAGGTAGTATTAAGGATATCACCTAGACACTGGTACTCAAAATGTGGACGCTAGACCATGTGGGAACTAAGTGTGAAAACAGAAACAGGTATTTTACACATTAAAGGACTCAGTTTACTTCCTAATGAACCCCCTCAAAGAAATTAACTTAAAATGCGCACAAGCAAAACAAGAATGAAAACCAAGAAAGGATGAAACATGATATTCAAGAAAGAGTAAGTACCATCTCAGAGAGTTGTGAAAGTGAATTCTAGTATTCTAGTTGCTAGGCAAGTCTGAGGAGCAACGAGTCCAGACTGGATTAGGAGGATGGAGGTCCCCAAGAGTGCAGTCTAAAGGGAAAAAAGGATTCTGTCGAAAGTATGATTGAGGATAAGATAAGGAAGCGGATGAGAAGGGTTGAAAAAAGCAGCTAGAAACTTTGGACATATTAGAGAGGAGTACATGTACAACAGAATCATAGTCCAAATGTGAAGCAAAAACACCAAAGTTAGAACAGAAAGCCAACTGTCCCCTCCCCTCAAAAAAATGGATTTCAAGAATAGCCAGAAGGGGCCTGGCATGGTGGCTCCCGCCTGTAATCCCAGCACTTTGGGAGGCCATGGCAGGCGGATCACCTGAGGTCAGGAGTTCAAGACCAGCCTGGCTAACACATGGTGAAACCCCGTCTCCACTAAAAATATAAAAAATGGTGTGGTGGAGGGTGCCTGTAATCCCAGCTACTCGGGAGGATGAGGCAGGAGAATCGCTTGAACCCAGGAGACACGGGTTGCAGTGAGCTGAGACCACATCATTGCCTCCAGCCTGGGCAAACGAGCAAGACTCCGTCTCAAAAACAAACAAACAAAAAGGCTAGAAGGAATCAAGCAATAGTAACAAAAGCATATATTTCTTTCCCCAAAGAAAAAACTAAATGGTACCATCATTTTGACCAATTTGTAGGATATAAGAACGGAGAATTCATTCAGATATTCTGCAAGACACTTACAAAGGGCTCCTGACTATGCCCCGATGGAAAAGAAACTAGCCGCTGAAGACTTGCCTCTACTGTAAAAACTACATATCTATTTACACTGTATCATTATTGTTCAGCTTTTACAATCAACAAATAGCACAAAATATAACAGACGTAGATTTACAAAATAGAATATAAATATTATCAACCCTAATTTTTTTCAAGTTAATCTGGATAGAAGCCGAGGGAATGGGCAAGAAAAAATGAGGCACTAATCATCTCACCATATCAGAGACTCAAGAAATACTGTAAGTTCGTAAAACAAATATAATTTTAAGTATATTAAAGTCACAAAGGGGCCAGCATGGTAGTTCACACCTGTAATCTCAACACTTTGGGAGGTTGAGGCAGGAGGATTGCTTGAGGCTACAAGTACGTTTGAGACCAGGCTGGGCAAAGATCCCATCTCTACCAAAAAAAAATGTATTTAATACCTGGGCATGGTGGTACATGCCTATAGTCCTAGCTACTCAGGAGGCTGAGCCAAGTGGATAGCTTGAGTCCAGGAGTTGGAAGTTGCAGTGAGCTATGATCATGCCTGGGCAATGGTGCAAGACCCTGTCTCTAAAAAAAAAATCATAAAGTCACAAAGGTAAACAATGGAACAATTTAAAATACTGATAGAGACATACTGGAAGTAAGATGGGGGCAATAGTGGGTGTGGTAAACTGAACTCTCATCTAGTATCTACGAAATTGAACCAAATCCTCAATTCAATATAGAAAGTTGATAAAACAAGAAACTGGCACAAGTATATTTTAAAATATGAGGTATCCACCAGAAGAACTCAAAACAAAACAAGTAAAAGTCAATGCCTCAACAGGAATAGAAAAGGGTAGGGAAAGAAACTAAGACTGTTGCCTGTCATTTATAAATCTGTCTGTACTCTAATTTTCAAAACCATGTACATGATTACATATTTTTAATAGTAAAAAGTTGACTTAAGTTTATAAGAGCTGATGTACGAAAATTAAACATTTAATGCGTTCATTCTGTGAATGCTTTTGATCTGTTTTAAAGTTCAAAAGTACGTGTACATATGTGTATGGACGTGTATATAGTAATAGCTGAAATAAAATGCTTTCCATTACAATTTGTTACGGAAAAAACTGCATCACACGAAATGTTATTTTCTCAGTGTTCCTACAAACAGGACATTAGCACAAGGATTGCAATTAGTAGAAAAATGTTCCGGTTGAATTCAACACTAACACGGCTAGCTGAAGATGAGCACAAATTATTTAATTAACCTACGCTATCACCAAAATAGCAGCAACACTAGTTGCCAGAAAATACCTTTCTTCTTTTAACACTAGTGTGGCCTTACTATACCCAACTCTTAAAAAGGGCTTTAAAAAAATTCTAAGCATTTATTTGAATCAACCAACTTTTCAGTTTCTACTTTAAAAACTTGCTTTTCAATTCTTTAATAAGCTAGTTTAAACAGTACTGAAAAACTCTGTATTTGAGTTTTAATATCAAAAATCATGGTTCATCAAAAACAAGTATCACCATAAAATGCTGCAGATTCACCTTTACACATACATTTTAAATTATAAAGCATTTTTTGTTCACTAGAATATTTTAAGACCAAACTCTTCCCTTCCTCTCCTCTAATTCTACTCCACTCAGAAAGTAACCAGTGTTATCAGTTTGGCGCATATTCTTTCGGCATACGAATACATATACCCCTTCCCCACCCACACACACACTTAAAAATTTGTTTTCACAAAAGGCACCAAGGGACTAAATAAGTATTTCACTCAGTATACTGTGTACATCTTTTCAACACACAAATATTTTCCCTCAGTTTACTGTGTGCTAATTGCCTGAGGAACTTAGAATGGCTGCACAATATTCCAATAAATAGAATGTTACATACTAAAGCATCAGCCTTAGGTTATGAGCAGTCTAAAGGTTACAAAGTCACATTTTGAAAATTTAAGTCTGCTGCTCTCCACATCAAAAGGCAAGATTTAACAGAAACATGTAATTTATCAAAAAACAAAGTAACACAAAAGAAAACTTCCTATATACACTAATAATAAGCAACAGAATTGGGGCAAAAAATGAAGGGAGTAAAAACAAGCACCTAGCTTGAATTCATAAATCAAGACGTACATAAAAGAGAGCAAAGAAGTTCAGAAAAATTAACCTCAAATTAAGCTTTATTTTTACAGAAGTTTACCAAATTCTAAGTGTAAAAAAAAAGTTTTAGTCTACAATGAAAAGCTTGAATCTGTAACATTAAAAATATTTCAATTAATCAAAGCTATAAATATTAACTTGAAAATGGCATTTATTTTAAAATCTGAAGTTTTGAGAAATGTTTATTTGGTTTCATTATTACAGCCAGCCCTAATTTTTAAATATATCATATCCTTATTTATACAGCCAAAAACAGTAACTGCAAAAAGAAATTTCTTGAAAGGAAAAAAATGTTACTCCATTCAAAAATATTTGTTTAACAGCTTAAATACACTCACTGGAAAACCAACTATCTTTAACACTTGACAGGTGCTTAACATATTGTTTACAAAATACAACGTAATTATTTTGTGAATAGGTTCCATACATAAAATCGTTAACAGCTGACATCACTTATTTAAATGATGTAATCCTAGATAATATGCAAATTAACCCCAATACTAGAAGGAAGACTAGCTCTGATGTCTGTAAAATGTTTAAGATTACCACATCTTTTTCTAAATCAACTCTTAACCCTATTAACACACAGCTAATTACTGATCACCTTTCTAAATACTTATCTTCAATTTTTTTCTAACTATAAAATGCATAAAAAATATTGGAAACAAAAAATAAAGATCACAATCTCATAATCCCACTATTGGTTGATGTGCGTCTAGTCATTAACCCACATACACATATCAAATTCAGTTTCTTTTTCCTTTTTTTTTTTTTATTTGGGACAAGAAACTAAATGCCTTTTCAGTGGTTCATTTGAATCTACCATACTTCAAAAATTATAAATCTACCATCACCAAAGAAGTACAGCGCCATTTGTATTAGTTGCAAAATTAGGCTATTTACTTTTCTGTATGTACTTTTGTGAGGTTTAAAACGTTAGGCTTATTACTTCTCCTTGGTATGAGAGAAAAAGCACAGGCACTGGAAAGAAAAAGGAATAGGTGTGAAATCTTGATTTTGTGAATTAGGATGAATGTGACCTTATGTAAATTACAAAGTTCCTGAATCTGTTTGCGCAGATGAAAATGGAAATATACTAACTGCACCTACCAAACACGGCTGACTGAGGATTAAATAAAACAATACATGTAAAGGTAGTGCCTGGTGCACAGTAGAAACTCCAGGCCGGGCGCGATGGCTCACGCCTGTAATCCCAGCACTTTGGGAGGCCGAGGCGGGTGGATCACGAGGTCAGAAGTTCGAGACCAGCACGGCCAAGATGGTGAAATCCCGTCTCTACTAAAAATACAAAAATTAGCCGGGTGTGGTGGCGGGTGCCTGTAATCCCAGCTGCTAGGGAGGCTGAGGCAGAGACTCGTTTGAATCCGGAAGGCAGAGGTTGCAGTGAGCCAAGACCGCACCACTGCACACCAGCCTGGGCAAAAGAAAGAGGCTCCGTCTCAAAAAATAAAAACAAAAAAACAAACAAACAAAAAAAACCCCAAAAAACTCCACAAACACCAGTTCTTTACTTTCCATTAAAAAAAACTGCATGAAGGAGATACAACTACTAAAAGCCTGCCTTTTAAAACATAAACACAGTAACTGTGAACGAAAAGGTGTTATCACTTGTAATCACAATCCACACACACTTGGCGACAACTCCGGGTATCACTGCACTCCAAATTTTACCTTCGGAAAATAAGCATTTTTAAGTATCCTACACGTGTTTGGCTATCTGAAATCAGAGTTGACAAGGGGGAAGAATGCAGAAAATTTCTCATCTGAAGTATACACCCTGAGTTAAAACCCCGCGGTTGAGAATTTCCTTTAAAATAGGATTATTAAGGATAAAAAGAAAAGCAGCGCTACACTTTTTCCCTCTCTCCCCCAAAGACAAGTCCAGGGATGAGAAAAAAAAAGTAATTCCTTACAGGAATTTACAGAGAACGCCACGGACAAATAACACGCAGGCGTCAGAATAAGTCCGAAAATTTGCTCCTTGCGCAGGTCCGCGTACCTGGGATCCTAAGCCTTAAATTACTACCCTGGGGGTCTTCCTTCAGAATCGGGGAATGAGACACAGGGAGGAGGGGGTGCACGGCGTGGAAAAGTCACAGAGGCAGAAAAAACAATGGGAGAGGGAGGCGGCGGCGGCGGCAAAACGCTAAGACCCAGGCTCCGGCGAAGCGGCTACGCCTGCGGGAAAGCAAAATAGTTGAGTAACTTAAAAAATGAGGAAATTCCGGGTGTTCTGCGGGGAAGGACGGAGGGCCTTGAGAAACAGGGAGGCTGCGGCGGAAAGAGGGGCGGTGTCGTCGGAGAGCAGGGTCGACGATGGAAAGCGAGCAGCGGCGGGAGCGGAAAGCGAGGACATGGACGTGGGCGGGGAAGAAGACCCAGAGGCCTCTGGGGGTCCGCGAAACTGAGAAAACCCGACGGGGGCGAAAGGGGGTCGGGTAGCGCGGTACCTGCAGAGATCGTCCAGGACGCTGCCGGGAATCTCCACCCGTTTGGTCTCCATGATGAGGACCCACAGCAGGAACAGTGCATCCCGGCTCCGCGCGGCCGGGGACTGACGGTACGGCACTAGGACTCCGGCTCGCCGGAGAGCTGGCAGCCGAGGAAGCCGCGGCAGAGACGACTCCAACGGAGACGAGAAGGGGAAGGGGCGGGACCCGCTCACTTCCGTCCCGCTCCCTCAGCCTTGGACCCCAAGACTGGGCCAAGGCTCGGGGCGGAGCCCCCGGAGTCACGCCCCTGCTCGCTTGAAAGGCCCAATGGGAAGCTGAAGAATTGGGACTCTAAGCACTCTAAGCCAATGAGACGTTTGTTTATTGGTCTGCTACTTCCAATCCGTCTTCAAGCTGCTCAGTTGCTACTCAGAAAACCAACTTCCCGCCGCCTTTGAGGTGGCTACACGCATGCGCACCATGCCTCCTGCGCGCTTCTGGGAAGTTCAGAGGGGTCGGGGCTTAGGTGTAGACCCCGGACACATATCCGGGACTTTGGCATGTTGTGCAGGACCTCGCGGTGACTGAGCTCTTTCCTCTGCAGGGCCGACCCTGAGAATCCGTACAACACAAGAGTATGCTCGCGATTCCTGTCACCAAGTATCTTGCACTTATCGCAGCCCCCACCAACTCCAGGCCAAGAGCTGTGCCTCTTTCACTACAAACCCTTGGAGAGGGTATCCATTTTGGAGGTGGCTCTCCTCTGTGCTTCCTTAGGCACCTGGTTCCAAACATGAAGACAAGGACTTTATCTCAGTATCTGGCACCTAGCAAAATCTTAGAAAATACTGATTTAAGCTGAACTCTGATCTGTATTCCACCCTCTGCACAAAGCAATCCCCACCTGCTCGTCCTTATTCATTCCTCGTCTTGCTTAATGGAGACCAATCCATTTGGGATCTTTGGAGAAACTAGATCCATCTGTTCTTTTTCCTCTTACATCAGACCCACAGGCCCACACACACCTGCTCCGTCACAAGTTTAGTCTGTTCTACCATTTAATCTCCCATCTTTTGTCTAAATTTGTCACATGCCACTGTGTACTTCAGTTTTGCATCATTTCTCCATACTACAGTGAGAGCTGCCTAACCACTGACTCTGCCTCCATTCTTGGCCTGTGCAACTGCCTACATTTTGTTTTGTTTTACTCAGATAGGAACAAGTTATCTTTTCAGTTTCTGCTGTATGATCAAGCCCAAGTTCCTTTGGCATAAGAGGCCCGTCACCATCTATTTTGCTCCCGTTTTCCATCTTTTTTTTCCCCTCTTTCTTGGAGAATTCCTCAAATTTATCTTCCTGACAACTACAGAGTTTTTACTTATTTAGAGTTCTGTTTTGTTCTTCAAATGCCCCTTTCTTGTGGTGTCACATTCTTGCTTTGTATATTTTATTTTATCCTTCTGAGGATATTAATAATAGATTTTGACGTTTTCTTCTCCCTGAGTAGTCTTATTCCTCTCAGCTGCTTTTTGCTATTATCTTGATCTCATCTATCCTATTAGAAGCCTCTGTAGTCCTTGACTATTCACTCACACTTAAGAGTAAGGCCTTAACCTGGAGTCAAGTGCCTTGAAAGCTAATTGGAAGCTCTCACCTTGTAGATGGTACTTGTTTCCTGAGAGCTTCACTGTAGGATGATCTGGCTGAGCTGTTGGTTGGAAACACATGGTATCAGTATCTGTACGTAATTCTTTCTGCTGATGAAATTCCCTAAAGAGAAAATGCTTCCAGGCACAGCTTCATGTATTCTGGGAGTCCAGTACAGAAGCACAGGCTGCAGTATTCCATTTGCTTTATTCAGTACTCCCAGCACAGTCCAAGTCTTATTTTAGATTTCCTAAGAAGCAGGCACTGAGACAAGATTTTGAGTGCAGATAGCCTGTGAGGGAGGTGATCTTGGGAAACATTGGTAGGAGAGCAGGAAAGTGAGTCAAGGAGGGGAGGAAAGCCAAAAGGTTTATTATCAAGGAAATTAGCACTGTGGTTAACTGGAGCTTACTGTCACTGGAGAACTCTGGTGGCCAGTATAAAACATATACCTCAGAGTTATCCCACTCAAGGGGTGAGGGAGATGGGGATTTATATACCAACTTCCTTCATTGGTTGAAGGCAGCTCCTGGGGTCTGCACTCTAGCCTGCTACATGGGCAGCAAGATGGGCTCTGGTGGCCAGAAAAAGTCCTACGGCAAAGAAATGCAGATACTAGCAGTTGGACCTCCAGCCAGTGTAGTGGATGGATTGGTAAAGGTAAGAGTGAGCCCCTTCAGTTCTATTTTGCTGGGTGTGCATTCTACCTGTTCTGACTGAATGTCTTTTCTCTGACTGGGAGGCACCATAGTGGTTTTCTTAGTTGTCTCACTTAGAGCTCAAGTCTAGTTTTTAGAGTATTCTAAATGATGGCAGTGGAACAACAGTTCAAGGCAAAGTGGTGCTCACCCACATGGGCCAATGGTATATTAATAGAAACAAGCAGGTTACCAAGCACTTGCTGAAGCACCTGGAGGAATTCTTCTTACTAGCTTTCTAGTCTCCCAGTTTAGGGGCAGCTATACAACCCCTTTTGGGCTCTTAGAGGCCAGGAAGTCCCCAAACTCTCACATGGTGTTAAACCAATCTGCCTTATTAAGAGTTTCTGAGATGTCTGTGGTCCAAGATATTATCTTGCCCATGCCCCATCCCTCCACTGCCTCCTCACACACAGATTTCCAGGAGCTGGACTAGTGCAACCCTTATAGCAGCCCCCCAAGCCATGACTTCCAAAGAAGCCAACTGTATGGTAGAGGCACCTGACAGCAGTAACGTAAGCAGACCCAGGGGAATGACCCTGTGTGGCAGACAACCTGAATGAGTTTGCAGTTACAACCAAGATTCATTCCTTATCTATGAGGAACATCTGAGCCCTGTGGAATGCAGGCTGCACAGGAGGGCTAGGCCCTTTGTTTTGGGCTAAATGAAAGTTGTCAGGTGGAAGCTGTTAGGGAGAGGGTGCAAAATGAAAATGCTATATAAACTGCATGCTTTCTGCAGGTGATGTTGTTCTCATGTCCAGCTCACCTCTAGTGGACCGCTCTGTATGCAAGTTCCTCTCAATAAACCATATGCCTCATTTGCTGGCTCTGGGTCTCTTCTTCAGCCTCTTGAACCTAGTGCCATCCCTGTTAAAGTGAATAGGGACACCAAGGCCTCAATTCCATCTAATTGTTCACAGGACCCAGCTGAGAATGACAAAGGGGAGCTTAGAGTTGAGGTAACAGGAGAACAGGAGATGCTAGGGTTCTTAAATTATAATACTGATTTGATTTTTAAATAATTAGGTTGATTAAAACCTTTATAGTTTTAAAATATGCTATTTCATTTAGTCTTTTTTTTGGAACAAGATCCCACTCTGTTGCCCAGGCTGGAGTGCAGTGGCATAGCTCACTCCTGGGCTCAGTCTCCCACCTCACCCTCCCAAGTAGCTAGGAATACAAGTGCGCACCACCAGGCCTGGCTAATTATTTTTTTAAAAACTTTGTAGAGACAGGGGTCTCACTAGGTTGCCTATGTTAGTCCTAAACTCCTGGCCTCAAGCAATCCTCCTTCCTCAACTTCCCAAAGCACTGGGATTACAGGCATGAGCCACCGTGCCTGGCCTCATTTAGTCTTTATTACTACATGAAATAGACAAAGATTAATGAGGCTTATAAAGATTAAATGACTCAAAGATTAATGATTAAGCAACAGTATATAATTGAGTCAGGACTAGCATTCAGTTCTAAACTCATAGCAGGAATTCTGCCTTAGGGAGAATGACACAAAAACTATTGTTTATGCCTGTACAGCATATTATACTATAATATTCAAATATAATAATCTCACAACAAAATAAGCTGTCACTGAATCCTAAAAAATATTTAACTTGCTTATTGGCCTTTTAAATTGAGTGAGGTCGCCTGTAATCCCAGCACTTTGGGAGGCCAGGGCGGGTGGATCATGAGGTCGGGAGATCGAGACCATCTTGGCTAACACGGTGAAACCCTGTCTCTACTGAAAATACAAAAACTTAGCCAGGTGTGGTGGCAGACGCCTTTGGTCCCAGGTACTTGGGAGGCTGAGGCAGGAGAATGGCGTGAACCCAGGAGGCGGAGCTTGCAGTGAGCAGAGATCACACCACTGCATTCCAGCCTGGGCGACAGAGCGAGACTCTGACTCAAAAAAAATAAAAATAAAAATAAATAAATAATTAAATAGAGTGAGGTTAAATTAAGTCTGTCAAAGCTTCTTCACATCCCTACAAAGTTCTTATGGTTCAACTCAATGTTTATAGAGTAATACATAATTGCCCCTTCTGTTAGTCCCACACTCTTTCTAGTATAATATCTCCCACAGCATATAATATGTTTTAGTAACATCTACCAAGAAACAAAAATCTCCCTTGATCTCTATGGCAGTCTTACTAGATGCTGACTGTATTAGTCCGTTCTCACACTCCTAATAAAGACATACCCGAGACTGGGTAATTTATAAAGGAAAGAGGTTTAATTGACTCAGTTCCACATGGCTGGGGAGGCCTCACATCATGGCAGAAGGCAAAGGAAGAGCAAAGTCATATTTTACATGGCAGCAGGCAAAACGAGCATGTGCAGGGGAACTCCCCTATATAAAACCATCAGGTCTTGTGAGATTTATTCACTGTCATGAGAACAGCACAGGAAAGACCCACCCCCATTATTCAATTACCTCCCACCAGGTGCCTCCCATGACACATGGGAATTATGGAAGCTACAATTCAAGATGAGATTTGGGTGGGGACACAGCCAAACCATGTCACTCACCAATCCCGTTTCCTCTTCCTGGATTCACAGGCCTCCTTGCATTTAGATGGAAAAACGCAATTGAGTTCTGGCCAGTGGAATGAAGATAAACGTGATATACCCAACTTCAAAGCACAGCTCCTGAAATGCTCTATGTAATTTTCACATAATTTTTATTTCTCCCTTTTCTCTTCCCAGCTGAAAGCAAAGAACTCTTTAGATAGTGGAGTCACACTGGAAAAAGCACAGACCCTTGAGTGTACTGCTTGGAGGAGAGCTACCCTGGAGCATTTGCTCCAGATTCTGCATGAGCAAAAAATAAACTTTTGCTGCATAAAGTATCTTGTTTTTTTGTTGTTGGGTTTTTTTTCTCTTTACACACAAACCCTTTTCCATAATCAGTAAATGCAGGTTGTAGTGGTCATTCTTGTTTGCATGCCCAGCACTCATTTACCCAGGGCCAGCTGCATGTGTGTGTATGTATAAACCGTATAGTTGCACAGAACCCTACACTCAGAAAGGCCCCATGTTTGGTTTAATGCTCTGCTGTTACCATCTTGAAATTCTCAATTTTGTTTTTGAACTTGTGTTTTGTAAGTAAAATTGGAGGGACAATAGAGCATGAGCAGAGCCGAGACGTGCAATATGCATGTCCACTCACTCTTTGCCATGCCATTTGCATATAGCATTTGCATTGTCCTATTTAAATAGAATTTCACTGAACTCACAATGCATGAAAGTTCAGCAAGATTCAGAGTAAGAACAACATAGGCACATAGGAACTGAGTAGGTGGGGTCGCTGTCAGCCCTAGGAGGTCAAGCTTCCTGTGTATCAGAACTTGTTCTAATGCAAGAAGACAATGGCAGTCTAAAAACACAAAGAACCAAGAAACTCTATCATATCCTTTCCTATTGCTTTCCTGATTTAGCCAACCCCTTATGCTGAAAATGATGACATAGAAGGAAAGGGGAAGATCGAGCAACCCATCTTTTCCTTTTCTTTTTAGTTTTTTCCTCATCAATAAGAAGGTAGAGAGTGTGGTAGAATATGTATGTGCATATCAAGAAGTGACGTAAAAACAGTTGACTTTCGTACAGCATTTTGACTGTTCTGGTAACAATGAAATATATCATACATGTACAAAGTATGAAATAAGAATTATGTAATTTCAGTGATTCCACGTACAAGTTAAATGTTCTTATATTTGCATTTAAAACCAAAATTGTGGTTGGGCGCAGTGGCTCACACCTGTAATCCCAGCACTTTGGGAGGCTGAGGTGGGCAGATCATGAGGTCAGGAAATCGAGACCATCCTGGCCAATATGGTGAAACCCTGTCTCTACTAAAAATACAAAAATTAGCTGGGTGTGGTGGTGCATGCCTGTAATCTCAGCTACTCGGGAGGCTGAGGCAGGAGAATCACTTGAATCCGGGAGGAAAGATTGCAGTGAGCTGAGATAGCATCTCTGCACTTCAGCCTGGCGACATAGCGAGACTCCATCTCAAAAAAAAAAATAAAAAAGAAAAAAAAAAAAAAAAGCCAGCATTGCATAATATAAAGATGGTAAAAAGTCTTTGTAATGATTTTAATTTTACTTAGAATGAATTTAATTTTACTTAATTTTAATTTTAATCTTTATTTAGAATGACATTAAATATCAAAAACACCATAAGTGAAGAGAGAAACTGTGAAAGAAAGAAAAAGCCTTTATATTCTAGTATTTTTGTTGTTGTTGTAGTTAAGAGATGAGGTCTCAGTTTGTTGCCCAGGCCAGACTTAAACTCCTGGGCTCAGCAATCCTCCTGCGTAACTGATACTATAAGTGTATGCCACCTCGCCTGGCTTTCTAGCACCTTTAGTGACACTTTTTTCCTGCCTTTTGAATAAGGAGCTCTATATTTTCATGAGAGGAACAGGCTCTGCAAATTATGTATTAATAGCAGGCCCTGAATTCACCCCTTACTCTTTCCTAACAGAACCCTGATTAAGACATGTATCCCTTAGCTTCCCTCACACAGCACATGTGACTCTGGGGAAGCCAGAAACACTTTTGGCTCAAAGGCCAAAATCTGGTTGGTAAATCAAACACCACACTCCATTCCCTGGAAATGTACCCATTCTCTGGACAGGTACATACCTACATAGTCCAGTCAGTGTATACCATAGAACTCTTGCTTAAAACTTCGTGATGAAAAAGTCTCTCTTCTTTCATTGGATGTCATCAGGTCAGGATATGATGTCTGGAACTTCTACAGCCAGTACTCAGTGACTGATATACTACTACTCACTATCACTTTGAGGTTGAAGCTAATGTGTGGAATGGGGCAAAGCTGAAAGATCTGTAGGAAAATGGACCCAGAATTGTCAGGAAACGGGCTGGGAGAGAGACAGAGAGCACTAGCTGAGCTAACAGGTATCAGAGTAGCCAATTAGACCAACGAGCCAAAAATGAGAGTAGCGTTTACTGCAATGATACAAACAAGAAACAGAGAAAGTACCCACAGTTTCTGTTCCATTTCCCCCATGGAACTGCGCACTAGCTGCAGGTCACATGAGTCAGCACGGATGTAGGGGGTCATGGAGTCATATCACTGTTAAGGGATCCCTGAAGAAAAAGCTCCAGCAGTTTTATGGACTCTGAGGTGGAGTAGGGGAAGGCAAGGGGGAAAGGCTAAGAGTGGAAAAGTACTGAGTACCTAGGCAACCTGGAAAAGAATGTCAAGGTTTCCCCTCCCCTCCCCATAAGGAGGCCTCAGCAGAGAAGCCTAAAGAACCCTCTCCCCAGCCAGGCACAGTGGCTCACGCCTGTAATCCCAACACTTTGGGAGGCCAAGGCTGGCAGTTTGCTTGAGCTACTGAGTTCGAGACCAGCCTAGGCAACATGGCAAAACCTTGTCTCTACAAAAACTACAGAAAAATTAGCCTGGCATGGTGGCATCCACCTGTAGTCCCAGCTATTCAGGAGGCTGAGGTGGAAGGAGTGCTTGAGCCCGGGAAGCCAAGGCTGCAGTGAGCTGAGATTGTACCACTGTACTACAGCCTGGGTGACAGAGCCAGACCCTCTCTCAAAAGAAAAAAAAAAAAATCCTCTGCACAAGGCCTCAGATAAAGAAACCTAGGAATGAAGGAGGCACCAGGGATAGGAATGCAAATATTTACAGTCATGAGTTGCTTCAGAACAGGATACATTCTGAGAAATGCATTGTTGGGCGATTTTGTCATTGTGTGAACATTATAGAGTATACTGGTACAAACATAGATGGCATAACCTACCTAGGCTATATAGTACAGCCTATTGCTCCCAGGCTACAAACTTGTACAGTATGTTACTATACTGAATACTATAGGCAATTGTAATACAATGGTAAGGCTTTATAGATCTAAAAATATCTAAACACAAAAAAGGCACAGTCAAAATATGGTATAATAATCTTATGGAACCAACACCTTCGAATATGTTGTTGGTTGAAATGCTGTTATGTGACCCGTGACTGTATCAGAGCCTGCAGCACACTAGCTGTGCACCAAGTCTGTGGAAGGGAGAGCAGCTTTCCTCCATGAGGGCTGCCAGGTAGAGGCTTTGTAATCACCTGCAATCAGACAGACCTGAAAAACCACACGTAGGTTTTTAACCAGGAGCTGGAATCCTCAAGAACTAAGTGAAACCCAAAGCCTATCCTACCTCTGAACTTACATGAACCAAATATTTCTTAAGCCGAAGCTGTTATTTGAGCCTAAATCATTTTAATTTATATGTTCCTCTATCCATCCAGTAGCTCAAATCAGAAAACCTAAGAGTGAATCTTGATTCCTGTTTTTCTCATATATCACTATGCCCAATACATCAGCAATTCCTAACTAGTCTACCACCAAAACATATCTAAGATCCATCCCCATTTCCTCCACCTTAACTTTCCCCACCTTAGTCCAGGCCACAGCACTTCTCACTTAGACTACTTCAACTGGCTTCTAACTGGTCTCCTGTCTTGCACCCATGCTCCATTTTAATCTGTCCTCCACAGAGCAGCAAGAGTGATCAGGCTGGGGATGGTGGCTTACTCCTATAATCCCTACATTTAAGGAAGCTGAGGTTGGGGGATCGCTCCTGGACAGGAAGGAGTTAGAAACCAGCCTGAGCAATATAGTAAGATCCCGTATCTACAAAAGTAAAAAGGAAAAAACAAAAAAAAACCCATGCATAGTGGTGTACACTCATACTCCCAGCTACTCCAGAGGCTGAGGCAGGAGGATCCCTTGAGCCCAGGAGTTCAAGGTTACAGTGAGCTATGATTGCATCACTGAACTCCAGCCTGAGCAAAAAAGAGTAATAATCTTTTATTTATTTATTTATTGTAATTTTTTTAGAGTCAAGTTCCCACTCTCTTGCCCAGGCTAAAGTGCAGTGGTGTGATCATAGCTCACAGCAGCCTCACACCCTTGAGCTCAAGTGATCCTCCTGCCTCAGCCTCTCAAGTAGTTTGGACTACAGGCATGTGCCACCATGCCTTGCTAATTTTTGTTTTTGTTTGTTTATTTGTTTTGTTTTGAGATGGAGCTTCTTTCTTGTCGCCCAAGCTGGAGTGCAATGGCCTGATCTCCGCTCACTGTAACCTCCGCCTCCCGAGTTCAAGCAGTTCTCCTGTTTCAGCCTCCCAAGTAGCTGGGATTACAGGCATGCACCACCACGCCCAGCTAATTTTAATCTGTATTAAAATTAATAATTTATATTTTTAGCAGAAATGGGTTTTCACCATGTTAGCCAGGCTCATCTTGAACTCCTGACCTCTGGTGATCTGCCCACCTTGGCCTCCCAAAGTGCTGGGATTACAGGCATGAGCCACCATGCCCATCCTAATTTTCATATTTTTTGTAGAGACAGTCTTACTATGTTGCCTAGACTTGTCTCAAACTCCTGGGCTCAAGTAATCCTCCTGCCTTGGCCTCCCAAAGTGCTGGGATTACAGACACGAACCACTGCAGCTGGCCTGTGATCATCTTAAAACCCAAATTTGAATGATGGGCATGGTGGCATGTGCCTCTAGTCCCAGCTACTCAGGAAGTCCCTTGAGCCCAGTCTGGCCTGAGCAACATAGCAAGGCCTTATCTTTATAAGACCCTGTCTCTACAAAAATAAAGGAAAAAATGACATAAATTTAATCACATCACTCTCCTGCTTAAAATTTTTCATGACCCTCAGAGTAAACTCTAGTTTGCTATCTAAGAGAACTTACACGACGGAGCACTAAATGTCACTTTAGCTTCATCCTATGTCCCATCTTCATCTGTCTCTGCTACACTCTAGCCATATTAGTCTTTTTGAAATTCGTCAAATACCCCAAGCTCTTTCCAAATACCATTCCCACTGCCTGGAATGTTGCACCTACCTTCCATGATCCCCTCCTTTTCACCTTTATGTATGGGTTAAATGTCACCTCTTCAAAAAACCTTCCCTGGCCGCTCTATTTAAATAGTCTCGACTGGGTGTGGTGGCTCACACATGTAATGCCAGCACTTCAGGAGGCCGAGGCAGGTGGATCACCTGAGGTCAGGAGTTCATGGCCAACATGGTGAAACCCTGTCTCTACTAAAAAAAAAAAAAAAATTAGCCGGGTGTGGTGGCACGTGCGTATAGTCCCAGATACTCGGGAGGCTGAGGCAGGAGACTCACTGGAACCCAGGAGGCACAGGTTGCACTGAGCTGAGATTGCATCACCGCACTCCAGCCTGGGTGACAGAATGAGACTCAGTCTCTAAATAAATAAATAAATAAATAAATAAATAGTTTCTACTGTCATTACCTATCACATGTCTTTGTTTCCTTCATACTATGCTTCTTCAATTTGAAACATTTTCAATGCCTCTCCCCCATTATACTATATGTTACAAAAAAGCAGGGATCTTTTCTAATTTATCCACTAATTCCCCAGTGCTTAGAATACCTCAGTCATATCTATGACCTCTATAAACATTTGTTAACCAAAGAATAGGAAAATGAATGAGTTATCACCAAATATGTGCTGAGGTGACTAGGAAGGAGGTGATGAGACGCAAAATCTCAAAATGAGTAAGAGAGAATTACTTTTTAAAAAACAGAAAGAGGCCAGACGTGGTGGCTCACGCCTGTTATCCCTGCTCTTTGAGAGGACGAGGCAGGGGGATTGCTTGTAACTATGAGTTCGAGACCAGCCCGAGCAACATAGGGAGACCCCATCTCTACAAAAACCCAAAAAGATTAGCTAGGCATGGTGGCGCCTGTGGTCCCAGCTACTTGAAAGGCTGAGGAGAGAGGACTGCTTGAGCCTGGGAGGTCAAGGATGCAGGGGGCCATGATAGTGACACTGTACTCCAGCCTGGACAACAAAGCAAGACCGTGGCTCAAAATAAAATGAAATCAGAGTGAATCTCTGCTTTCTAAGAGTGAATCTCATCTTCCTAACATGTCGGAAAAGATGAACTCATTCTAGCTCAGTTAGGTTTTTGTTACTTTCACCAGAGTCCTAATACAGAGCTCGCTTGCTCTATGTGTATATGTTAAACAAATATATGTGATATATAAAACAAATATAAATATAATAAGTGTATAATAATATATAAATGTATGTGAAATATAAACATAGTAAGTATAAATGTACACTGCACATAAAACAACTCTTGAACTCTAGACTATGCCTCTTTTCTTTTGCCCTCCCCTTCCTGTTCCCTGTCATGTCTAACTCCCATGCACTGATGTATTTGCCCAGAATGGGAGGAGGCAGTTGAAAGGGGACAAATGGAATTGTCAGACCCAAGTAAAAAAGTTCTAAGCGGCCGAGCACGGTGGCTCACACCTGTAATCCCAGCACTTTGGGAGGCCGAGGCAGGCAGATCACGAGGTCAGGAGTTCGAGACCAGCCTTACCAACATGGTGAAACCCCAACTCTACTAAAAACATAAAAATTAGCCAGGCGTGGTGGCACATGCCTGTAATCTCAGCTACTCAGGAGGCTGAGGCATGAGAATAGCCTGAACTTGGGAGTCAGAGGTTGCAGTGAGCCGAGATCGCGCCACTGCACTCTAGCCTGGGTGACAGAGCAAGACTCCATCTCGAAAAAAAAAACAAAAAAAGCTCTAAGCTAGTGATTAACAACCTTCTTTTGCATGAGGAACAAATTAGAAAAAGTAAAATTATTTTTGAACTTTAAAAAAAAATCTTAACTTTAAAAATCAGAAATACAATTTCTATAACGGTTCTTAAGAATCTGCTTATTAATTTCCTGTCATTGACTAAAATTTCAAAACTAAGTTATTAATACACACTAATTATTATGTTGAATCTTTGAATAAATTTTGTTGTTGAGTAAGTATCCTAAAGGCTGGCTTTTCTTTCTTTTCTTTTTTTTTTTTTTTGAGATGGTGTCTCACTGTCACCCAGGCTGGAGTGTGGTGGCGCGATCTCAGCTCACTGCAACCTCCTCCTCCTGGGTTCAAGTGATTCTCCTGTCTCAGCCTCCTGAGTAGCTGGGACTACAGGCACATGCCACCATGCCAGGCTGATTTTTGTATTCTTAGTAGAGATAGGGTTTCACCATATTGGTTAGGCTGGTCTCAAACTCCTGACCTAGGGTGATCCACCCACCTCGGCTTCTCAAAGTGCTGGGATTACAGGCGTGAGCCACCATGGCTGGCCAAGGCTGGTGTTTATTTTCTTAATGACCTTGTAAGCATCTTAACCGGAAAAAGGAGTTTGTCTTATAGCGCCTCTTACAATGAATTCTTTAAAAGAAGTTGTTTTGTTAAAAACAATGATGAACAAACCAACCCAAAGAAATACAAAGAAGCACCTCTCCAATCACTCACTGGTAAACTCATCAGCTAAGTTTGGCCCCATAACTCTGTGCTGGCTGGTCTTCATGTACCTCCTAAGTCCCCAGTTGTGTGGCACTCTCCAGAGGCCCCACCTGGGTAGACCTAACTATTTCCAGAATACACAAGGAAGCCAAGTATGTTTTATCTGCTACCAGCAGAGGGTGTTCATTCCTTTTTTCCATTTTTAAATTTTGCATCATACTGCTGAGTAATATTTTTAGTACAAGAACATGACTTTAAAACTGCAGCTTTTGACATACATAGGACTCCACTTCTTAGGAGTCCTGTAATGGAACTGGGAAATGGCAGTGTTTTCTGGTTAAATGACTCAGAACTCTGAAGAAACCCTTTCTCACACAACGAAACCTCCCCCTTAGAGTTACTTCTTTTAGTCATCACAGCACTGCCAAACAGTGATACAATCTCACTCTGTAATTAGTTTTCTATTGCTGTTATAACAAATTACCACAGACTTGATGGCTTAAACAATACAAACGTATGGCCAAGTGCAGTGGCTCATGCCTGTAATCCCAGCACTTTGGGAGGCCAAGGCGGACAGATTACTTGAGGTCAGGAGTTCGAGACCAGCCTGGCCAACATGGCAAAATCCCATCTCTACAAAAAATATAAAAAATTAGCCGGGCATGGTGGCACATACCTGTAATCCCTGCTACTTGGGAGGCTGAGGTAGGAGAATCGCTTGAACCTGGGAGGCAGAGGTTGCAGTGAGCCAAGATTGCACCACTGCACTCCACCCTGGGCAACACAGTAAGACTCTCTCAAAAAACAAACAAACAAGTTCTCACAGTTCTGTAGGTTAGCAGCCCAACACAGATCTCACTGGGCTAAAATCAAGGTGTTGGCAAGGCTGTGCTCCCTAGTGAAGGCTATAAGGAACAATCAGTATCCTTGTTTTTTCCAGCTTTCAGAGGCCGTCTACTTCCTCAGCTCATGCTCCCCTTCCCCCATCTTCCAAGCAGCAATGACAAGTGATTCCTTCTGACGTTGTATCTCTGAGCTTTTCCATCATTCCACCTCCCTCTGATTCACTCCTTCTGGTCTTCTTTCACTTTTAAGAACCCCTGTGATTATATTGGGCCCTCCTGGATAATTCATGATCCCATGGTCTTCTCCCTATCTTAAAATCAGCTGATTAGCAACTTTAATTCCATCTTCAATCTTAATTCCCCTTTGCTATTAACACATTCAGAGATTCCAGGGATTAGGACGTGGACATCTTTGGAGGACATTATTCTGCCTGCCATACTCTCTGTGTCCTTGTTTAGTAGCCCCTTCTCTGTGTCTACCCATCTCCTTACTTTCCTATCTCCAGGAATCACTGACATAAATTTTTATCATTTGGTAATTGCTAGTTTCATTAACTTGAATTTATGGAATTGTATCTTTTTTGTTCCTCTTGCATGGGATTACCCAGTTTAAAAATTATCCTTATTTGTTGGTAAAATAACAGGATATCTGGGATTTGCTTTAAAATGATCCGTTGGGGGGAATTACAGGGCAAATAGATAAAATAAGGCAAAAGGATGGTAATTATTGAAGTTGGGTGCAGTTTCAAGTAGTTAGAATAAAAAGTTTTTTAAAAAATCTAGACCCTATTGAGAAGTCAATGGACTTTTCCTCTTCTTGTTTCTTGAGTAGTTGAGAGAAAAACAATTGATGATAACAGTTGAAACTGCAAACCAAAATACCATTATTAAATGCCCAAATTCAAAATGCAATTGACTTTTTAAAAAACTTGATTAGCTGGGAGTGATGGCACATGATTGTAGTCCGAGACTGAGCACTTACGCTATGACTGTACCCCTGCACTTTAGCCTGGGGGACGGCAATATTTCATCTTTTTTTTTTTTTTTGAGACAGAGTCTCGCTCTGTCGCCCAGGCTGGAAAGCAGTGGCATGATCTTAGCTCACTGAAACCTCTGCCTCCTGGGTTCAAGCAATTCTCATGCCTCCGCCTCCCAAGTAGCTGGGATTACAGGCTTACAGGCACCCACCACCATGCCCAGCTAGTTTTTGTAGTTTTAGGAGAAACAGGGTTTTACCATGTTGGCCAGGCTGGTCTCGAACTCCTGACCTCAGGTGATCCACCCGCCTTGGCCTCCCAAAGTGCTGGGATTACATACGTGAGCCACCACGCCTGGCCAAGGTTTCATCTTCAAAAAAAATTAAAATAAAAAAAAACTTCATTGAGATATAATTTAAATACAATAAAATGCTGTTAGCTGATGGAGTGGCACACTCCTGTCCCAGCTACTCAGGGGAATCACTTGAGCCCAGGAGTCCAAGGCTTCAGTGAGCTATGGTCCAGCCTGTGAATAGCCACTGCATTCCAGCCTGGCAACACAGCAGACTCATATATTTAAAAAATATATGCCGTTCACTTTTTGTAAAATTAAACTTTCTATTTTGAGAAAATTGTAGAAGAGAGATCTTCCTACAACTGGATATGAATTTTCTCAAAATAGAAACTTGGTATATACTTTACCCAGTTTTCCGCAATGGTAACATCTTGCAAAACAGTATCACAACCAAGATATTGAAATCAATGCAGTCAAGACACAGAACATTTAATTACCACAGGTTCCTTCATGTTGCCCTTTTATAACCATTTTCTGTCTGGGTGTTCAATATTTACAGTATATTCCAAATGAAAACTTTTCTATGACTTTTACATGCCTTCCTCTTAGCTTTACATAGGAACTATGAGCAACTGCTTAAAATTACTGAAACCTATTTTTTCAGAGCTCTCATACATACTGCCTGAATCTATTTTCTGATATGATCCTAAAATTATATTGACTAAATCTTAGGAGCCATAGATAGACTACCAAAATATCAGCTGAAATAAGGGCTTGAGAGCAGCAAAGAGGGTAGTGAAAAGGCATCCTGGTCCTCCAAGATCAAAGCAGCACAGTGGGTTCCAGGCCAGTCAGTATTACAGAGCCCTTGACTGGCAAGTCAACAATATGACAGACACCATCACTGGGAGCTGCCCTCTCCAATGTCCAATCTCCTCCCTCCTCTCAGTTAAAGGCCTCATTTAAAAGCCTACATGTCCTTGTCTGTCTCACGGCCATATGCTGCTAGATGTGAAACTGCATTTGGCCAAGGAGATACAAGCATAACGGTGGTCTAGAACCCTTGGGAAGTTGTTAAAAGAAAGCAGAAGCCTCTTTTCCACCCCTTCCTCTTTGTCCCTTCCTGTCGCCAGCAATCGGTAACCTGAGCAGAGTAGCAAAATAGAACTCTCTGGTCCCTGATGACCTTGGAGCCACTAAACCAGCTCTGGAGTGCCTATTTCTAGAATTCTTTTACTGAGCGAGAGAGAGAAATAAATGTCTACTTTGTTTAAGCGATGATACTGGTTTTTTTCTGTTATATGTAGACAGTAGTCCAAACTGACATAAGTAATCCTCTCCTCATGTAGAGGCAAAGGTAGTTCTCAGTTAAGGCTTGAGAGTGCACTTTTCTTTGGATAAAAACATTTTAATAGGCCCTTTTAGCATACAAAATTAAAGCTCCAAAACTATTACAGACAGAAGAGTTTGAGACAATTGAAGGTAAACAGCTCTGAAGAATGATGCGAAGCTTTATCTTCCTCTGAGCAGAGTTGAGGCACTGCAGAAAGAGGATTATGATGTTGGAAGAAGAGAGAAGAAGCAGGCAGGAAGGATTTCCTCTTTCTAGGAAAAAAAAAAAAAAAAGGCTATAGTTGAGGGCCTGCAGCCTGGGTAGGGCTCCAGGTCAGAGAATCCCCATCTGTCATCTATGATTTCAAAGATGCTCCTAGCACCAGAGGCCTAAGGAGGGTGACAGCTGGAAGAGCAGGCCCCTGCACAGATGGATCTAGGAGCCAGAATATCAACATGCTTTCATTTTAAGGGGGATTCTTTTTCCTTTTCTGAAAAGTAATTTTCTTTGCTAAAGTCCAAGTGCAGTGAGCATCTGCCTCTTTAAAAAACAAAAAACAAAAACCAAACAAACAAAAAAACTTCTCAGCATTCATTTTCTCTCTGGAAGCATAAAGCTGTTTTTCCTTCAGGAGCAACTCCTCCCCCATTCTCATTCATGTACTCTGAGTGGGTTTGATTCCTCATTTCTAACCCCTCCACCCTCACTCCAACCTCCAAGAGCACTTGTCACCATGATTATTTAAGAAATAAGCCAGGAGGCCAGGCATGATGACTCACGCCTGTAATCCTAGCACTTTAGGAGGCCAAGGCAGGTGAATCACCGAAGGTCAGGAGTTCAAGACCAGCCTGGCCAACATGGCGAAACCCCGTCTCTAACAAAAATTAGCTGGGCATGGTGGCACGTGTCTGTAATCCCAGCTACTCGGGAGGCTGAGGCTGGAGAATCACTTGAACCAGGGAGTTGGAGGTTGCGGTAAGCCGAGATCCTGCCACTGCACTCCAGCTTGGTGGCAGGGTGAGACTCTGTCTCAAGCAAACAAACAACAAAAAATTATAGTTCGAGACCAGCCTGGCCAACGTGGCAAAACCCCGTCTCTATTAAAAAAACAAACAAACATTAGCTGGGCGTGGTGGCACACACCTGTAATCCCAGCTACTCAGGAGGCTGAGGCTGGAGAATCACTTGAACCCAGGAGGCGGAGGTTGCAGTGAGCCGAGATCGTGCCATTGCACTCCAGCCTGGGCGACAGAGCAAGACTCCGTCTCAAAAAAAACAAAACAAAACAAAACAAAAAACAAATACTAAGTCTTATTCATTCTATAGAGATCACACTGCTGCACTCCAGCCTGGGTGACAGAGTGAGACTCCATTAAAAAAAAAAAAAAAAAAAGCTAGGAACCCAAGCCAAATTGCCAAAGACCCAACATGAGGATGTCTTCTTAACTGATTGGAAAAGAAATGCTTCTTCTTTCTGTTGGGCTTGCTAAAGTGCTAGGAACATAAGCCTGGGGATTCCAGTGCTTTCTCTGCTACCACTCAGGAAAGCCTGCATAAGAATGAAGCCAAAACAGAAGAAAGCAGGAGAAAGAGATGAAGAGAAGCCACTTTCTGTTTCTTTTCTATTTTCTTTTTCAAACTCCATTACTCTGAGTAATGGAGTAATTTCTTATCTTACTGTTTGAGCCCTAGAATCCAACCGAGCCTCAAACTACATATATTCCCTGGATCTTTCATTACCTTAGCCAATACATTCTCTTTTTTGTCATTGTTGTTGTTCTTTAAAACCAGTTTGAATAGAATTTTTGTCTCTTGCAACCAAGAGTCCTAACTAACACACTAAGTCTGCTCTCACTATGTTTTGGGGGAGTCAAGGGAGAGGTCTGTACCTACATTTGGAATACATGGTTATTAGGAAAGCAAAGAAGCATTAAAAAAAAGTGATGAGAGCAAAAGATGATTGGCAGGACGGTAACCTTGGAAATAGAGACAGAAGCTTAGACCCTGCTAATTTGGCACAAACAAGAATGGCCACCAACACTTAGAGAAGTTGAGAACACTCTGATTTACAATAATAAAATTGATATATCATGAGCAAAATATGCTATCTGCAGAAAACTGTCTCATGGGTCCAAGGGGGAAGAGTTGAATTAGACAGTTCGCTAACATTATTTGCATCTTTAAAAAAACAATGAGTCACCAGGGTACACAGGGAAAGCCTGAAAGAGATCTGAGCTGCAGGGTTTGGCACTGCGCCTCAAGTCCCACAGACTAAAGAAACACTGAGTAACCAACTTAACCATCTGCTTGGCAGTACTTCCATATAATGGCTCTAATAGGACCTTTAACCTTGAAAATCACTCAGCTTAGGCTTCATTTCAATTCAACACTTTTCAAGCAACCCTGAGATTACATTTTTATATCCCATGTAACTTTCTGTCAGCACGACTAAGCACCCTGCAAAAGAGATGGAAACAGTCCAGATCAAAAATATTTGAGAGACTGGAAAGTCAAACTGCACCCTGGAAGCCAAGTACAAACAGCACATGTAGATGGTCTTAAGCAGAATCAGAATTTTGGGAAGGGATGCGGAATTGGAATGGAAGTGTGGGGTAAGGAGACCACACTGTCCAAGTCAGAGACAGAGTAATAAAAGATCAGGTTGGAAATGAACAAGATTTTGGCAACTGTTCTGATTAAACTGGGAGGGTCTGCATCTGGCCTTTGCTGGCTAGTGGCCTCTGAGGGATGGATTTGGTTTAAGGACAGAGAGCCAGGTGGCCAGCAACAGGGCCAAGAAATTTCTTTTTTAAGCAAAAATCAGTATACTCTATTTTACTACTTAAAAGAGTTTCATTATTTTTAGTAGTAAATGACTTTCTAAAAGTTAATTTTCCTAACTTTGAATATGAAAAATTAATACAAATCAATGAAAGGACTCCGCTGGAAATAAAGAATATACGCAATTTTTTTTTTTTTTTTGACGTGGAGTCTCGCTCTGTCTCCCAGGCTGGAGCGCAGTGGCACGATCTCGGCTCACTGCAAGCTCTGAAATGTAGGCAATTTTTATGCTTAAAAAGTCCAAGCCTTTCTATTATTAATATGTAAAAGTGGACTGTCAATTTCCATACATTTGCCCACATATACCATTATTTTCACGATAGTGAGCTTATGTGAACCAAAAGTATATAAATCTTAAAGATTATCTACCTCTGGCTTTGGAATGCCATTTCTTCAGAGATATTTGTTTGGGAAAGAATGGCAAATAATGACCAACAGGCAGACTGCCAGGTTGCAAAAGAACTGCTGGTTTGGCATTGTTTCAGTACCCATATTAAAATATTCTGTTCGTTAAATTTCCTACAGAAGAAAATTTGCATTGCTAAACTTGAATAATACAGCATGCATCCCTAATTTAGGTAAAACATCCATTCTGCCAGAGCTCTATAATTAGAAAACAACCATAAAAACTACAAAAAAAATGCTAGTTTTCACAAATTTAAAGTTTTATTTGCAAAGCATCAGCCCACTCTAACAGGTGCTTTGCTTATGAAGAATACTGGATTACTGCTCATTTCCCCTGCCCTGCTTATGTCCCCAATCTTACTTACCTCTCCTGTCCTCTTCCTTCTAACCCCATTCCCCTACTCCTAGAAATGTTAACAAACCCAGTGTGTATCTTCACATACCTTCTCCCTACTCTCTAAACAAACATATATACATAGGGATTTTCTCCTCACTGTTTTACCAAATAAAATACTATAAATTTATCTGCATTTCCCTTTCTTGGTAAAAACACACAGTGGACATCTCTCCAAGTCAATTGATAGAGAGTTCACTCATTCTATTAAGTAGCTAATATTCTGTGTTGCTTAATATTCAATGAGGTGGATATACCATAACTTAGTCAATAGTTACTTCTTGAAGGGTATATACTTTTAGTTTTTTGTCTCTACAAAAAGTGCTGCAGTAAAAATCCTTGTATGCAAGTTCCTATGTACTGGTGCCCTTATTTCCAAGAACTAGCAGCAGTGAGATTAGAGGAGCAAAGGAATGCAGACTTTAAATTTTAGGCTGGATGCCATGGCTCAGGCCTGTAATGTCAGCACTTTGGGAGGCCGAGGTGGGTGGATCACTTCTGGCCAGGAGTTCGAGACCAGCCTGGTCAACATGGCAAAGCCCCAACTCTAATAAAAATACAAAAATTAGCTGGGCATGGTGGTGCATGCCTGTAATTCCAGCTATGCGGGAGGCTGAGGCATGAGAATTTCTTGAATCTGGGAGGCGGAGGTTTCAGTGAGCCGAGATCATGCCACTGCACTCCAGCCTGGGTGACAGAGCAAGACCCTATCTCAAAAATAAAAGAAAATAGAAACAAATAAATACTTTTTAATAGGTACTGCCAGATTGTGTTCCCAATGGACTGTATTGAACTTCTAGATCCAAACTTAACAGATGAGCATGTCCACTCTTGTAGTCACCTCTATTGCCCCCAGTCATTGGAGTTACTATTCTTTTTAGTTATTGCATCTTGATAAAAGATCCAATAATTGGGTTTTATCTCTATTCATGGTATTAATCTTTATCAATTCATTTTTATGTATTCATCTTTACTAATTTTATCTTGAATGCACACACAAGGGGTTCTGGAACACAGTCAGATTCATTTTTACCTAACAGTAAATTAGTGTGCTGGCCCTCCTTACTGAAGTTCTGATTCAGTTGTTGTCTGTATCATCAAGGTGGCACTTCTGTGATCTCTGAATCTTTGTAGATCCTCATAGACCTTTCTTTTACTCTGATAGACAAACAATAGATCAACTGGGTAAAGATACTTGGGTAGCACTGTTTGTTCTTTCCGTAGTCTGTGAATTTTACTTTATTTTCTCTAGCTTCAGGTTTTTGATGAGAAATGTGAAGCCGGGCTGATATTTTTCCTTTTAGACTAATATTATCTCTATATCCAACAGACTCTAAGGTTATTACTTTTGATTCTTGGAGTTCTAGATTTTTACCAGAATATGCCTCTATGGAGGTATACATTGTTGTCACTGTTGCCATTATTATTATTATTTTTTTTTTTATTGATCATTCTTGGGTGTTTCTCACAGAGGGGGATTTGGCAGGGTCATAGGACAATAGTGGAGGGAAGGTCAGCAGATAAACAAGTGAACAAAGGTCTCTGGTTTTCCTAGGCAGAGGACCCTGCGGCCTTCCGCAGCGTTTGTGTCCCTGGGTACTTGAGATTAGGGAGTGGTGATGACTCTTAATGAGCATGCTGACTTCAAGCATCTGTTTTACAAAGCACATCTTGCACCGCCCTTAATCCATTTAACTCTGAGTGGACACAGCACATGTTTCAGAGAGCACAGGGTTGGGGGTAAGGTCACAGATCAACAGGATCCCAAGGCAGAAGAATTTTTCTTGGTACAGAACAAAATGAAAAGTCTCCCATGTCTACTTCTTTCTACACAGACACGGCAACCATCCGATTTCTCAATCTTTTCCCCACCTTTCCCCCCATTCTATTCCACAAAGCCGCCATTGTCATCCTGGCCCGTTCTCAATGAGCTGTTGGGTACACCTCCCAGACGGGGTGGTGGCCGGGCAGAGGGGCTCCTCACTTCCCAGTAGGGGCGGCCGGGCAGAGGCGCCCCTCACCTCCCGGACGGGGCGGCTGGCCGGGCGGGGGGCTGACCCCCCCACCTCCCTCCCGGACGGGGCGGCTGGCCGGGCAGGGGGCTGACCCCCCCCACCTCCCTCCCGGACGGGGTAGCTGCCGGGCGGAGACGCTCCTCACTTCCCAGACGGGGCGGCTGCCGGGCGGAGAGGCTCCTCACTTCTCAGACGGGGTGGCTGCCGGGCGGAGAGGCTCCTCACTTCTCATACGGGGCGGCCGCCGGGCGGAGGGTCTCCTCACTTCTCAGACGGGGCGGCCGGGCAGAGACGCTCCTCACCTCCCAGACGGGGTGGCGGCCGGGCAGAGGCGCTCCTCACATCCCAGACGGGGCGACAGGGCAGAGGCGCTCCCCACATCCCAGACGATGGGCGGCCGGGCAGAGATGCTCCTCACTTCCTAGATGTGATGGCGGCCGGGAAGAGGCGCTCCTCACTTCCCAGATGGGATGGCGGCCGGGCAGAGACGCTCCTCACTTTCCAGACTGGGCAGCCAGGCAGAGGGGCTCCTCACATCCCAGACGATGGGCGGCCAGGCAGAGACGCTCCTTACTTCCCAGACGGGGTGGCGGCCGGGCAGAGGCTGCAATCTCGGCACTTTGGGAGGCCAAGGCAGGCGGCTGGGAGGTGGAGGTTGTAGCGAGCCGAGATCACGCCACTGCTCTCCAGCCTGGGCGCCATTGAGCACTGAGTGAACCAGACTCCGTCTGCAATCCCGGCACCTCGGGAGGCCGAGGCTGGCGGATCACTCGCGGTTAGGAGCTGGAGACCAGCCCGGCCAACACAGCGAAACCCCGTCTCCACCAAAAAAATACGAAAACCAGTCAGGCGTGGCAGCGCGCACCTGCAATTGCAGGCACTCCGCAGGCTGAGGCAGGAGAATCAGGCAGGGAGGTTGCAGTGAGCCGAGATGGCAGCAGTATAGTCCGGCTTCGGCTCGGCATGAGAGGGAGACTGTGGAAAGAGAGGGAGAGGGAGACCATGGGGAGAGGGAGACCATGGGGAGAGGGAGACCATCGGGCTGTTGCCATTATTTTTTAATCACTCTGACTGAAAGCTGGGCACAGTGGCTCATGCCTGTATTCCCAGCACTTTGTGAGGCTGAGGTGGGAGGATCACTTGAGCCCAGGGGTTTGAGACCAGCCTGGGTAACATAATAAGACTCCATCTCTGCAGAAAATAAAAAAGATTAGCCAGGTGTGGTAGCACAAACCTATGGTCCCAGCTGTAGGGGGGGCTGAGACAGGAGGATCCCTTGAGACCAGAAGGTTGAGGCTGCAGTGATCCATATTCAAGCCACTGCACTCCAGCCTGGATGATAGAGTAAGAGCTTGTCTACAAACAAACAAACAAACAAAAACAACTAACTGAAACTCAGTTAAACCTTTAATCTTTTAATTCAAATTGTTCGTTAACTCAGATACATTTTCTTCTTTTTTTTGTTTAATTATTGCCTCTCCTCCATTTGTTTATTTTCTGCCTCTGATAACCATATTTACATGTTGCAGCTTCACTATCTATCATCCAAGTCTTTTATATTTTTTCACCACTTCCATTGCTTATTTCCTCTCTGTATTTTAAAATCTTTCTTCTACTATTTTACCCTGTGTTTTGAAATCTTACTTCCATTTAATTTTCTAGACCACTAATTCAGTTTTCACCATTACCAGCCTTTCTTTAAAATTTATCTACTAAATTATAAAATTAGAAAACTAATTTTGTTTTTGCTTAATGTTTCCAGAAATTCTGTTTTTTGCTATAATTGAATCTTCATAAATTCTCTTACTCTTTTGGCTGTGGTTTAGGTTGTTGTCTTTCTCTGACAACAGTTTATAATTTGCAAGGAGTCATCTGGTATATTAGTTATCTACTACTACAAAACAAATCACCTCAAAACTTTGTGCCTGAACACAATAAACGTTTATTGTCTCTAGGGAATTCAAGTGGAATACAAGAGAACCCGAAAAAAAGTAAAAGTCTACTTTCAGCCCCATGACTTCAGTTTCATCTACCCATTTACCTATCCAAAGATAACCATATTCTATAGTTTAAAACAAATTCTAAGCATACATAAGCACATATATGTATGTAGAGAGATATTTTTGGATTTTGTTTTGAAATAATTTCAGACTTATAGAAAAATGACAAAAATTGCACAAAAAACATACCCTTCACCCAGACTCCTCAAATATTAGCATTTTACTATTTTAGTTTCATTATCCTTTCTCTATATATATTTTTTCTGAACAATTTGAGATTGAACTGCAAATATGATGCCACTTTACCACTAAATACATCAGTGTGTTTCCTAAAAACAAAGACATTTTCCTTTATACCCACAGCACAAGTATAAAAATCGAGAAATTAACGTCAATGTAATATTACCTAATCTACAGACCTTATTCAAATTTCACTACTCTACTAGCATTTTTTTTTCTTTGAGATGGCATCTCACTCTGTTGCCAGACTGGAGTGCAGTGGCATGATCTCAGCTCACTGCAACCTCCGCCTCCCAGGTGCAAGCGATTCTCCTGTCTCAGCCTCCCAAGCAGCTGGGACTACAGGCACGTGCCACTACACCCAGCTAATTTTTGTATTTTTAGTAGAGATGGGGTTTCACCATGTTGGCCAGGATGGTCTCCATCTCTTAACCTTGTGATCTGCCCACCTCGGCCTCCCAAAGTGCTGGGATTACAGACACGAGCCACTGCACGTAGCCTCTACTAGCATATTTTACAGTAAAAGAGAAAGAACTTTTTTTGGTCCAGGATCCAATCCAAGATATATGCTCCATTTATTTGTCAGCCTCTTTAGGTCCCTTTGATTTGCAAGAGTTCCTCAGTCTTTCTTTTTCTATAGATAACTTTTTTGAAAAAAATTACAAATAGAATAATTCTATATAGCTATGTCCCTTGTTTTTTATTACTTAAAATACCTTGGACATTTTCCATTTCATTATATATACATATTATATATAAATACATATCTATATTAATATATATTATATATAACATATATAAAAATATAAATATATATCTATATTAATATATATTATATATAACATATATATTATATAAATATATCTCTATATTATATATTATATACAACATATATATTTATATACATATATATCTCACACACTTATTTTACTGACTGCACAGTATACCGTGTCAATCAAAATGATGTAGGTTATGCTGTGATAAACACTACCAAAATCTCAGTGGCTTAACAGAATACAAGTTTATTTCTTGTGCATGTGAAATCTGCTGTCCTCTATCAGTGGTCTGGGATGCTTAGCATCTCATGGGCCTCCATCCCAATATGTGTTTCTACAATTGCTGCAGCAGAAGAGAGCATGGAGAATCTCAATGGGCTGCTAAAATGCTTCTCAAATTTCAGGGGCCAAAGCAAATCACATTGGCAGCTAAACCTCAAAGGGGAAGACATGTATATTCCCCCCATGTACTCAGAAGAGGTAATCGAGAAATACTGGTGACCAGTGCCCTGGCACAGTGCTGCTCGCCTTATAATCTCAGCACCTTGGGAGGCCGAGACAGGAGGATCGCTTCAATCCAGAAGTTCAAGACCATCCTGGGCGACATGGCAAAACCCCATCTCTACAAAAAATACAAAAAAAATTTAGCCATGCCTGGTGACTCATGGCTGTAGTCCCAGCTACTCGGAAGGCTGAGGTGGGAGGATCATTTGAACCTGAGAGGCGGAGGCTGCAGTGAGCTGTGATCGCACCACTGTACTCCAGTCTGGGTGAAAGAGCAAGACCCTGTCTCAAAATAAAAAGAAAAGAAAGAAGAAAGAAAAAGAAAAGAAATATTGGTGACCACTAGAAATGTACTGAATGACTGTACCATAATTTGACTGGGTGCGGTGGCTCACACCTGTAATCCCAGCACTTTCGGAGCCGAGGTTGGCAGATCACTTGAGGTCAGGAGTTTGAGACCAGTCTGACTAACATGGTGAAACCCCATCTCTGCTAAAAAAAAAAAAAAAAAAAAAGCAGCTGGCGTGGTTGCACATGCTTATAATCCCAGCTACTTGGGAGGATCGTTTGAATCCAGGAGATGGAGGTTGCAGTGAGCTGAGATCGCGCCGCTGCACTCCAGCCTGGGCGACAGAACGAGATTCCCTCTCAAAAAAAAAAAAAAAAAAAGAAAAGGAAAAAGAAAAAAGGCTGGGTGTGGTGGCTCATGCCTGTAATCCCAGCACTTTGGGAGGCCGAGGCGGGCGCATCATGAGGTCAGGAGATCCAGACCATCTTGGCTAACACGGTGAGACCCGGTCTCTACTAAAAATAGAAAAAAGTAGCCAGGCGTGGTGGCAGGCGCCTGTAGTCCCAGCTACTCGCGAGGCTGAGGCAGGAGAATGGCGTGAACCCGGGAGGCGGAGCTTGCAGTGAGCCGAGATCACACCACTGCACTCCAGCCTGGGAGACAGAACAAGACTCCATCTCAGAAAAAAAAAATAATAATATGTATAACATAATTTATTTACATAGTCCTTCAGTAATGGACATTTAGGCTGCTTTCAGTTTTTTTCCCAAAGATATTGATACTTTTAGCTTTTGCACATTTGTATGAGCATCTACAGTACAAATTCCAAGAAGTGAACTTGCAAAAGCAAAAGAAATGTGCATCTAAACTTTAGATAGATCTGGCTGGGTGTGGTGGCTTACACCTGTAATCCTAGCACTTTGGGAGGCCAGGGCCGAAGGATCCCTTGAGCCCAGGAGTTCGAGACCAGCCTGGGCAACATAGGGAGACTCTGTCTCTATTTAAAAAAAAAAAAAATCAATCAATAAAGTTTAGATAGATCAAGGCTGACATTTTCGGTTATCTTCAAGCGAACAGAGGAAGCCACACAACAAAGACAAGGAATTGACACAGAAAAAGAAAGGGAAGAAAGAGATGGGAAAGCCAGAGAGAACAGACTTCAAGCCTGACGTTCCATTTTACGGACCCTCTGAATCCTGACTGTCCATGTCTACTAAACCTCAACATGTGTTTAGTAAATTCTTGTTTTCACTTTTGTACATCTGAATGGGTATAGCTCCTTGCCATAAGTTATATCAGATTCTGAGGGGAGAGAAAGAAGGATGGAATGATCTTTACTCCAATTTAGGTTTCCAACCTAGTAAAGAGTTGGGGCAGAGAAAGAACCAAGCACTGAGTTACCCAATCCCAAGGTTCCCCACTGGACCAATATTTAATGGGTTGAGTTGCTTTTAAATCCAGTACAATGGTTGACAGAAGTGCATATTCCTCAGATATGGAACAAGAACATAACTCAAGGAAAGTCTTACTTTTAAATTCCATCTCTGCACCAGGGTAAATTCTTATTTTTAAAAACCCAGCTCGGATTTCACTCACTTCATGATCCTTTATCAACTGCTACCAGAGCCCACCCTGATCTCCAACTTTTCTAAATTCTCATAACACATAGCATACAAGGTAGACCACACATGGTTTTATTGTTCTCTGTTGGTCTTACCTCTAGGATTGGAGTGCAGTGGCGCAATCATGGCTCACTGCAGCCTCAAGCAATCCTCCCATCTTAGCCTCCCGAGTAGCTGGGACTACAGGTATGTGTCACCACGTCCAGCTAATTTTTGTATTTTTTATAGAGATGAGGTTTTGCCATGTTGCCCAGGCTGGTCTCAAACTCCTGAGCTCAAGCAGTCCTCCTGCCTCAGCCTCCCAAAGTGCTGGGATTGCAGGCATGAGCCACCATGCCCAGCCTGGGATTAGATTTTAAATTCTTTGAGAATAAGGAAAATGTCTTATATTTATTTTGAATTTCCTACAGTACCTTGCAGAGATAATATTCAATAAAGGTGCAATTGTTGACTGATTAATTCTACCTAAGTCATGCAAACCTGGCTTGACTTGAATGTATTTATAAATGAAAAACAAAGTGAAGGACAATTCAGCTAAAATCAACATGTGGTCCTGACACTTCAGCTATTACACTAAATCAGAGTGTTCAGTATAGAAAATAACCCAAATCTAAAGCTGTTAGATCAATTATTTGTATATAACTTTATTTATTGTTTTGTTTTGAGACAGAGTCTTGCTCTGTCACCCAGGCTGGAGTGTGGTGGCACAATCTCGGCTCAATGCAACCTCAGCCTCCTGGGTTCAAGCAATTCTCCTGTCTCAGCCTCCCGAGTAGCTGGGATTACAGGCACATGCCACCATGCCCAACTAATTTTTGTATTTTTAGTAGAGACAGGGTTTTGCCATGTTGGCCAGGCTGGTCTCAAACTCCTGACCTCAGGTGGTCCACCGGCCTCAGCCTCCCAAACTGCTGGGATTACAGGCAGAAGCCACCATGCCTGGCCTATTTGTATATAACTTTAAAAGGAGTAGAAGGTTGTTTGGAGAGTTATAATCACATTCAAAGTACACTTTTTTTCTTGAAAAAAATAACAGATTTTTTTGAAAAGTAAATGATGTAATTGAACTCACAAATTACTTCATGCTGTTTTTTCATTTCTATTGTATTCACATGTGATAGCATCAATTGTTGCTACATCAGAGATATGAAATATTTTATTAGGTCAGCATTATTTAAGACCTTTAGAACAGTAAGGACATTAAAATGTAAGTTGCATAATGTTTATAAGTGTTTAACTTATAATATTGAGTGACGCATGAGTTAAGTGTTCAGAGTAATTTTCTGCATTATCATAAAAGAAAACCATTTTTAATTTTAGTTAAAATTAAATTAAAATTAATTTAGTATATTATTTTACTGATTGTAATTTTATGTAATAAAATACAGCACATAAAAAAAATTTTTAGTGTTATCATTACATTCTGCAGTCTCTCTTTTCTCATCACATTATATATTTGTAGTTTATCTCATATTTATACATTACTCTACATCATTTAACTGCTATTTAGAATTTCATTTTAGTAAATCCACTTTCCTGTTGATGGACATGTTAGTTACTTCCAGTTGTTTCCCAGGTTTGAAAATAACGCTGCAAGGAATGTTCCTGTTCATATCTACTTATGCACACACATGCAAGTTTCTCTAGGGTATAGACTTACAAGTAGAATTGCTGAGAACGCATATCTCCAACTTTGATAATGCCAAAGAGCTCTCCAAAAACAGTTATAACAATTTAGACTTCCACAAGTAATACATGAGAGTTCCATCTCCCCATGTCCTTGCTTGATTAATGTTAATATAGTCTGTCACGGTGCAGAGGCTTCAGCAACCCAGATCCTGCCCTGCCCACTGTATTGCTTATGGGGATCAGTACCTTGTGGCCCATCAGGTGGCAAGCTCTGTTCTATTTCTTTTATATCAATTCAATCTAGCTTACTAATTTTATTTCTTTCAGCCAGCTTGATCTATTCGTTAGAGGAGGGTTAACATCTTCTTCATTGATTGAGATTTGGTTCATCATCCTTCTAATTCTATCATTTTCCCTTTTATTTATTTTACAACTATGGTTCTTTATTCCTATCTCTTCTGATAAATTCTTTTAAATTTTTTTATATTTAATTCTTGTGGTTATATAGTAGATGTACATATTTATGGTATACATGAGATATTTCGATACAAACACGCAACGTGTAATCATCACATCATGGAGAATGGGGTATCCATCCCCTCAAGTATTTATCCTTTGTGTTATAAACAATCCAGTTATACTTTTAGTTATTAAATTTTTAAATGTACAATTAATTTATTATTGACTATAGTCACCTGGTTGTGCTATCAAATACTAAGTCTTATTCATTCTTTCTATTTTTTTGACCCATTAACTATCCCCACCTCCTCCCAACCAACTACCTTCCCAGCCTATGGTAACCATTCTTCTACCCTCTTTCTCCATGAGTTCAATTGTTTTTATTTTTATTTTTACGTATGCATTTTTGTGTGTGTGTGTGACGGAGTCTCATTGTCACCCAGGCTGGAGTGCAGTGGCATAATCTCAGCTCACTGCAACCTCTGCCTTCCAGGTTCAAGTGATTCTCCTGCCTCAGCCTCCTGAGCAACTGGGACTACAGGCACCTGCCACAATGCCTGGCTAATTTTTGTATTTTTAGTAGAGATGGGGCTTCACCATGTTGGCCAGGCTGGTCTTGAACTCCTGACCTCAAGTGATCGGCCCACCTCAGCCTCCCAAGGTGCTGGGATTACAGGTGTGAACCACCGCGCCTGGTCCAATTGTTTTGATTTTTAGATCCCACAGATAAGTGAGAACATGTGACATTTGTCTTTCTGTGCCTGGCTTATTTCTCTTAACATAACATCCTCCAGTTCCATCTATGTTGTTGCAAATACAGGATCTCACCCCTTTTTATAGCCGAATAGTACTCCATTGTGTATATGTACCACATTTTCTTTATCCATTCATCTGTTGATGGACACTTAGGTTGCTTCCACATCTTGGCTATTGTGAACAGAGCTGCAACAAACATGGGAATGCAGATATCTCTTTGATATACTGATTTCCTTTCCTTTGGTTATATACCCAGCAGTGGGATTGCTAGATCATATGGTAGCTCTATTTTTAGTTTTTTGAGGAACCTCCATAGCGGGGGTACTAATTTACATTCCCACTAACAGTGTACAAAGGTTTCCTTTTCTTTACATCCTCTCCAGCATTTGGTTATTGCCTCTCTTTTGGATAAAAGCCATTTTAACATAGGTGAGATAATATCTCATTGTAGTTTCGATTTGCATTTCTCTGATGATCAGTGATGTTGAGCACCTTTTCACATACTTATTTGTCATTTGTATGTCTTCTTAGGAGAAATATCTATTCAAATATTTTGCCCATTTTTAAACAGAATTATTAGATTTTTCCCTACAGAGTTGTTTGAGCTCCTTCTATATTCTGGTTATTAACCCCATGTCACATGGGTAGTTGGCAAATATTTTCTCCCATTTTGTAGGTTGGCTCTTCACTTTGTTGATTGTTTCCTTTGCTGTGCAGAAGCGTTTTAACTTGAAGGGATCCCATTTGTCCATTTTCGCTTTGGTTGCCTGTGCTTGTGAGGTATTACTCAAGAAATTTTTGCCCATACCAATATCCTGGAGAGTTTTCCCAATGTTTTCTTGCAGTAGTTTCATAGTTTGAGATCTCAGATTTTTCTTTAATCCATTTTTATTTGATTTTTGTATATGGCAAAAGATGGGCGTTTAGTTTTGTTCTTCCATGTATAGACATCCAGTTTTCCCAGCACCATTTATTGAAGAGACTGCCTTTTCTCCAGTGTATGTTCTTGGCACCTTTGTCAAAAATGACTTCACTGTAGGCTTGTGGATTTGCTTCTGGGTTTTTTACTTTGTTCGAGTGGTCTGTCTGTTTTTATGCAAATACCATGCTGTTTTGGTTACTATCCAGTATAATTTGAAGCCAGATAATGTGATTCCTCCAGTTTTATTCTTTTTGCTCAGGATTGCTTTGGCTATTCTAGGTCTTTTGCGGTTTCATATACATTTTGGAATTCCTTTTTCTGTTTTTTTGAAAAATGTCACTGGTATTTTGATAGGGATTGCATTGAAACTGTAGATTGCTCTGAGTAGTGTGAACATTTTAACACTACTGACTCTCCTAATCCGTGAACATGAAATATCTTTTCATTTTTTGGTATCCTCTTCAGTTCTTTCATGAGCATTTTATAGTTTTCATAATAGAAATCTTTCATTTCTTTGGTTAATTCCTTGGTACTTAATTCTGTTTGTGGCCATTGTACATGGGATTACTTTTTTATTTCTTTTTCAGACTGTTCACTGTTGGCATATAGAAATGCTGATTGTTGTATATTGTTTTTTTTTATTCTGCAACTTTACTGAATTCGTCTGTCAATTGTAATACTTTTTTGGTGCATTTTTTAAGGCTTTTACAAATATAAGGTCAGATTATCTGGAAATAAGTATAATTTGAATTCTTCCTTTCCAGTTTGGATGACCTTTATTTCTTTCTCTTGTTTTATTGCTCTAGCTAGAACTTCTAGTATTATGCTGAATAACAGTAGTGAAAGTGGAGATCCTTGTCTTGTTCCAGATATTAGAGGAAAGGCTTTTCATTTTGCCCTGTTCAGTATGATACTAGCTGTGGGTCCATCATACATGGCTTTTATTGTGTTGAAGTATGTTATTTCTATACCGAGTTTTTTGAGGGTTTTATCATGAAGGGATGTTGAATTTTACAAAATGCTTTTTCAGAATCAATTGAAATGATTAGGCCAGGTGCGGTGGCTCATGCCTATAATCCCAGAACTTTGGGAGGCTGAGGCAGGCAGATCATTTGAGGCCAGGAGCTCAAGACCAGCCTGACCAACATGGTGAAACCCTGACTCTACTAAAAATACAGACTTCAGGCCGGGCGTGGTGGCTTACGCCTGCAATCCCAGCACTTTGGGAGGCTGAGGCGGGAGAATCACTTGAGGTCAGGAGTTCAAGATCAATCTGGCCAACATGAGGAAATCCCATCTCTGCTAAAAATACAAAAATTAGCTGGCTGTGGTGGTGGGCACCTGTAATCCAAGCTACTCAGGAGGCTGAGGCAGGGGAATGGCTTAAACCCAGGAGGTGGAGGTTGCGGTGAACAGAGATTGTGCTACTGCACTCCAGCCTGGGCGACAGAGTGAGACGCCATCTCAAAACAAACAAACAAAACAAACAAGCAGACAAAAACAGCCTTCAAGGCCGGGCGCTGTGGCTCAAGCCTGTAATCCCAGCACTTTGGGAGGACAAGTCGGGCGGATCACAAGGTCAGGAGATCGAGACCATCCTGGCTAACACGGTTAAATCCCGTCTCTACTAAAAATACAAAAAATTAGCCAGGCGTGGTGGCGGGCGCCTGTAGTCCCAGCTGCTCGGGAGGCTAAGGCAGGAGAATGGTGTGAACCTGGGAGGCGGAGCTTGCAGTGAGCTGAGATCCGCCATTGCACTCCAGACTCCATCTCAAAACAAAACAAAACAAACAAACAAAAAAAACAGCCTTCAGGGCAGTAGGCTCCCCTCTAGCCCAGGGTGGGTCCAGAAATGCAGTCCAAGAGCCTAGGCCTGGACTCAGGGACTCTAAGAGCCTTCTTATTTGCTCTACACCCACTGTGGCCAAGATCGTACCTAAGGTGCAAGACAAAGTCCCCTTTACTTTTCCCTCTGCTTTTCTCAAACAGGAGTTTCTTCCTGTAGCCACCACAGCTGGGGATGTGCTGGTTCATACTAAGTTATTCTTTCTTTCTTTTTCTTTTTTTTTTTTTTTTTTGAGACAAACTCTCACTTTGCCCCCTAGGCTGGAGTGCAGTGGCTTGATCACAGCTCACTGCAACCTCTGCATCCTGGGCTCAAACAATCCTCCCACTTCAGCCTCTAAAGTAGCTGGGATTACAGGCACCCGCCACCACGTCTGGCTAATTTTTGTACTTTTTGTAGAGATGGGGTTTTGTCATGTTGCCCAGGCTGGTCTCCAACTCCTGAACTCTAGTAATCCGATCACCTCAGGCTTCCAAAGTGCTAGGATTACAGGTACGAGTCACCACGCCTGACTTAAATTATTCTATCATTAAAAAGTTTTCATTTTTACCCCAAATGAAGCTTTTCATCTTAAATTTTATTCGTGACTCATGCCTGTAATCCCAGCGCTTTGGGAGGCTGAATTGGGGGGATCACTTGAGGTCATGAGTTTGAGACCAGCCTGGCCAACATGGCAAAAACCCATCTCTACTAAAAATACAAAAATTAGCCAGGTGTGATGGCGGGTGCCTGTAATCCCAACTACTTTGGAGGCTGAGGCATGAGAATCGCTTTAGCCTGGGAGGCAGACGTTGCAGTGAGCCGAGATCGTGCCACTGCACTCCAGCCTGGGTGACAGAGCGAGACTCTGTCTCAAAAAAAAATAATAATAATAATAATTCTATTCATTTGCTGTTAATTCCATTATGTTATTAGCATTTCTGCGTACTCTTTTTTTTATTAGTATTTGATTGTTATATTTTTCTTTACTTTTATCTTGAAATTTCTGGATGGTTTTAAGTGGGCTCCTTGAACTATTTACACTATTGTTTGCTTGCTTGTTAATCAAATGAGATGATTTTTATCTATTAGTAAATGAATTCTATCTAATAAACTTATATAGTCAGTCATCCTGGTATATTTAAATTTATTTTTACCATCTAATTTAGGTCTTTGCTTTACTACCCTTTTTCTTTTTTTCTTTTTCTCTTTTTATTCCTGTTGCTTCTTTGGGACTGATGAAATTTTCTATATTCTTCTTTCCTTCTTTGTTGGTTTTAAGGCTATGCATAGCATTTCTATTTTTTTTAACATGAATATCTCTACATTTTTCCTATAAAGTCTCCAATTACATACACAGTGTTTTTTCCTTCTCCTGAACAAGACACAAACCTAAACAAGCTTTAATTACCTAGTAAGTACTTCCACATTATTGTTTTTATTTTTAATTTATTTTTTTGAGGTGGAGTTTCACTCTTGTCGCCCAGGCTGGAGTGCAATGGCGCAATCTCAGCTCACTGCAACCTCCACCTCCCGGTTCAAGCAATTCTCCTGCCTCAGCCTCCTGAGTATCTGGAATTACAGGCATATGCCATCACGCCCAGCTAATTTATATATTTTTAGTAGAGACGGGGTTTTGCCATGTCTGCCAGACTAGTCTCGAACTCCTGGCCTCAGATGATCTGCCCGCCTTGGCCTCCCTAAGTGCTGCGATTACAGGCGTGAGCCACTGCACCTGGCCCCCATATTATTTTTAACCCTCAAATTATTTTTTATATTGATAGTTAATTGTACTTACCAACTTATCAATTTCTATGCTTTTCATGTTTGCTTACATCTAATTTTTTCTTCCTGGGTTTACTGTTCTTCTAACTGAAGTATGTCTTTTTAGTAGATCTTTCACTGTAGGTCTGTGGTTAGTAAGTTCTCTTATTTGTATATATTTGTTTTATATATTGTACACCTAAAGATGCACTTTCATTAAGCATTTATTCTGTCTTTTCTATACAAAGTAAGCAAGTAGAAGTAGAGAAGTTTTCAATTTCTGATGAATTAATGGATCAGTGGTTGCCAACATCACACAGAGAGAGACAATCAGTTATTACATATTTTCTACAAGTCACCTACAAAGGAGTCTAGCCTGAAAATTGTACCTGAATCTGATCAAGGCCATAATCTCACTACCAATTTATAGAAAATACAGAAAACAGACAAGTGTAAATTACATGGGAATGCAATCAGCAAAATACAGATGTGGGAAACTCTACAAGTCAGATAAAACAACCCAGTTTCTTTCAGAAGTAAGTTGAAAAAGGTGGGGCAAAGGGGATTGAAGGGGTAGGTAAAAGAGACTTAAAAGATGTATATAGTTAGAAGGAAAATTAAGCTTCAGAGTTTAGAGGTGCATCATGGGCGACAGAACTATAAAGAAAGCAAGAAAGCAATGAACATAAAACTCAAGATGTAGTTACTTTCAGGGGAAAAGGAAAGGATTGGGATTGGGACAGGGTAAATGAAGGACCTCTCCTGTGGCTGCAGAGTGGACCCCATTGGGATACAGCAGAGAATGAGACCAAGGCCCAGCTCTCAGGGTGTTTACACAATAGGAGAAATAAACCAATAAATGAATAATGCAATGTCAATTAGTGATAATGGAATATAAAACATAGTTGACCCCTAGCCTCCAAATAAGTGCCAGCCGAGTTTCATTCTTAACACAGAGTACATAGAAAATATAATTACTTGATAAGGTCAATAAGAAATCAGCTTTCACAATATATTATGGCCAATTAAGAGGAAAAAGTAAAGAGAAAAGAAAAGAAATGAAGAGAGAAAAAGAAATAGGGGCATAAAAAGCAAGTCCAAACATAGAAGAGAAAGACACCCACAAAGGCATAAAAACACCCACATCCATAGGGCCAGAACTTTATGGGTAAAATATTTTATTATAGCTACAAATTCATCACTCTATATAGATATAGGGGCAGGTTGTCTTGGAGCTCTCATCTTCAGTTATTTAGTCAAGGTCTAGAGACTGTGCCAGACTTGATCATTCCAGCCCCAACACTTCCCTAGGTTTGTTCCCTATTTAGGTGGTGGCACATTATAAGTACATTTCAGACTTTTTCTGAAAGCAGATATTATAAAGAAAATGAGTGTGGGAGTAGAAGAGTATTCATCCTCAGAGGAAAAAGGACACTGAAGGGGCTGTAGAGGTGCCCAAGTAAATGCTCCAGTTTAGCCACAACTCAATCTACACACCATGAAGGCCCTTTTTCTTGCAGCCCTGCAGACTAACAAAATGGATGGTAGAGAATGCTGACTGTGCATAGAAGGCTTTCTCCCCGTGTTCACCTTGGAAGGGTCATTTATAGCTCAGTTCCTTGGATTCAAAAAGGAAATCAATCTTACCACCTATGGCAATAACAAAAATGGCAACAAAATGATTGCGGTTTTTAATTCCTTCCTGTTGTGGTAGCTTTCATTTGTCCTGTTATTGCTGGATTTATTAGAAATAACTATCCAAGTCAATAAACCAGAAAAATGCAAGCTCCATCTCATCTAGACATCCTAAATGTAGTCACAATTCACTTTAAATATGTATAGTTTATGTAGTTCACATTTTCATTTACAACAATATAGAATATTAAAATTAACTTGCAGACTATGAGATGGCAGGAGGTCATAAGGGTAATAACCATTTATCAGTGAGATCTCAACCAAATTCTGGCTTACAGGTTTTCCAGTAGAGTTGTGGTTATTTTTTCCCTTTGTAATGAAAACAGATTTGATTATGGTTGTAAAAGTAGTATTAAAAAGTAATATATATTCATTATTTTCAAAAGTTAAACAACAGGAATATATTAATATATATCAAAAACATAAAAGTTGGCCAGGTGTGGTGGTTCATGCCTGTAATCCCAGCACTTTGGGAGGCCGAGGCAGGAAGATCATTTGAGCTCAGGAGTTCAAGACCAGCCTGGGCAACATGGTGAAACCCCATCTCTACAAAAAATACAAAAATTAGCAAGGCGTGGTATTATGTACCTGTAGTCCCAGCTACTAGGGAGGCTGAAGTAGGAGAATCACCTGAGCCTGGGAGGTTGAGGCTGCAGTAAGCCACAATCATGTCACTGCACTCCAGCCTGGGCAATAGAGTGAGACCCTGACCACCCCCCCGCAAAAAAAATCAGTATTCTCTCCACTAAGGAATCTATTTGCCCAGACTTTTTTTGTCTGCAGGTGCACACACGCATGCACACACACATACACGCCCCTCCCTCTACCCCCACTTAAGTGTGTTTTTTTGTTTGTTTGTTTTTTGAGTCAGAGTCTTGCTCTGTCACCCAGGCTGGAGTGCAGTGGCATGATCTCAGCTCACTGCAAGCTCCGCCTCCCGGGTTCATGCCATTCTCCTGCCTCAGCCTCCCGAGTAGCTGGGACTACAGGTGCCCGCCACCACGCCTGGCTAATTTTTTGTATTTTTAGTAGAGACAGGGTTTCACTGTGTTAGCCAGGATGGTCTTGATCTCCCGACCTCGTGATCCACCCACTTCGGCCTCACTTATTTTTTTAATTTAATATATCATAGATATTCTTGATATATTGTAGATGAAAAAGCAAGTTATTTAATTATATATATATAGTATGACCCATATTTCATTTAAAATTCCTGTATGTTGGCCGGGCATGGTGGCTCACGCCTGTAATCCCAGCACTTTGGGAGGCTAACTGAAAAACAAAAATTAGCCGGGCGTCCTTGTGGGTGCCTGTAATCCCAGCTACTTGGGAGGCTGAGGCAGAGAATTGCGTGAACCCGGGAGACAGAGGCTGCAGTGAGCCAAGATCGCACCACTGCACTCCAGCCTGGGTGACAGAGTGAGACTCTGACTCAAAAAACAAACAAACAAAAAAACACACATAAGTGGGGGTAGAGGGAGGGGCGTGTGTGTGTGTGTGTGTGCGTGTGCGCACCTGCAGACAAAAAAAGTCTGCAGGGTGTGGTGGCTCACGCCTGTAATCCCAGCACGTTGGGAGGCTAACTAAAAATACAAAAATTAGCCAGATGTGGTTGTGGGTGCCTGTAATCCCAGCTACTTGGGAGGCTGAGGCAGAGAATTGCATGAACCTGGGAGACAGAGGTTGCAGTGAGCCGAGATCGCGCCACTGCACTCCAGCCTGGGCGACAGAGTGAGACTCTGTCTCAACAACAGCAACAACAAAATCCTGTATGTTTATATGTAGACACAAATAAAAATCCCTATGTAGACACATGGATATATGATTTTATTTGTACAGAAAATTATCTGACAGGGGCCGGGCGTGGTGGCTCACACCTGTAATCCCAGCACTTTGGGAGACTGAGGTGGGTGGATTCCCTAAGGTCAGGAGTTTGAGACCAGCCTGACCAACATGGAGAAACCCCATCTACTAAAAATACAAAATTAGCCAGGCGTGGTGGAACATGCCTGTAATCCCAGCTACTCGGGAGGCTGAGGCAGGAGAATCGCTTGAACCTGGGAGGCGGAGGTTGTAGTAATCCAAGATCGCGCCATGGCACTCCAGCCTGGGCAACGAGTGAAACTCCATCTCAAAAAAAATTATCTGACAGGATACAAACCAGTTTTTTTTTTTTTTTTTGAGACAGCGTCTTGGTCTGCCTTCCAGGCTGGTGTGCAGTGGTGTAAACACCGCTCACTGCGGCCTAGACCTCCCAGGCTCAAGTGACCTGCCCACCTCAGCCTCCTGAGTAGGTGGGGCTACAGATGCATGCTACCATGCCCGGCTAATGTTTGTATTTTTTTTGTAGAGACAGGGTTTTGCCATGTTGCCCAGGCTCAGATTTTTAACAACAGGGAATGAGATGGAAGGGAAGGGCAGGTAAGTAGGGGAAACTTCAAATTTTTGTTTATATATATCTGCGATATCTATTCTAAAAAAAATACACATACTATTTCAGAAAGTAATCAAAGTACACATAAAAAACAGCTCTTTATTTTTTTTTTTTTTTTATTTTTTTTTTTTTTTGAGACGGAGTCTCGCTCTGTCGCCCAGGCGGGACTGCGGACTGCAGTGGCACAATCTCGGCTCACTGCAAGCTCCGCTTCCCAGGTTCACGCCATTCTCCTGCCTCAGCCTCCCGAGTAGCTGGGACTACAGGCGCCCGCCACCGCGCCCGGCTAATTTTTTTTGTATTTTTAGTAGAGACGGGGTTTCACCTTGTTAGCCAGGATGGTCTCGATCTCCTGACCTCATGATCCACCCGCCTCGGCCTCCCAAAGTGCTGGGATTACAGGCGTGAGCCACCGCGCCCGGCCAAAAAACAGCTCTTTATATCAACATTATTTGTTATCATTTTTAATCATTCTCTACTATCTCGTTTGGCTACAGTATAGTGTTTAATGAATTGTCTACTTAACAGCTTTAGGATGTTTCCAATCTTTTGGTATTATAAACAATGTTGATAGGATAGCTTTGCATATGTTTTCTGTACTCTCTCATCAGCCCTGAGTATTACCAATTTTACTATATTTTCACCCATCAGCCAAAAATAAGTTCTTATTTTAATCAACAGTTTTTAATGACAACTGAATTGAACATATTTCCCATGCATGTTATCTATTTATTTTTTATTTTTGTTTATTTTGTGGATTTTCCTATTCATATAATTTGTCCACTGTTCTTGGAATTTTTATGTTTTTCTTAGATAACTGCTTATATATAAAGTTATTAATCCCATCTGCAGTACACATATATAAAGTATTTTTCCAGTTTGCTTTTCCATTTTTAGATTCATGTCTCTTTTGCCTTTTTTTTCTCTTTTTTTGCCATTCTCCTCCGCTTTAACTCACTTGCTGTCCTAGTCTATTTGTGCTGCTATAACAAAATACCTGATATTGGGTAATTTATAAAGGATAGAAATTTATTTTCCCACAGTCCTGATGGCTGGGAAGTTCAAGATCAAGGTGCTGGCAGGTTTGTTGTCTACTGAGGGTCCAGTCTCTGCTTCCAAGATGATTCCTTGAAAACTGCATGCTCCAGAGGGGAGGAATGCTGTGTCCCCACATGGCAGAAGGTGGGAGGGCAAAAAACAGGTCTGACTCCCTCATCAAGCCGCTTTATAAGGGTACTTAATCCTATTCACAAGGAAGGAGCCTCATGATGGCCCAATCACCTCTCAAAGGCCCCACTTTTTTAAATTTTATTTTTATTTTTATTTTTTGAGATGGAGTTTCACTCTTATTGCCCAGGCTGGAGTGCAATGGCGCGATTTCAGCTCACCACAACTTCCGCTCCCCGGGTTCAAGCAATTCTCCTGCCTCAGCCTCCTGAGCAGCTGGGATTACAGGCATGTGCCACCATGCCTGGCTAATTTTGTATTTTTAGTAGAGATGGGGTTTCTCCATGTTGGTCAGGCTGGTCTCAAACTCCCAACCTCAGGTGATCCGCCCGCCTCGGCCTTCCAAAAGTGCTGGGATTACAGGCGTGAGCCACCGTGCCTGGCCGGCCCCACCTTTTAATACTGCCACATTGGCAACACCTGAATTGTGGAGGGGAAAATTCAAACCATATCACACGCTAATTTCCTGTATATATTGGACTGTCCATGTGCTATTTTATTTCTGTGGTTTGTCCATCCCTGCACCAGGACCCATAGTTTTAATTACTGTAGCTATATATGTGGTAAGGCACGCTTTGCTCAGACTTTTCTATTTTGAAATGTTACTAGTTCCTTTCACATGTTTGTTTATTCTTACTGGTAATTAGAATCATTTTGTCAAATCCCAAATGTTAAGACTGTGTTAAACTTACATATACATTTGAGGAAAATTATTTATAATATGAATATGTCCTTAGACTATTATGTTCCCAAGTCAGGTTATACAGTTTTCTTTAAATATGTACATCACAGGCTGGGTGCCATGGCTGATGCCTGTAATCCCAGCACTTTGGGAGGCTGAGACAGGAGGATCACTTGAGGCCAGGAGTTTGAGACCAGCCTGGCTAACATGGTGAAACACTATCTCTACTAAAAATACAAAAAAATTAGCCCAGTGTGGTGACACGTGCCTGTAATCCCAGCTACTTCGGAGGATGAGGCAGGAGAATCACTTGAACCCGGGAGGCGGAGGTTGCAGTGAGCCAAGATCATGCCACTGCATTGCAGCCTAGGCAACAGTGAGAGTGAGACTCTGTCTCAAAATAAATAAATAAATAAGTATACCACATATTCATGTCAAATGTAAACTTATCCATTTTATGTTTTGTGTTATTAATGCCAATAGAAATGTTTAGTTTTTTGGCTGGGTCTGGTGACTCATGCTTGTAATCCCAGCACTTTGGAAAGCCAAGGCAGGCAGATCACTTGAGGTCGAGACCAGCCTGGCCAATATGGTGAAAACCAGACTCTACAAAAAGCACAAAAATTCGCCAGGCATGGTGGCTCACACCTGTATTCCCAGCTACTCAGGAGGCTGAGACGTGAGAATCGCATGAACCCAGGAGGCAGAAGTTATAGTGAGCTAAGATTGAGCCACTGTACTCCAGCCTAGGTGACAGAGTGAATGAGAAAAAAAAAAAAAAGTTTATTTTTGCTTAACACTATGACCGGCATTTTACAGGCACTCAACAAGCATTTGTTGGACAAATAAGTGGATAATAAACTTTAAAAAGCCATGAAAACTTTTCTTTAGTTGGAGACTAAAAAGGAAATGTGCCCTTATGCCTAAAGGATTTTGGTATAATTATGCTAGGACCGAAAAAAAAAAAAAAAAAGGTAGTCAGCCTGGTTTCCTATCTAGGGTTCATATCTAAAAGTCAACTGAGCATTCAAGACTCAAAATCAAGCCTGGCCTTATCTGTGAATGGTGGATCTTGGGAAACTATATACACTCGGGGAAAAAGTCTCTGCTGTTGGCCAGGTGCAGTCGCTTACGCCCGTAATCCCAGCACTCTGGGAGGCCAAGGTGGGCAGATCACGAGGTCAGGAGTTCGAGACCAGCCTGGGTAACATAGTGAAATGCTATCTCTACTAAAAATACAAAAAATTAGCCCAATGTGGTGGCGTGTGCCTGTAATCCCAGCTACTTAGGAGGCTGAGGCAGGAGAATCACTTGAACCCAGGAGGCAGAGGTTGCAGTGAGCCAAGATCATGCCACTGCACTCCCGCCTGGATGACAGAGTGAGACTCCGTCTCAAAAAAAAAAAGTCTCTGCTATTGCTTTACTAATACCTGGAGTTCCACCATTAGTTTCACAGCTTCAAATTTAAGGCTTCCTTTCTCTAAAAATGCAAACACGTCTGAGAAAGATAGTAGAATACAATGTGTTCAGCCATATAGTCTTTTACACCTTAGTATGAATTAACTATTGGTTTACTCCCAACTTGTAGCTAATTAAGAAGAGTTTTTGATAAGAGGAGGAAATCAAGAGGCCAAAGAACAGTAGGATACTGGCCTTATGGGTGTGTAAGTGTAGAAAATTCAGGAAGCTGACTTTAGGAAGGAAGCTAAAATGTGTAAATTTCTTTGGGCAGGAAGTAAATCTTGTTTATCCTTGTGCATAATGTTGGAATATCACAGCCAGTATAGATGGGTATAGAACAGATGAGTTAATGGATAAACAGCTCTGCTCACTTCATAGCTTTTGCCTAGGGGTTGCTCTGCCCAAAGCTGTAGTCTCAGGGTTATTTTGGGGTGACTGCTACCCTGCTACTCTGGCTTCCTTTTCTTCAGAATTACTCATGTGGGATGGTGATATGGTTTGGCTGTGTCCCCACCCAAATCTCATCTTGAATTGTAGTTTCCATAATCCCCAAGTGTCATGGGTGGGACCCAGTGGGAGATAATTGAATCATGGGGGTGATTACCCTCATGCTATTCTCATGATAATGAGTAAGTTTTCACAAGATTTGATGGTTTTATAAGGGACTCCCCGCTTCACTTGGTTCTCATTCTCTCTCTTGCCAGCATGTGAAGAAGGATGTGTTTGCTTCCCCTTCTACCATACTTGTAAATTTTCTAGGTGTCCCCAGCCCCACAGAACTGTGAGTCAATTAAACCTCCTTTCTTTGTAAATTACCCAGTCTCAGGCAGTTCTTTATAGCAGCATGAGAATGGACTAATACAGATGGTATGCCAGAACCTCATTGTTAACAGATGTTGGATCACTAGTATAACAAACAATTGCTAACTGCTAACACATTTTGCACTAAAACATTTTTAGAGTTAAACACATTTAGAGGAAAACAATAAAATGTCTATTTATACAGTTTTAAGTGTCTCCTTATATAATAAAAACATTATCATCATCAGATGCTTGGTCAGATCATTGACCAGCTCTGTCTCCCATTCCCTATGAGTCTGACATTTCATAATTGATACCACTGGTGAAATACTGGGAGACTGGGAGATGAAGATAAACAGTGGATTTTCCCTCCACTGTTTAGTTTTTCCACTGTTAGTATTTATGAATTTATTACATAATTTAGCAAAATGATGACTCAACCATGAAGCCAGTGCTCCCTCAACTGCTGGATCTGTGGGAAAGGGAAAAGAAAAGCTAATGAAGTTAAAAAGAATTTACTGCTAGCAAAGTCACAGGTAAAGAGAGAACAAAGGATATATGATAAAAACATAATCACATTGAGTTTATCAGTTATCAAATTTATTGATAATAGTTTTTTCTTTAGTGATAAGAAAAATATAAATATTAGGTTAAGATATTAAAGTTTCAAACTCTTAATGACACATAGCAAATGTTGCTGTGGTTATAATCTGTGAGATCCATAGAGCTTGGACCTAATCTATATTGGTTCCTGGTGTATCTTCAGTGCCTAGCAGATAGTAGGTGCTCAGTGAATAGTTGTTAAATGAATGAATGAATGAATGAATGAATGAATATTAAATGCTGGTGACTCAGTAGCCTTCTTTAAAGAAGTGTAAAACCTTTAACAAATTATATCTAGATAATTAGGTCCAATGCTAATGAGAAGGGCCTTCGAGGATGAAGGAATGCATTCTGGAATCTATTTTATACTTGACAAAAACAGCAATGACTATTTCTTGGTCTCAAACTAAGTCACCCTGAAAAATCTACCCATGACCAATTTTCCTATGCTGAAAGACAGGCTGGGCTGTCTACACCAAGTAGATATAATTGATATAATTTTTACTAGTACAATCCTAAGATAATTGCTTACCTTTTTACTTTCTTCTGTCAGTGTAGGTGCAATCTAAGGCAAATGGAAAGAACTCACACCATATAAACTGATGCTGGTCTTCAGTCCAAGGTGACTTTTAAAAATTTTTCCTCTGAATAAATACAAATTGGAAAAGTGGTTCCAGTTAACTATAAAAATAATGTATTTAAAAAGATTACTCTGAAATTAAGCCAATGTTGTTTTCTGTATTAGTTTATTAAGAAAACTGCCTATCCTCCACTTAATTTTGCAAGTTGCGAACTTGATGTGAAATAATCGAAGTAAAACGGTTTTCCTACATGTTAAAGACAGGTTGTAAGTAATCACATTTCCAAAGAATCCAGAAATGGAGACTCTCCCTTTAATCCATTTCATATGCCAGTGTGTTGGGTTATAAACATACCAAATACACATGTGATATAGACTGGGTATATTGTATTAAACACTAACTCAGTTACTATTGTACAAAATTAGAAGTTACAGTTATCACTATTGATGTTTCAAGTCCAAACTATTTGCATAAGAATGACTATCAGGCCAGGCACAGTGGCTCACATCTCCAATCCCAGCACTTTGGGAGGCTGAGGCAAGTGGATCACCTGAGGTCAGGAGTTCGAGACCAGTCTAGGAAGAAGGTGAAACCTCATCTCTACTAAAATTACAAAATTTAGGTGGGCGTAGTGGCATGTGCGTGTAATCCCAGCTACTCAGGAGGCTGAGGTAGAAGAATCGCTTGAACCCAGGAGACTGGAGGTTGCAGTGAACTGAGATCACGCCATTGCACTCCAGCCTGGGCAACAGAGCGAGATTCCATCTTAAAAAAAAAAACAAAAAACCATCAAAAGTATAAAATTAGAGTCTCACTTGTGACTTTCAGTAAATTCTACCCTTGATCTTAGCCAAAAGGCGGAGAAGCAATGACTTTCAGTAAACTCTATAAAGGTGGTTAAGATGATGCATATAATAGTTGGTGCTGTTTGGAAAGAGTATATATTGTAATTTTTTTAGACTAATGAATTCTCACTTTTAGTAGGGTGTTTTTGTTATGGCTGTGAACAGATAAAGATGTGCTGGGAACAATGGTGTGAAAAAAACAAAAACAAGCCTGTCCTCCCAAACCTTATTCCAAATCCCCCAACACTAACTAGTTATAAATCTCCATCAGCATGGACTTTAGGGAGACTAGACTGGGTAAAATGCAAAAGGCTATGTCATCAATCAATTCTCTCCTAACTGCATGACAGAGCTCATCATAAAGCAAAAGTTATCTATGTAATGAAAGGAAGACGCACGTCCTTGAGTCAACCAGTGTGGTCACAGCATGATTGATGTCCAAGAGCTAGAGGAACATGGGCCAAAACTCATCCAAAATAGGCTGAAAGTCAGAGACTGAGGAGAGACAGGAAGCATTAAGAGACTGCTAAGTGATAAAGAGCTGCATAAATCAGCTTGCTGCATGTCAGAGAACAGCTTGACTTTGACCTGACATTTGTTTGTAGGTCAATTCCTTGCTCACATCTGTGTAGGCCTGGAGGGTCCCTTTCACTTGGCCAAGGGTTAATCCAAGGATCCTAGACAAAACTGAAAAATAAGCAATTCTGTTTCACTACTTTGTACCTTGGAAAACACTACTCCTTTAATCCTCAGGTACTTAGTGACCCCTGACTCCAACAAAATATGCTGTCAGCATCTTCATACAAATTGTCTAACACAAAATAGGTGCTCAGTATACATTTTCTTTTCCTCCTTCTTTCCCATAGTCAAATTGTTGATGACAATGTGCTCTTATTTTTGCCAGAGTATTTTGATTTTCACAGATACCAAATCCTTGAATCAAAAGAATAAGAGAAGATAGTATAATTTTGGGCATAAACTCTTGTTAGTGTCTACTTCATTGATGTATGTGCCCTTCAGATAGGCACTCTGTGAAGTGCTTTACGTGGAGTATCTCATTTATTCCAACAATTATATGAGGTAGATACTAGCATTATCTTTGTTTTACAGGCTGAGAACAGTGGGGCTTTTGCAGGTTGAGAACTTTCCCACAAGTGCACAGCTAGTAAGTAAGGGATCCAGGGTATCTGCTCCAGGGCCTGTGCTTTGACCCTGTGCCATGTCCTGGGATGGCGCTTGATGTGAGTGAAAGGACTTACACCAGTTGTCTGATCTCAATATGTTCATTCTTTCCAGGGAACTTGATGCTGGTTATGGGTCCCCCATGTAAGGCTAGTGTAGTAGGCAGAATAATGACTTCCATCTCCACCCAAAGATATCCATGCCCTAATATCCAAGCCTGTGAAGATGTTACTTTGCATGGCAAAAGGGACTTTACAGATGGGATTAAAGTTATGTAGACTAATCAGGGAGATTGACTGGGTGTGGTGGCTCACACCTGTAATCCCAGCACTTTGGGAGGCTGAGGTGGGTAGATCACGAAGTCAGGAGTTCGAGACCAGCCTGACCAACATGGTGAAACCCTGTTTCTACTAAAAATACAAAAAAAAAAAATACAGCCGGGCATGGTGGCGCACGCCTGTAATCCCAGCTACTCAGGAGGCTGAGGCAGGAGAATTGCTTGAACCCAGGAGGCAGAGGTTGCAGTGAGCTGAGATCGCGCCACTCCACTCCAGCCTGGGTGACAGAGTAAGATTTCGTCTCAAAAAAAAAAAAAAAAAAAAAGATCTGGGAGATTATCCTGGTACCTGGGTGGGCCCAATCTAATCATATGAGTTCTTAAAAGTAGAAGCAGAAGGCAGATGAGTGAGAGAGATGAGATGAAAGAAAAGGAACAGAGATTTGAAGTATGAGAGGGATTTGACTGCTGCTGGCAGTGGCTTTGAAGATGAGGAAGGAAATGGGGACTTGAGTCCTATAACCACAAGAAACTGAATTCTGCCACAACCCAATTAGCTAAAAAACATGAATCTTTCTTTAAGCCTCCAAAAAGGAACAAAGCCCTGCTGACAGCACCTTGATTTTAACCCAGTAAGATTGACACAGAGCACTGCAACATAAAAAATTTGTGTTGTTTTAAGCCATCAAGTTTGGGATAATTTGTTACAGTAGCAATATAAACTTAATACAACTGCTTAGTTTCTTTTTCTTTTCTTTTTTATTTTTATTTATTTTTTCTGAGACAGGGTCTCACTCTGGTGTGATCATAGCTCACTGCACTCTGGACCTCGCTGGCTCAAGCCATTTTCCTGCCTTAGTCTCCTCAGTAGCTGAAACTGCAGGAGCATGCCAACTTGCCTGGCTAATTCTAAAATTTTTCTTATAGAGAGGAGATCACAAACTCCTGGGCTTAAGAGATCCTCCTGCCTTGGCTTCCCAAAGTACTGGGATTACAGGCATGAGCCACAGCACCTGGCCTGGTCAGTTTCTTTATTTATGTTAACTATATTTACCTGATGTCTCATCACGAAAGGAAGTGGGCAAAATTGTCTGACTCCTTCTGGTCCTTCTCTCACATGAAAAGAAAAGCAAAACTTCTTGCCACCCTGTAGGCTAGGAGGCAAATGTGGATTGTTCTCTATAGTTGGACCCATACCCCAGGGTGAGTGAACGCCGTATTATCCTGGTATGGAATCCAAACCCCAGGCTTTATCTGGAACTGGACTAACTGGTCTTGAGCATAGAGAAACAACCTATTAGTGACTTGTTTTCTCCTATTAGTCCACTGTGCAGATACTATTAGAGAAACGTCAAGGAGAAATAAAGGACACTTTTTTTTTTTTTTTTTTTTTGGTAAGATGGAGTCTTGCTCTGTCGCCCAGGCTGGAGTGCAGTGGCGCAATCTCGGCTCACTGCAAGCTCCGCCTCCTGGGTTCACACCATTCTCCTGCCTCAGCCTCCCGAGTATCTGGTACTACAGGTGCCCGCCCCGAGGCCCAGATAATTTTTTGGTATTTTTAGTAGAGACGGGGTTTCTACATGTTAGCCAGGATGGTCTCCATCTCCTGACCTCGTGATCTGCTTGCCTCGGCCTCCTGAAGTGCTGGGATTACAGGCGTGAGCCACCGCACCTGGCATAAAGGACATTTTTAAACCTGGTGAGAAATCTCTAGATTTGTGTGCAATAGCAATGACATATTAGTAATTTCACATAAAAATACTTTTGCTAAACTAAAGGATATTTCCATGTTGGTTTATTCTCAACTGTGAGCACTAATTTTTAAAAATCAACTTCCTGTTTGATAAGGGGAGAAATACATTAAAATGCTTTGTCCATATTTTCAGTAGAAAATGTTTAAGAATAGGACAAATGAGGTAAAGAAAATGTAATTCAAATATATTCAATGAAACATGGTGATTTTCACATTTTATTTCCTTCAATGCTCTTTCTTAAATTACATTCAGACTCTACATTTTCCTCCCATCGTCTGGCAAGTCCGTGTCTCAGGTTTTGTTTACTCTGTCTTTTTCCCTTTTTATTCTGATGACATGTCATCATAAGCCTCCTGCAGCAGAGGGAGGGTGTATGTGCCAACAGGGCTGTGTCTGCAGGGGCTGAGGGTCTCCTGCCTGTCTCATTGGTGCCATACCAGGGTACCCTACAAATGCAGGGGTGGGGGAAAGGAAGGAAGAGATTACCTGACAAATTATGCTGTACCTCTTCTTCCTAACATGAGTAAGAACAAATGTGTTTGATGACTTCAACTTGTTTTCTTACCCTGAAGAAACAGTTTGTGTAGAACAAAAGTGACCTGATCTGAGTTCTCCAGCAGAATTTTCTTCTCTAGCTCACAGAGGGTATAATAATAGTATTTGCCTCATCCCAAGTCAGTTCAACTTCCTCCTTAGAAACTGCCAAAGTTGGCCAGGTGCAGTAGCTCATGCCTGTAATCCCAGCACTTTGGCAGGCTGAGGCGGGCGGATCACAAGGTTAGGAGATCGAGACCATCCCGTCTAACACGGCAAAACCCCATCTCTACTAAAAATACAAAAAAAAAAAAAATTAGCCGGGTGTGGTGGCGGGTGCCTGTAGTCCCAGCTACTCAGTAGGCTGAGGCAGGAGAATGGCATGATCCCAGGTGGCAGAGCTTTCAGTGAGCCAAGATTGCGCCACTGCACTCCAGCCTGGGGGACAAAAAAAAAAAAAATTGCCAGTGTCAACCGGTTCCAGGCCAACCTTCTTCACAGCCTCCAAAACAGATCTCATCTATCTAGTTCCCAGATCTAACAGCATCTGGCACACAGGATATATTTAGTAAATATGAGTAAGTGAATAGTTTGAGACCTTAGGCAGGGTTCTGGGTTCTTATTTTCTGCATCTCTTTCCTCTGCTATGAAAGAATCTAAGGTTTACAGTGCTGATGGGATAAACTAGGATCCCATACTCCCCGAATCTGATTGTAATTTACTAAAGTCAAGAATAATGTAATATTTCTCTATCTCAATTTTAGAGGCTGGGCATGATGGCTCACTCCTGTAATCCCAGCACCTTGGCAGCCTGAGGTGGGAGGATTGCTTGAGCTCAGGAGTTCAAGATCAGCCTGAGCAACATGGTGAAATGCCATCTCTACAAAAAATACAAAAATTAGCCAGGCTTGGAGGCATGTGCGTGTAGTCCCAGCTACTTGGGAGGCTGAGGTGAGAGGATGGCTTGAGCCTAGGAGGCAAAGGTTGCAGTGAGCTGAGATTACACCACTGCACTCCCGTCTCGGTGACAGAGCCAGACCTTGTCTCAAAAAAAAAAAAAAAAAAAAAAAAAAAATTACACCTAGCTGTGTTTTTTTTCTTTCTTAAATTATTTAAACACTTATTTTGCATCAAGTACTCTTCTAAAAACATTACAAATAGTAACTCACCTAACCATGATGAGAACTCTGTGAAATAGGTACTATTTTTATCCTTGTTTTACAGATGAGAGACCAGAAGCACAGAGAGCTTATGCAACTTGCCCAAAGTCACATAGCTAAATGGTAGAGCTGGGATTTAGCTCATACAGACTGAATCCAGAGATAGAACTCCACACTATGCCTCACTATACTGCTTTGCCTCACCATTGGTTGAATGCTTGAAGAAAGAAGAAATTTGGAATCTATGTCAAGAGAAAATTGAAAAGAGCAATATTTACAGAAAGAAAGCCAAGGGCTGGGCACAGTGGCTCACATCTATAATCCCAGCACTTTGTGGGGTCAAGGTGGGAGGATTGCTTGAGCCCAAGAGGTCAGGGCTCCAGTGAGCCATGATGGTGCCGCTGCACTCCAGCCAGGACAACAGAGTAAGATCCTGTCTTGAAAAATAAAAAAATTAAAAAAAAAGGAAGAAAGGAAGAAATGCAAATGAACAATATGTTTCTAGATATTCCATGCATAGTTAATGTAGTACAAATGTTGCCACTGCATGAAATGTAGTGACAAAAACCTAGGTTGATTTGGATACCTAACTTAAAAGGATTTTGCTCCTTTGCTAAAATAAATAAATAATAAATAAAACAATCAAATTGTGAGGCTGGGTGTAGCGGCTCATGCCTGTAATCCTAGCACTTTGGGAGGCTGAGATGGGCGGATCACTTGAGCTCACAAGTTTGAGGCCAGCCTGGGCAACATGGCAAAACTCCATCTCTACAAAAAAGTACAAGAATTAGCTGGGTGTGGTGGTGCACACCTGTAGTCCCAGCTACTTGGAAGGCTGAGGTGGGAGGATGGCGTAAGCCCAGGAGGTGGAGGTCAGTGAGCCAACATTGTGCACTGCACTTCAGCCTGGGTGATACAGTCAAACCTTGTCTAAAAAAAAAAAAAAAAAAAAAAAAAAATCAGGACCGGCACTGTGGCCACCTGTAATCCCAGCACTTTGGGAGGCTGAGGCAGGCAGATCACTTGAGGTCAGGAGTTCAAGACCAGCCTGGCCAACATGGTGAAACCCCATCTCTACAAAAAAATACAAAAATTAGCCAGGCGTGGTGGTGTGCACCTGTAGTCCCAGTTACTCAGGAGGCTGATGCACGAGAATCATTTGAACCTGGGAGGCTGAGGTTGCGGTGAGCCAAGATCATGCCACTGGACTCCAGTCTGGGTGACAGAGGCAGACTCCATCTCAAAAAAAAAAAAAAAATCAAATTATGAATCACTTTAAGTATTCAAAAACAACCCCAACTTAATATACATACTGTACTCAGTAGGAAATTATACAAACTCACAACTGGTTTGAAGTTTACAGTTCAGTTATTCTGCTAAGCAGCTGTACTAGTTTCCTAGGGCTGCTGTAACAGTCTCACAAACTGGGTAGCTTAAATAATAGAAATTGAGGCCAGGTGCAGTGGCTCATGCCTGCAGTCCCAGCACTTTGGGAGGCCAAGATGGGGAGATCACTTGAGGTCAGGAGTTTGAGACCAGTTTGGCCAGTGTGGTGAAACCCCATCTCTACAAAAAAAAAAAAAATTAGCTTGGCATGGTGGCACACACCTGTAGCCCCAGCTACTTGGGAGGCTGAGGTGGAAGAATTGCCTGAACCTGGGAGGTGGAGGTTGCAGTGAGTGGAGATTGTGTCACTGCAGTCCAGCCTGGGTGACCCAGTGAGACCCTGTCTCTAAATAAATAAATAAAACAGAAATTTATTATCTCACAGCTCTGGAGGCTGGAAGTCCAAGATCAAGGTCTCAGCAGGATTGGTTCCTTGTGAGGGTTGTGAGGGAATGATCTGTTCCAGGACTTTCTTCTTGGCTTGTAGATGGCCATCTTCTCCCTGTGTTTCTTCACAGTCTTCCCTTTATATGCATCTGTCTCCGTCCAAATTTCACCCCCCCTTTTTTTTTTGAGACAGAGTCTCGCTCTGTTGCCCAGGCCGGAGTGCATTGGCTTGATCTCGGCTCACTGCAAGCTCTGCCTTCTGGGTTCACACCATTCTCCTGCCTCAGCCTCTTGAGTATCTGGGACAACAGGTGCACGCCACCACGCCCGGCTAATTTTTTGTATTTTTAGTAGAAATGGGGTTTCACCGTGTTAGCAAGGATAGTCTCGATCTCCTGACCTCGTAATCCACCTGCCTCGGCCTCCAAAGTGCTAGGATTACAGGTGTGAGCCACCGCGCCTGGCCAAATTTCCCATTTTATAAGGACAACAGTCACACTGGATTGAGGTCCACCCTAAGGAGTTCATTTGAATTTGACTACCTCTTTGAAGACCCTATTACCAAATAAGATCACACTCTGAGGTACTGTAGGTTAGGATTCCAACATGTCTTCTTTAGGGAGGTAGAATACAATTCAACCCATAATAGCAATGTAATATAGGGGTAAGAGCCTGATTCTGAATTCTAGCTCTGCCACTTATTGTGATATGGGAACTCACTATGTCTCATTTTTTTTTTCCTTAAATGAGGATGAAACAGGTAGCATCTTCCTCATGCAGCTGTGAGGATTAAATGAACTAGTCCACGTAACACTTGGAATACTGGGTGGTACAACACATGTTAGATATTCATTCATTCATTAATTCAACAAATAGTTATTGAACAACTACTAAGTGCCAGGCACTGTTCAATGTGCTTAAAATATTGAAGCAAATAAAATAAGCAAAAATGTCTACCCTCACGGAGCTCATAATCTAGTGAGGAAAGAAAGATAATTTAAAAATAGAACATGGTCTGGCATGGTGGTGGCTCATACCTGTAATCCCAGAACTTTGGGAGGCCAAGGTGGGCAGATCACAGAGTTCAAGACTGGCCTGGGTAACATAGTGAAACCCCATCTATACTAAAAACAGAAAAAATTAGCCGGACATGGTGGCACACGGCTATGGTCCCAGCTACTTGGGAGGCTGAGGTGGGAGGATGGCTTGAGCACAGCAGGAGGTCGAGGCTGCGGTGAGCTGTGACCACGCCTCTGTACTCCAGCCTGCGTGACAGAGTGAGACAGTCTCAAAAAAAAAAAAAAAAAAGTAGAACATAATGCCAGACAGTAATAAATTCTATGGAGAAAAATCAAGCTAGAGACCACTGGGGGTTGCAATTTGAGATTAGGGGTACCATTTGAACAAATATCTGAATAATGGAAGGGGACAGTTAAATGGTTAACTGGGGAAAGATACTTTCAGATAGAGGAGGGTTTCTGGACTGTCACATTATTGACATTTGGGGCTGGATAATTCTTTGTTGTGGGGGCTGTCCTGTGTGTTACAGGATGTTTAGCAGCACCCCTAGTCTCTAACCACTAGATGCTAGTTGCACTTGCCACCTCCTGCTCTCCTTGTGTGACAATCTGTTTCACAACGAAAGTATCTCTAGACATTGCTACTCCTCCCCCCAGGAGGAAGAAGGGGAGAGGAAGTGCTCCTGGTTGAGAACCACTGAAATAGAAGAAAAGTGAACGAACGCCCAGAGGCAGGAATGGGCTTACCTTGTCTGAGGCACAGCAAGGAGGGAGGCAGTAAGGGAAGACATCAGAAAGGGGAGGGATGAACCATGTCACCTGTGACCCTGATGCCCTCCTTCAGGCAGATAGGAAGTTGCTGGAGGGTTGAGAACAAAAACATAGCACAACTTGACGCACATTTTAAAACAGATTCTACTGTCTGCCACATTGAGAATTAACTGTAGGTGAAAAGACAGAAGTAGACAGCAGGTTGTTTCACTTGTTCACTGATTTGGCTGGGTGGTGGTAGGAACAGCTGAGAAAGCTGAGCTAAGAAGCTCTGAGGAAGAAAGGAGGAAGGAGAATTAGCATAAAAGGAAAAAGCTAGGCGTGGGCAAGATAACTTTTTGCAGAAGTGGAAGGCAGTAGGGTAATTAAGTAGATTTGAAAGCACAGAGGGGTTGTGTAGGACCAAGACAGAATGTTCGGGGCCAGTTGTGGGCAGGGCATTGAATGCTCTGCCAAGGAATGGGAGCTCTAGTCTGTTAGGATAATAATACGGAGCTTCGGACAAAAATTCTGCAGCAGTGTGCAGAATAGGAGTCAACAAGAGTAATTTTAGGAGTGTCTGGAAGTCATATGGGTGAGATAAGAGGAGCCTAGGTTTAGGTGGAGGAAGAGCATGGCCAACTCATTCTGAAGGAAGCAAAAATGAGCTCCTGCCCTAAGGCTTGGACCTTAGAATCTCCGTCTTCTTCAGAGTATTTTGACTGTAGGAAGTGCAGAGTATATTGGCTCCACAGAGAGAATTTGGACACTTGCCACAGTATCAGACACCAAGACAACGCAAGCCCACCATGAAAAGATTTAATGCAGTTTTTGCTTGGAAAAGGTGTACCCCAGGGAGGATGTGTTAGATTTCTTCAAGGGTCTTTACAAGGCAACGATTGTCTGTAGGTGAGAAAAACTGCCAAGTTAAGGCAAAGAGGGAGAAAGCAGGACTGCTTCCAAAGAGTTCTTTCACGATGCTCAAACATTTCAATTTTTTAGGTCAAAAATGCCTTAGGTTTAGCACAGCAATGTAGGTGCCAAACTCATCGCAGTGAATTGCAGGCGGGAGCAACAAGGACGCCTGCCTCCTTTCTGCCTGCTTTTTGCAATAGTCCGATTTGAGAAGGGGACCCACGAGAGACACAAAATGCACGCCCCCACGCCACATCCTTTTTACCCCGCAATGGGTTAAGACTGTCAACAGGCAGGCCACCTCGCAGCGTCCGCGGAGTTGCAGGCCCGCCCCCGCCAGGGTGTGGCGCTGTCCCCCTGGCGCTGGGCGGGGGAGGAGGGGCGCGCGGCGGCCGAGGAGGGGCGCGCGGCGGCCGGGCGGGGCGAGCGGAGGCGAGTGGAGGACGCGTAGACGCGCCGCGGTCCCCGCCTGCCGCTGCTCCGCCGCAGTCGCCGCTCCAGTCTATCCGGCACTAGGAACAGCCCCGAGCGGCGAGACGGTCCCCGCCATGTCTGCGGCCATGAGGGAGAGGTTCGACCGGTTCCTGCACGAGAAGAACTGCATGACTGACCTTCTGGCCAAGCTCGAGGCCAAAACCGGCGTGAACAGGAGCTTCATCGCTCTTGGTGGGTGGCCGGGGGTCGCCGCCGCTGGTAGGGCCACGGGAGCCGCCGCTGCCCCAGCTGCTGGGGAAGGAAGCAGGGAGAGGACTCGGGAAAGGTGGAGTCGGAGACAGACGGGACAAGCAGCATATTCAGGGATCAGGCTGGCCTCCCGGAAAGCGTGGGCATCGGAGGACCCCGCGGGGGCTGCCCAGGCTGAGGGTCGCGGGGCTGGAGGGCAGCTGCGGCGCCGGGCGCTGGCAGCTGGAAGGGCCAGCGCTGACGTATGTCTGCCCCGCGGCCCGGCGCCCTATTCCTGCTGTCCTGCGCGGTGGGCGCGGACGGCGGGGCCCCTGCGGGCGGGCGCGTTGACGGAGGTACCCGGTCCTACCCGACCCTCCGTGGAGCTCCGCCCGGAGAGGGCGCCTCTCGGGTGGGCGGGGGCTGCTACTGCAGCGTGTGCGGGAGTCCGGGCCTCTCGGGACGCTCCCCGCTGAGCGCAGCTTCCCAGGCTGGAGCGCTGCCCAGCAGGCCCTGCGAGAGGGCGGAAGCGGGTGCCTGGGACCGTCCCGGGCGCCGGGGGTTGCTGCGCAAAGCGCCGGGGCCCCCTGCGGGAGGTAGGAGAGGCACAATGGTGGGGCTGCCTGGTATCCCCAGACTTCAAGGCATAGCCCAGCGGACGCGCAGGCCCAGCTTTCGTGTGGTTTGTTTTTCTCGCTCCTTTAATCGAGTCGAGAGGAAAACTCCTACAACAGGCCCAGCCTCGCGGTGTGGGCGGCGGCTGTCCCGCGTGAACGGCTCTCATGCTGCCCGACCCACTTCTCTCCTTGTGGTCCCCAGGTGTCATCGGACTGGTGGCCTTGTACCTGGTGTTCGGTTATGGAGCCTCTCTCCTCTGCAACCTGATAGGATTTGGCTACCCAGCCTACATCTCGTAAGTGACACACCCTGCAGCCGTCCCCTTCCCTTCCTCCATTCCTCCCCGCAGGGCTGCTGCAGTAGACTGCACATCCGCAATTCCCGGGAGAAAAGTGAAAGCTCGGCGGGGAGGGATGAGGTTGGACATAAGGGGTGGGGATAGTATTCACCATTTTGGAACCTTAACTTAATCCCTATCTCTTGACGATTAGCCCAGAGGTATTTTCATTAGATTATCCTGGTGACCAGTGTCCCCTCTCTTTGGCACACTAACAGGAAAGCGCTACCACTCTGTCGTCCTCCCTTTACTGGTGGGAGGATCTCAGAAGGTACAGGGAGCTGAGCACTTCTGTCTAGTAATTATTTTAATGAGTATTTCACCATATATTTATGCACCTAGAGAGTAAAACCCTATCAATTAGGTCTTCCTTAATTCATAATTACGTTAATTGAGACAGTAGGGAGAATTTTCTCATTTTCTTTTATTTTGAAAAAGCCACATGTTACAGACAAACTTGGGAAATGCTTACCCTAGTGTAAAAACAAAAACCTTTAAAAATGCTCCATGATATAGCTCCTTGGTTATATAAGTGAGTCATTTATATAATTGAGCTACTTAAAAAATGAATTTTTACGATTAGGATCTGAATTTATTACCAAAGTTGTTTTTATTCTACAATGTGTTTATTTTTTTTAATTCTACGATTTTATTTTTCCATTCGTTCAAGTAGGAATTATTCCTCTCCAGAAATGAATTTTGTTTTGCTCTACAGTTCTTCCTAAGAAAGCCAGTGGTTTTTACCTTCATTCAGTTGGTCTCTGCTACTTTCTTCAACCATAGGGATAAAAATAAAGGAAGAAAAAATTTTCACCTAGGAGGCTAAGACACAGATAACACATTATTACAGCTTGTATCTGTCACTAGTTAGGCTAGAATTTAGTCTATGACTATAAGGGAAGAAACATGTTTTAGAAGTTAGTTCTGATTTGAGCAATTAAATTGCAGTTACCTAGTAGTTGTTACTGTGTTAGTCCGGTACAGACACTTAGTCATACTCCAGAAAGTCTAGCTACATATAGCCCTGAGGCCTACCCCGGGCTCTGCTTTATGGAGGAGACTCAAGGAAAAACGGGATTGTGTGCACAGAATAAAGCATACAGACCCCCGTGAGCAAATATTCAGGCGGTCGGTGTTACATTAGTCTAATCAAGTCTGTTCATTGCATAACCAATATGATTGTATAATTGTCCAAAAGAAAGAAAAAGTATTTGAAAATGGTGGTCTTTAGTAGCATCAAAATCCATGTTGCTTAAAGTGTGACCTGTGAACACTGTCTTAGTCTGCTTGGGCTGCTATAACAAAATACCTTAGACTGGATAATTTATAAACAATAGAAATTTATTGCTCACAGTTCTGGAGGCTGGGAAATCCAGGACCAAGGCACCAGCAGATTTGGTGTCCGGTGAGGGCTTGCTCCCTGCTTCAAAGATGGCATCTTCTCACTGCTTCCTCACATGGTAGAAGGGTCAACTGGCTCCCTCAAGCCTCTTTTATAAGGACACGAATCCCATGCATGAGGGCAGAGCTCTCATGCCTGTTTCTTTTCTTTTGAGACAGAGTCTCGCTCTATATTGCCCAGGCTGGAGTGCAGTGTCGTAATCTCAGTTCACTGCAACCGCCATCCCTGGCCGCCCCCACCCCCGCCAAATTCAAGCAATTCTCCTGCCTCAGCCTCCCTAGTAGCTGGGATTACAGGCGTGTGCCACCACGCCTGAGTAATTTTAGTATTTTTAGTAGAGATGCGGTTTTGCCATGTTAGCCAGGCTGATCTTGAACTCCTGACCTCAGGTGATCCACCTGTCTCAGCCTCCCAAAGTACTGGGATTACAGGCGTGAGCTACCACACCTGGCCAAGCCCTCATGTCTTAATTGCCTCCTAAAGGCACCACTATTTAATACTAATACATTGGGTATTAGGTCCCAACATATGGATGTTGGGGGAACACAACATTCAGACCATAGCAGTCACCTTCATTTTAACTATTCTCCATACCTCTTGTAACTCTTATGCTCCCTAGCCAGAGTTATTTTTTAAAATACAGGTTCATCTATTTAGCAAAAATCAAATGCCAGTCACATGTGTGGCACTGTGGTAGCACTTTAGATATGGCAAGAAATAAGGTAGTCATACTCTCTGTCCTTGTTGAATGAGCAGTCTACCCAGGCAAGAAATAGGCAAAGTAGTGACCGTGTGGTAAGCCCTCTAAAGTAAATAAACAGTTCTGGTAGAGAAGACCTGAGGAATGAGAAGGGGCCAGCCAAGAGCAGAGCCAGGGAGAGGGAGAAGAGTGTGTCAGGCCCTGAGGCAGCACACAGCTTAGCTCTGTGTGAGCAAAGAGTGGTGGGGGAGGCACCAGAGAGGTGCAGGTGCCAGCAGGTAGGGTCAGTGGTAGAAGTGTGCATTTCATTCCAGATGGTGGTAGGGAGTTTGCATTTTCTGATTGCCTTGGATGGGTTTTAAATAGGGGGTGACATGATACGATTTATATTTTAAGGTCACTTTGGCTGCTGTGACCTCTGTAAGGAGTTCGCGATCTTGCCAAACTATTGCCAGTAATTTACTTCCTTCCTTTCTCACCTTTCAGCCTTTCTCTTGCTGTTTCCTCTCCTTGGGCCATCACAAGAAGGGGAGTAGTGTCAGTATTGGGTCAAGAGACTGCAGGATGCAAAGATGAAATTGGGAAAAGCTCACTTGGCTTCCTAGCTTTTCTCCCTTTGGACTCCCTTTGGAAGTCTGTGAGTGAAGCTCAGGTGCACCTGGCTCCTGGTCAGGGTCTGCTGCACGTTGGAGCATGTAGATGGTTGAAGACTTGCCCAGTGCTCACTGGGGAGCAACCAGTACCTTATTGTATACCCCTCTTCCTACTGGTTGTTCTTTCCGTGTGCATAATTTCCCTTTGAGCTCTTTGAGAACAGGGTCTTTCATCTCTGACTTCTAGTTTCTAGAATTTTTGGCCATCTTATATAGGCAATTCGGAATCTAATTCCAGCCTTCCTTTCATCAAGAACTGTTGACATAATTACCTTAATCTCCTTACTTCCCTCTTTTACTGATAACAGGAGGCAGACTACTGGAAATGTTTATTATAAAGATAGACCTCCCCCCATTGCTAAGATATAATTTAGATACTTATAAATTGTACACTTTTAAAGTATGCAGTTCAGTGGCTAGTATGTTCAGAGTTGTGTAACCATCACCACTGTCTAATTCCAAAACATTTTTATCACCCCAAAGGGAAACCATCACCAATCACTCCCTATTCCTCCTACCCAGCCCCTGGAAACCACTAATCTGCATTCTGTTTCTATGAGTTTGCCTATTCTGAGCATTTCATGTAGACGGAATCATACAATATATGGCCTTTAATGTCTGGTGCAGCCCTGCTTCTAATGGGATTGCACAAATAAGAGTCCTCTGGAGGGTGTATGCTGTGCTGCACCCTCATATGTGAGTAAGTCCTCCTGGTGCAGTCCCTCCAGGGTGGGCGCTAGTGAGCCAGGGCCCTAGTCCTGTACTTGCTCCTTTGTACAAATGGAATTGTGAGGCAAACTCAGACTTTATCTTCTATTTAAGGAAAGGGGAAGGTTTGCTTTCTGTCCTACCCAGTAACTTTTTTGCTTAAAATTCTATAAAAATGTCTATTACTTTTCCTCTTTTTATTTCATATTTTCCTTAAGACTTGGGCTGCCACCTTCCTGGGACTATCAGAGTTGGGCCTTAAAGATCAAACAGGTAGTCCAGTTCCTTTAGTTTTAAAATGACAATTCAGGGACAGAGAAAGGTGGAGTGTGTTTCCCAAGGTCACACAGAGGCCAGGCTTGGTCTGGAACTACACAGGAATGTAAAGCACATTTAGGCATATTTTAGTGCCAATGTTAGAAAGATTAAATATGTTTAGGGGGCGGGGCATGATGGCCCACATCTGTAATCTCAGCACTTTGGGGTGCTGAGGCAGAGGGATTGCTTGAGGCCAGGAGTTCAAGACGAGAGTCCAGCACTATATATTTAATCTTTAACAACACTTTTGAAATCTCATACCCAGTTCAGTAATGTGTCATTTTAGTTTCTGTGTGTCCTCACAAGCCCATTTTAAACTTTTGCTGCTGGTGTAAAGAGTTATATTGCATTTAGCTCTTTGTATGACTCCTGAAATCTGTGTAGCATTTTATTTAACAGATATGTACATATCTCTGTCTAAGTGCTTTGCAAATATAGCTCATTTAATCCTCAGAACAACCCTATTATGTAAGTGCTATGATTATTCCCATTTTTACAGATGAGGAAACACAGAAAGAGAATTTGAATAACTTGATCAAGGTCTCACAACTAGCAGATGATGAAACTGGTATTTAAATCCAAAGAATCTGGCTCCAAATTTCATGCTTTTAATGATTACGTTATGCTACCTCCCTTGTGGCTCTTTGAATGTCCCACAAACACAACATCACCTTATGTAGAGATGAAAATTAAAAAATGTAGGCCTTTCAAAAAAACAGTTGACCCTGTCAATACATTACCTTTGTGCAGTGTATTTTTCCTCTCAAATAAGGTACTGTCATCCCAAATCATATATCTGCACACATAGGCATTGACTGTGTTTTGTAGACATTAGTTAGAATATGTTACTAACAACTTTTCTTATCTGTTATGTAGCTTTGACTTATGACAGCAGAGGCTTGCTCTGTTTTACTAGCACAAGGCCACCTGAAAATGGCACACTGAACTGGATTTCCTAAGGGGATGCAGCGTTGCCTTTAGTTCTGTTTCAAGAGACAAGTATCTCAAGGGAAGATGTTTGGGGATGACCCCTATCGAGGTCAGATCAGAAAGGGATGGCAAGAAGGTTAATTTGAAGAAAAAAAACAATGAAAATATCTACAAGAGTTGTAACACAGTTAACCACAAGTAAAAGCAACAGCATCCTCTTAGCTAAATGATGCTCAGCACACAAAGGGAGGACACATTCTGGGGAACACAAGTTAAAAAGAGTTGCAGTCTACTTGCTTAAGGTGTGCATTGACAGACTCCTAAAGAGGTTTATTACCCAGAGGAGACTTTGAGAAAGTCACCGTGGTGTGAATGACAGTTGTGAACAGACACTTTCTGTTTTGCAGCTAGTCACTGGAAGCAGAGCTGTTTCCTTAACAGTACTGGAGGATGTGTATTTGTAGTTCTCTTCTTGGACTCATTAGTAGGGGGTGTATTTGTTTTCTTGTGGGTTTTTTTTTTTTTTTTTAAATTGTAATTATGTTTTGTTCTTTTTTACTCATGAGAACTTCAGAGCAGATGTATTTTCTACTGAGCTGCCTATGTTCCCATTACACTAGCTTTTCTCTCTGGATCTATATGTGCTTTGTTAAAGTGTTGAAGAGCAGAGCAATGCATGCCTGCGCTTTGCCTTCTGGGGTAGTATGAAGCACAAGCCAATGTGGCCTTCTGGCCGATGTGCACTTGGATAAAAAATATAACAGGCATTCTGCAAACTGTGACTTAAGCAATTTACTTAAACATTTAAATCTTTAATTTACTTAATTTAAATCTGAAATCTTAAGCATTTAAACATTTAACCTTCCTCAACTTTTTTACTGTCCTTGTTTCACTTAACATTACTGCTAAGAGTGCTGGACTCTTTTAAGATGAAAGTGTTGTGGAGAAATGAAAAAGTAATAAAAATATCCTTATAACAACTTGTGACTATTTTGTAAAATAATGACAGCCAGCGTTTCAGTTAAGGTTCGCCCGCTTGCCTGTGTCATAAAGAAAATAAAGTTTTAAAAAGCAAATAAGATGAATGATTTAAATTATTTATTCATGATCAGAGTTTCTGGGCTCTAAAGCAGTTGTGGAGGAGGATCTCATTTCTAATACTCTATTCTGGAATGTTCCTTATGAGCTTTTTTTTTTCTCTTTATGAAGGCCCTGGAGATTTAGTCTATTTGTCCTTCTTTCTGTCGTAGCCTCCCTCATCTCCTTCTGACCTGGACTTCTCTTTTTCAGGACTGACTTTGAATGAGGACTCAGTTTTCAACTTAATTTTTTCACATGGCATTTAAAACAAGTATAAATACAAATATAACATGTTAAGGTATTTAGTGGTGATTCATAACATTAACAATTAATTTTGGGGAAGTATGAATTAATATGGCAGAAGTTTTAAAACAATTTCAAAATTGTGAATGAAATTACTTTTTGTAGCAGCTGAAATATAAGTGGGGGCTGTAGAAACGTACCCTGACTTCATTCTGTCACTTGCACACTTTCCTGATTCCAGGGAGTGGAGCTTATCAGTCACTCTGAGTCATGTGTCTACTATATATATCCTGCAGCCTCTGATAGACCAAGTGATCTAGTTAAGGGATCGCTCACTTGTCTAGACTGCGGTCCGCATCTAAGGTGGCCCTCCTTTACCTAGGAAAAGGCAGCTTAGGTTGTTCCCCTTCTAAGTTGTGAGGTTACTTGAGATTAAGTTAAACTTTATGATACCAATCTGACACAGATACTTATAGAACCACTGGTTTTATTGACAAAGGGTTGTCCCAGTGGGATTTGCATCTGCTCTTTTATTGCTCCTGGCATTAATCTTTTTTACCATCAATCATTCAAACAGTTTTTTTGGGGGGACAGGCAGGGAGGCTGAGATGGGTGGATTGCTTGAGTTTGAGACCAGCCTGGACAACATGGCAAAACCCCATCTCTACAAAAAATACAAAAAATTAGTACACGCCTGTAGTCCCAGCTACTCCAGAAGCTGAAGTGGGAGAATCACCTGAGCTTGAGAAAGTCAAGGCTGTGGTGAGCTGTGTTGATGCCACTGCACTCAGCCTGAGTGACAGAGTGAGACCCTGTCTCAAAAAAACACACACACACTTGGGAGGCTGAGGAAGGAGAATTGCTTGAACCCAGGAGGCACAGGTTGCAATGAGCCGAGATTGCGCCACTGCACTCCAGCCTGGTTTTTTTGAGTGTGTTTTTTTTGAGACAGGGTCTCACTCTGTCACCCAGGCTGAGTGCAATGGCATGAACACAGCTCACTGCAGCCTTGACTTTCTCAAGCTCAGGTGATTCTCCCACTTCAGCTTCTGGAGTAGCTGGGACTACAGGTGTGTACTAATTTTTTGTATTTTTTGTAGAGATGGGGTTTTGCCATGTTGCCCAGGCTGGTCTCAAACTCCTGGGTGCACACACACACACACACAAACACACACACATTCAGTTTTGAGTTATAAAATGTTAGCTAAAAGGGGTCTTAGAGACTAAGCTGCTAGGGTGATAGCCACCTGTAACAGATGTGGAAATCAAGGCCACAAACTGAAGTTAATTGACATAGGTCACAGGTGTGTTGGGACCAATTCAGTCTTAAGTGTAGGGATGTCTGTCCACATTCCGCATTGTTATATTTGACTGTGACTGACTCTTCCATTTTGCATTTAAAAACAAAATGGTGGATAGTGGTAAATGAGATCACTGTAATTAAACACCAAAAGATTTGACCACTGAATGACTGCATTTTTTTCTTTATACTTCATTATAGGTATTCTATAGACTCATCTTAATTTTTTTTTTTTTTTTTTTTTTTTTTTAGCCAGGGTCATACTCTGTCACCCAGGCTGCAGTGCAGTGGTGCAATCATGACTCACTGCAGCCTTGACCTCCCAGGCTCTAGCTATTCTCACTCCACTGCCTCTGTAATCTTTTTTCTTTTCTTTTCTTTTTTTCTTTCTTTCTCTTTCTTTCTCTTTCTTTCTTCTTTCTTTCCTTTCTTTCTTTCTTTTCTTTCTTTTCCTTTCTGTCTGTCTGTCTTTCTTTCTTTCTGTCTTTCTTTCTTGATGGAGTTTCCCTCTTGTTGCCCAGGCTGGAGTGCAGTGGCGCAATCAGCTCACTGCAGCCTCCACCTCCCGGGTTCAAGCGATTCTCCTGCCTCAGCCTCCCAAGTAGCTGGGATTACAGGCATCTGCCACCAATTTTTTGTGTTTTTAATAGAGATGGGGTTTCACCATGTTGGCCAGGCTGGTCTTGAACTCATGACCTTAGGTGATCCATCTGCCTTGGCCTCCCAAAGTGTTGGGATTACAGACATGAGCCACTGTGCCCGGTCAGTCTTTCATTAGTCTTTCTCGTACTGTTTGTTGGTTTTCTCTCTTGCTTTAAAAGCACATATACTCTGCAGTGAAAAAGATATGTAACTTTCTGATCACGCATAGTTTCCTGCCTTCTTTTTTTCTATGAAGGAGAAAAATATTTTCCTTATTGGCATGGAAACGAACTAGTGTTTATGTCTTAAAATGTCTGATTCTTTTTTCCTTCTTATTTGAGGTACTGATAATAGGAAAACCATTTTGAATTACTAAGAATTCCTACATCATACTCTCTGATAAATACAGCCAAAAGCAATCCCATGCATGGTGGGCATGGAGGATGGTCAAGTTATGTGTCTGCCATAACAAAAAGGATTATAAACATTATGGTCCATGTTCTTCATATTCAATTTCCAAAGAACCTATCTTAACCTCTGGAATATTTGCTATTAAACATAAGTTACCACATTAGAAATAAAATATAAAGCAGATGGACCAGAAGATGATTCCTTTCTGTTCTTTACCAATAGGACATCTTAAAGCTTTTTATCCATATATATGGATAAAATTAAAATATATATGGGTATAAATGGATATATAGATATATTTTAATGAACTGCTTTTTTTTCCACACTGTCAGTCTCTGGTAAATAGTTGATATTGGTACAACTGGTTTGAATAATAAAGCCAATGCTGTGAAGACATACTATTACTTAATTTTATGTCATTTGGCTAGTTTGAATTGTAGCAACTGAGTTACTTATGAACCATGCACAGAACACATAGTATGTACCTATGTGTCTTAGGTGTGAGTAGCCAAAAGCATGTGTATATGGAGCTGATTATTACCTCTTGAGCAAACAGCTTAACTTTTATAAAATTCAGTTTTCTCATATGTAAAAGGTGGGGATAGGGTTGGGGGGAGTTGGGATAATATATGTCAAACGTTTAGGACAAATCAGGCATTCTGTAAGTGCTCAATTAAGGGGAGTTAGTTTCATTAACATATAAAGAGGAAAATTGACTTAATCATAGTCATAGTTCTTTAACTTTGTGTCATTAAGCTTTTCATTGATTTAAGGAAAAACCTTCCTAAGAGTATTTTCTTTCATTTATTTTTTCACTTTCATTTTTTGTTCCTTGTCTTATTATTTTTTTCCTGTACTTAAATCAGCTTAAGACATCATTATTCAAAGAATAAAACACAGTAAAGTTTTGTTCTTCCAAGTTAAAAATATGTGATATGGCTAGTGGTTTTCTTCTGTACTGGTACAATGGTGTATATGTTCCTAAGCATTGAGTATAAGTTGGACTAACAATTTTTTAATATTAAATCTTATGCATAAGAAATGTGAACTTGGTCCTAAAAGCAAGAACTCAAAACAGAAATATAAAAAGGTTGTACAGTTCACATATAAAAAAGCATTTGATCTATTTTGCATGGTAAGAACAAAATAGATCTGAATTAAGAACTTGTAAAAGTGGATGTTTTTCCAGATGGATTTATTGTGTCTGAAATAATTTGAAAAATAGTATGGAAGGTTGTCCCTTTCCTGTCTCCCTCCAAGTAAGCATTAGCTGTAAGTATTTTGAAATATTGATTGATAGATGAAACCTCAGCAAAAGAAGAAGAGCACATTTTGACCAATACCGAGCTTAAGCTTAGCTTAGAAAGCTTTTGGTGATGATGCACACCTTTTATGTCAGTTCAGTGAGCTGCAGCCATTTACAGTGGCCTAAAGAATAATGACCTTGAATTACCTCATGTAAGAAGTCTGGAGGTTGAAATTTCAAGGCGCTACAGCAGAAATCCATGCTCTTTTCCAGCGACTTTGGAGTATAATCTTCCTCGCCCACGCCTGTTTCCTTAATATATAACAAGATTGTTGCCATATAGCGCTAAGGCTTTCAAGAGCAGGAAGCTGGAAGACCTTTTATTTGTGCGCCTCTCATATTTTATCAGCAGAGGAAAATTTTGTCCCAAAGCCTTCTACCGTATTTCCTTTTCTGTTTCATTGGTCAGAACTGTGTCACATGGATACCCTTAACTCCAAGGGGGCTAAGAAAGTCAGTATCTAGCAAAAAGCAATGGGATTACCATGGTGGATTTGTACTAACTTTGATTTATCCCCTAGGCCTGGGGCAGGAGCCTAGCTTCCCTGAGTCAAGACAGATTTGCCAGGTACATGTATATAAAATCAGGGCTCTGTGGGTGAGTAGGAAGGACTGGCTAATTGATAGGCAAGGAACAGTGTCTGCTATTTCCTTGAGCAATGATAGTGACCGGTTGCTGTAATAGGATTTTTGAAGCAGCAGTGTTACCATGACAATCTGATCATGCTGGTGACCATCATTCAGCAGTGAATAGTTAACTGCCAGGCAGTGTACAATGGAGAGATTGAGCTGCAGATATAAATTTGGAAGTTATTAGCATATATATGGTATCTAGATTTATGGGGACAGATACTCTCTCCAGATCAAAACAACCAAAATGGCATGATGGTAATAAAATAGTTTTAAAAATCTGGTATTATAGAATGCCTAGGTGGTAAGTGAAGTTTTTTTTTCTCTTTTTTGTTTTTAAATGGATTTTATTTTTTAGAGCAATTTTAGGTTCACAGTGAAATTGAGCAGAAGATACAAAGATTTCCCATGTACCCACTACGCCTACACATACACAGCCTCCTCTACCATCAGCATCACCTACAAGAGGGGTATGTTTTTGTCTTTGTTTTTTTTTGAGATGGAGTCCTGCTCTGTCGCCCAGGCTGGAGTGCAGTGGCACGATCTCAGCTCACTGCAGCTCCACCTCCCGGGTTCAAGTAATTCTCCTGCTTCAGCCTCCCGAGTAGCTGGGACTACAGGTGCACACCACTATGCCTGGCTAATTTTTGTATTTTTAGTAGAGACGGGGTATCACCATGTTGGCCAGTCTGGCCTTGAACTCCTGACCTCAAGTGATCCACCCTCCTTGGCCTCCCAAAATGCTGCGATTACAGGCGTGAGCCATTGTGCCTGGTCAGAGTGCTGTTTTTTATAATTGGTGAACATACATTGACACATCATTGTCACCTAAAGTCCTTAGAGAATGTACAGCTTACTTGTGTCATGGGTCAGGGAATATCTTAGGTTTTCTGAAAGATGACACTTAATTTGGGAAGGAGATTCCAGCCCAGAATCATCTCTGCTCAACCTTGTTTTCTTCACATGTTAATGCTATTCTTTGGCCATCCTTGGTTCTTGCCTTTGCTTTCAGAAAATAGCAGCCAAGGTGTGAACAAGTAGATGGGCCAGCAAGGGTGGAGTGAACTGGTACCAGTTACTGGGGCCCAGTGTACTGGATGAGGGATGGCCAGTGAGTTGTGTTCATATATGTACCAGTCCAATGCCAATGTAAAGAATTTCTGCCATTCTACCATTGCAGAGTGGGCCTGAAAAATGTTTTCAGCAATGTTCAAATTTCTTCCCACTACCTGCAAACATGAATTTGGGGATTTCAGCTAACTTCTTACTACCTGTAGCATATGGGATTTGGAGTAGGGTATAATTAAAATTGATGGGTAACTCTAATCTCCTTTTAGCCTTATTAGCCATATAAACCCTCTGACAGCTACTTAAACAAAGAAACTAGAGTCTTCTTATCTCTCTCTTTTCTTCTTAATCTTTTATCTCCCTATAATAATAAGTTATTACTGTACTATAATTAATACCTGTTAAGGGAGTATTTACTGAGACTTTCTTAGTGCTTTACATATATTAACTACTTTAATCTTCACAACAACACAATGAGGCTTATCCATACTAGATAGGTGAACAAACTAAGGCTCAGAGAGATTGGATAACTTGCCCAGGGTCATATATCTAGTAAGTAGTAGAGCTAGAATACAGAGCTACAAACTAAGGGTGGTGAAATGCTGCAAAGCCAGAAAAGCACTGAGAAGAAATGAAGGGAAAGCCCTGGCCATTCCATAGTTCAGTGTAATCAGTAACTTATGATAGTTTGTATTATTTAAGTAGAAAGTTAAAATGAGTCAATTTCATGTGATGGGCTGTGTGGCTCTCTTTTCTCCTTGTGTGTCTCTTTGTGGGTGTGTGTGTTGAAGGCCTTTTAATGCTCTAAAACAAAACAGATTATATCTGACCATTGTTAGAGAAATTTGTAAAAAAAAAAAAAAAATCATTAGCTGGGCTGGGCATGGTGGCTCACGCCTGTAATCCCAGCACTTTGGGAGGCCGAGGTGGGCGGATCACGAGGTCAGGAGATCGAGACAATCCTGGCTAACAAGGTGAAACCCCGTCTCTACTAAAAAATACAAAAAATTAGCTGGCGTGGTCGTGGGCGCTGTCGTGGTCGTGGGCGCTGTCGTGGGCACCTGTAGTCCCAGCTACTTGGGAGGTTGAGGCAGGAGAATGGCATGAACCCGGGAGGCAGAGCTTGCAGTAAGCCGAGATCGCGCCACTGCACTCCAGCCTGGGCAACAGAATGTGACTCTGTCTTAAAAAAAAAAATTATTAGCTGTTTTCTCAAAGAGAAATTAAATGAATATAGCTGATGTTCACTTTAGTGTTTATTTTTAACAAAGCCTCATAGAGAAAACTAGTCTCATAGGAGAAAATCATTATAGAAAGTCTGATGCTCAGCCAGGCACGGGGGCTTACGCTTGTAATCTTAGCACATTGGGAGGCCAAGGTGGGTAGATCGCCTGAGGTCAGGAGTTTGAGACCAACTTGGCCAACATGGTGAAACCCTGTCTCTACTAAAAATACAAAAAAACTAGCGGGGCGTGGTGGCAGGTGCCTGTAATCCCAGCTACTCAGGAGGCTGAGGCAGGAGAATTGCTTGAACTGGGGAGGCAGAGGTTGCAGTGAGCCGAGATCGTGCCACTGCACTCCAGCCTGGGCCACAAGAGCAAGACTCCATCAAAAAAAAAAAAAAAAAACAAAAAACAAAGAAAGTCTCTGATGCTCATTCTTTTCCAAATGGAAATCTCCCCCGCCCCCTTCTTTTTTTAATCAATTTTAGTACATACTCATTGGAAAGACCTTAAGTAAAATTCTGTTATTCAGGATTAACTTTATACAATTTGAAATGTATTGCATATCTTTCTGGATATCATTCTTGGTCTGTAAACATATAAAAACATCTTTTTTTAAACAAAAAATTAGAATTCACTTTTTACACTCAACACTGTATCTTGGACATCTTTCCCTGTCAATACCCTTTTTAAAGGCTTCAGAATATTTCATTGTACGGATGTGCCAAAATGTAAACAGTCTACTGCCCTTTACATACACATGCTCTGTAACCTTCTAGTTTAATAAATTAAAATTCATTTTAATATAACTCCTTTCTCTTTAAATTTCATTTTGTCTATATAAAATGTAGAATTTGAACTAGTTCATCTCTGAGATGTCTTCCAACTCCACACATGGTGATTCCTAATTCTGCTCGATTAATTTTAGAGCTGCCAGCTGCTGCCACAGTTTTGCCAACTATCCTCTGCCTTGTAGTCGTGCCTCTGCTGCTCACCCAGCCCTGGCTTCTCTTGATATCTGCTTTGGGGAAGCAAAATGCTGCCCCAGAACATGGTAGGTGGCTCAGGAGAGAGAATAAGGAAGCCACAGCACTGAGCCTAGGCGGCCAGGCTTTAGAACAGTGGTGAGAATATGACAGTAAGGTGTGCAGAGAGCAGTAAGACTGTGGTGTCTGTCCACAGAAGCTGTATGTGGGTGTGTTAGTTCTGAGCCCAGGATCAGTGTGACTGCCAGAGGATGAGGCGGTACTAGAGACAGAGGAGCCTGTAAAAGAGTGGACCAGGCCTGTGGAGAGAGTGGTAGGAATTGTTGCCTGTTGCCATGGGGTCATTCCAGAACTCCTCTAGGGGTTAGCTGTGCAGGCTGAAGTTCCAGCTAGACAGATACAGGGCTTTTAGATGCAGTTCTTGAAATCTTAGTGAACAGTTTTATTTCAGTGTTGTTATCTTGAATCCTTTTACAAATTTCAGAATATTCAGGTGAGGGTTCTAGATCATATTAGAGTTGACTTATTCTAATTTTAGTAGAGACATTATTCAGTTTGACTTCTACGTCCAACTTTTCTTCTCTTTTGGCCTCTCACTCATTACTGGAAAGGGGTAGCCTGCCCTCTGGCTACAGCTGATTATACCCAAACTGGCCATTTGGATTTCCTTTCTTAGAACACGTAGGGCAGGTGCTGTGAAGACTGGAACTTTGAGGTGGTTTCCAAACACAGTTCTGCATTATGATCACCTGCACAGCCTTGTAAGAGCAGCTGAATCACTAGGTCTGAAGAAGGACCCAGGCGTGTATATTTTTAATAAGTTCTGTAGATGGATGTGGATGATCATCTAAGTTTGAGGACCAGTGGACTAGGACACCAACTCAGAACACTATCCTGTTCACTTCTGATAGTTCCCCCCTGCAAATCCAGGTGAGTAGAGTGGAGGGTAGAATGGACCTCCAGGGATCTGGACACTGAGACTATGACCCTGCCTCCTATTTTTCTGCTCTGTGGCCAGTTTAACCTTTCTCTGGGGTCCCCTCCAAAAGTAAGATTGTGACCTCCTATTGTATGTATAGTAATTCAATAAATATTAAATGCCTACTTTGTACCGGACATTTTGCTGAGTGCTATCCAGCTTGCCACTGAACTGTTTTCTTAATTAGTAAAATAGCATAGGATAGTGAACAAAGCACAGGCTTTGGAGTTAATTTTAAGTGTAAGACCAATCCTTGCTACTTGTAGCTGGGTGCCCTGCACATGTTATTTCTCTACACTAAGCCTCGGTTTCTTCTGCTCAAATACAGGAACAATACCTATCCTACATGGCTATTATGAAGGTTAAATTAAATAATAGGTTTCTACCCCTCCATTCTATGGCTTGGCCATTTTGGCTAGACTGCAAGGGACCTAAGAGCATAGAGCATATCTTATGGTTTCATGAATCCTCTGTGTTGCCTAAATTGCTACCTCTTTATTCTGATACACCAAGTTGGAATATGATTCATATTTGTACAAGGCAGTAGAGTGTTTTGTTGGAGAATCACTTTTATCTACTGAATTGGGACAAGGAAGTCTAATCAGAAGGTATATAAGTATCCTGGGCATGGTGGCTCATGCCTGTAATCCTAGTATTTTGGGAGGCTGAGGCAGGAGGATCACTTGAGCCCCATGAGTTTGAGACCAGCCTGGGGAACAAGGCAAAACCCCGTCTTTATAAAAAAGTACAGAAGTTAGCCAAGCATGATGATGTGAACCTGTAGTCCCAGCTACTGGAGAGGCTGAGGTGGGAGGATCACTTGAGTCCAGGAGGTTGAGGCCGCAGTGAGTTGTGATCATGCCACTGCACTCCAGCCTGGGTGACAGAGCAAGACCCTGTCTCAATCAATCAATCAATCAATCTTTTTAAAAAGAAGATATATAAGTAAATAGCATTCAGAAAACCTCAAGTTTGTTTTTTTTTTGTTTTGTTTTTTTTTTGAGACCGAGTCTTGCTCTGTCACCCAGGCTGGAGTGCAGTGGTGGAATCTCGGCTCACTGCAACCCCCGCCTCCCGGGTTCAAGTGAGTCTCCTGCCTCAGCCTCCCAAGCAGCTGGGATTACAGGCATGTGCCACCACGCCCGGCTAATTTTTGTATTTTTAGTAGAGGTGGGGTTTCACCATGTTGGCCAGGCTGGTCTTGAACTTCTGACCTCAGGTGATCTGCCCACCTCGGCCTCCCAAAGTGCTGGGACTACAGGTGTGAGCCATTGTGCCCGGCCAGAAACCTCAGTTTTAAGCTTTTTTCTTCTCTCACCATGACTACATGGGGCACTTCACTTTTTTGAACCTCACGTTCCTGAGTGAGCTAGACCATCTCTTCCCTTTTTTCTTGTTTTGGGTAGTTTGTGATTGTTATGACACATAAAGACATTTTTTAAATTGAACATTGTGCTATTTTAAATTAAAACAATTAAATGCTTCAATAATATGAGAAGATCTATTAAAAAATCTCTTTAGCTTAATAGACTCATTGGCCTTTTCCTGGCTTCTTTCATATGCCTTGGTTTTCTGCAAAGTTGTGATCAGTGTATGTATTCAATTTGGAGTTCTTTTATTTCTACTTTTCAATGTTACTATATAGTGTTCTAGTATATTAACATGGGGACTTTAGAATTCATATTGTAGATATGAATTAAAAAAGAATTTTTTTTTCCTAGAAGAGCTGAACTGTTAGGCTTCCTGTTTTTCAATCTGTGGAACTTGACTAACATTTAAAAAATAATGAAATAGAATGGAATTTAAAATATCAGAATGGTTTCAGGAAATATCTATTTAAGTTTATATTTTTATGTGAAGATGTCTGTTTACTGGATCATGATGTAAAATGTATGCTTACCGAGGGTTGTGGCCAAAAGAATTTAAAAGCCACTGGATTAACAATGACAGTCCCATCACATTTTGAGGTTTTTACGTCATATTCTAGAAAAGACTGTTTAATTCCCAGGTGTGTCCTGAGAGTTGCTTCTTTTGGAAGTACATAGTTGTGAGCTATTGCGTTCACAAAACTAAGACCTTGAGTGAAATGTAATTACGTATCTCCTCTGCCCAGAATGAATGTACAGGAAACAAATTTTTATTATACTAATAATTAAATAAATCCAATTAAATATGGATAAGCCATACTATACCAAATGAAACACAGCGGGAGAAGAAATCTTACACATAAAGGATATACTGTGTTCTTTGGTTAACATGCTTGTCTACACTTTTCCTTTGGCCTTCTATTACATTCGCCAGCTTCTATCTGAAGGAAGCTAAAAAAATACAGACTTTGTGCATACATTACAAGCCATTTTTTAATAATCAGCTCTCTTAAATTCATTTTATATGATTCTTGTACTTTGAAATATTTGGGGCTGGGTGTGGGAGCCACCAGACTGCACTTTGGGAGGCCAAGGCAGGAGGATTGCTTGAGGCCAGGAGTTCGAGACCAGCCTGGGCAACACAGTGAGACCTTGTCTCTACTAAAAATTTAGCAAGTAGCTAGGTGTGGTGGTGTGTACCTGTAGTACCAGCTACTTGGGAGGCTGAAGTGAAGGGAATTACATAAGCCCAGAAGTTTGAGGTTGCAGTGAGCTATTATTGTGCAACTGCACTCCAGCCTGTGCAGAGACCCTGTCTCAAAAAAATAAAAATTTTGCCTAGTCTTGAAGTTCAAAGCAACATTCACCTTATTACTTGTTCCTCTCTCTGTCTTCCTCATTAGTAATCATCTCATTGAGCTACAATTTTTCCCCTTTTGGTTATTTTCTAAAACTCACACACATAGCTGCTTCTAATTAACTGTACAAGGGCTTTCTTAGTGAGTGACTGAGCATGATTTAGCAGCCTGACTGTCTCTTTGGGGAGCTGATGTTATGGAGTAGCCAATGTATTTGCTTTTTGAAAATTTTTTATTTCAATAGGTTTTTGGGTAACAGGTGGCGTTTGGTTACATGGATAAGTTTTTAGTGGCAATTTCTGAGATTTCGGTGCACCCATCAACTGAGCAGGGTACACTGTACCCAATGTGTAGTCTTTTATCCCTCACTACCCCCAGCCCTTTCCCCAAAGTCCCCATAGTCCATTGTATCTTATGCCTTTGCATCCTCATAGCTTAGCTCCCTGTCAATGTATTTTCAGTAGTTAACCTGTTTCATAGGCTAAACAAGATTCAGAGTTCTTTTATTTTACTGTTTCAGTCCAGCTCAGTTACGATAAATATCTAGATCTGTTAGGATAAGAAATTGTGGAGCTTCAGGTTTAGAATAATGAGATTCCTAGGACTGAAGGAAATTTCTGTGATTTAGAAAATTATTTTAAATGTATTTCCATCCATTTGCAGAATGAATTTTGTTTAAGCAATAGTTAGGGTTGGGAAAGTCCTGTTATTAACTGAGGAGAGGAGGAAAGTCCATAGCCTGTGGATCAGTTAAAGACATTCTGAACTAAATAGACACCATGAGGTTTGTTTTCACCCGTTTACTATAAAATATGCTGTGGATTTTGGGCAGTACCTAACCTATGTTCCAAATGTTGCTTTATGGGAAATTCTTATTCACCCATGATATATCTCAATTATTAAAAGTACATAAGAACCTGGTTATCACGAGAGAATTCTTCCTGATATATCCCTCGTGGCAGGACCCAGCTTGGGAGTGGAAATTGCTCTAGCTCCCAGTCACTAGTGGTATATTCTAGGACTTGTGGGGAGGCTTTGGCAGGGTGGAGATCCAGGGCAGTAACAGCTGGTGCTGGTTTCTCTGGTGACCAGGAGACTAGAAACAAGTGGTTATAATGGCTTGTCCCGATATCCACATTGCTTCCAGTCTTTAAGCTGTACTCTTGCATCTAGTGACACAGTGCCTACATGTGCCTAAGTTTCTCAGTGGTATCAGAGGACAGGTTATGAAAGTGTATTTGAAAATCTTTCATTGATATCTTACCAAATGATATACTTTCTTTTGTACTGCCTTTCAGAATTAAAGCTATAGAGAGTCCCAACAAAGAAGATGATACCCAGTGGCTGACCTACTGGGTAGTGTATGGTGTGTTCAGCATTGCTGAATTCTTCTCTGATATCTTCCTGTCATGGTTCCCCTTCTACTACATGCTGAAGGTATGTTGGTCTTGCTACCACTAAAACTCCATCTCAGTACCTGTATAGAAGAAGTAGGAATAAATGCTTGAATGTTGTGCATCTGTGGCTCTGTCTCAGATTATAAACAAGAAGACAGGCCTGGGCAACAGAGCGAGACTCTGTCTCAAAAAAAACAAAAACAAAAAAATGCTCAAGCAAGCCACTTGCCTCAGCCTCCCGAGTAGCTGGGACCATAGGCGCACACCACTGCACCTGGCTACTCTTTTAAACAATTTTATCTAAAGAAATTTAGATATAGGAAATTAAATATAGGAAGCTCCATCACTCCAACCACCATCATAAATGGTAGTATCTTGAGTTTTAGTTCTGGTTAATTATGGATATATAATTCTTTTTGTCTTTGGTCTTAGCCTTTTTTTTTTTTTTTCTTTTTTTGAGATGGAGTCTTGCTCCGTCGCCCAGGCTAGAGTGCAGTGGCATGATCTTGGCTCACTGCAACCTCCACCCCCCAGGTTCAAGCAATTCTCCTGCCTCAGCCTCCTGAGTAGCAGGGATTACAGGCGCCCACCACCATGCTTGGCTAATTTTTGTATTTTTAGTAGAGACAGGGTTGGTTTTTTTAAAAATCTATTTATTTGTACTTCTTCTGGGAGATTTCTCAATCTGACCTCCTTTTTTTTTTTTCTGAGATGGACTCTTGGTCTGTTGCCCAGGCTAGAGTGCCATGGTACAATCTCCGCTCACTGCAACCTCCGCATCCTGGGTTCAAGTGATTGTCCTGCCTCAGCCTCCCGAGTAGCTGGGATTACAGGCATGTGCCACCACGCCTGGTCAATTTTTGTATTTTTTTTGGTAGAGAAAGAGTTTCACCATGTTGGCCAGGGTGCTCTCGAACTCCTGACCTTAAGCAATCCACCCACCTCGGCCTCCCAAAGTGCTGGGATTACAGGCGTGAGCCACCGTGCCCGGACTCAATCTGACCATCTAATTTTCAACTGTACTCCATGATTACATTATAACCATTCTGTTATTCCTGCTATATACCGTGTTCTTCATTTCAACTATTATATTGTTCACACCTAATGTTTTTGCTTGGCTCTCTTCTTCTTGTCCTTGTTTCATATTGCTAATATTTTCTCATTTCTTTTAGTATGGTTACCGCTCCCCAGTTTAAAATTCTTGGTCAGCAGTTCTAATATTGTTGCTCCTGACCAAAACTTGTAGTTGATTGTGTTGTTTTTCTTTTGAAATGTACTCTTGGCCAGGCGTGGTGGCTCATGCCTGCAATTCTAGCACTTTGGGAGGCCGAGGCGGGCAGATGGCCTGAGCTCAGGAGTTCGAGACCAGCCTGGGCAACACGGTGAAACCCTGTCTCTACTAAAATACAAACGAAATTAGCTGGGTGTGGCAGAGTGCACCTGTAGTCCCAGCTACTCAGGAGGTGAGGCAGGAGAACTGCTTGAATCTGGGATGCAGAGGTTGCAGTGAACCGAGATCACACTACTGCACTCCAGCCTAGGCAACAGAGCCAGACTCCATCTCTAAAAAAAAAAAAAGAAATATATTCTTAAAATATCTTTTTATTTTAGCCTACAAACTGCTTTTCATCCATGAGTATCAGCTATCCCATCAGGCACTGGAATGGAGGGGGCCCCAGTCCATGCTAGTACTAGTAAGTTCTGGGTAGGGGGTGGATGAGTCCTAGGAGTGGGGGGCCCCAGGCACACAGGAACCATAGTTAACCACTCTTCACCTACAGAAGAGCTCCTCAGGTCAAAGCTTCACTGTACAGTCCCCTTCTACCCCAGCAAAGCAGCATCAAAAGGAAGTGATCCTGGGTTATAGTTCACAGCTCTAGGGGTTGGAGCAGGAGGGGTAGGGAAGTAACTGCCTTTAGTTAGTGTCCACCTGTTTTCCTGAGTGATTTGCAAAGACAGGACTTTTATGCCAAAACCTCTGTTTTAGAAAAAAGTAGAGGACAATATTTTTTAACTTTGAGGTATAGAAGCAAGACAAAATACAAAAGTTTCAAAGAAAAAGATTTGATAAATTCAACTAAAAATTTCTAAAAATTAAATTTCTATATGACAGTGGGCAGCATAAACAAAGTTAAAATAATGACAGACTAGGAAGATAGATTTACAACATTTACACCAAATAAGGAATATCCAGAATACATAACAATTTCCATAAGTAAAAAGAAAAAGAAAATGGGAAAAGGTTCTAAGTTAAGTATTTCACGGAAGAGAAAAAATATGAATGGCTAGTAAACAGCTCACCAGTGATGTGGGAAGTGTGAGTTAAAATAGTGAAATCCCATATTTTGTTCATTAAACTGGCAGATATTTTAAAGATTGAAAATATCTGGTATTGGTGAATGTATAGGGAAATGGACATGTAATGGTACAGGCTGAACATCTGAAATTGGAAATCCTAAATGCTTTAAAACCCCAAACTTTTTGAGTGCCCACATAATGATCAAAGGAAATGCTCATTGGAGCATTTAGATTTTAGAGTTTCTGATTTGGTATGCTCAGTTGGTATAATGTACATATTCCAAAATCTGAATAAATGTGAAACCCGAAACACTTTTAGTCCCAAGCATTTCACATAAGGGATACTTAACAGCCTAGTGGTATAAACTTGAATAACCTTTTTAAGGGACCTTTTAACCATTTCTTGTTGAATTGAAAAATGATACTCTTAACAATTCTAAGGAAATAGTCACTGTGCATTAAAGAGCTGCACAAAGATATTCATGGCAGCATTTTTTGTTGTCAACTGTATATAATATGAACTGCATAATGTAAACATTATAAACAGAAATGTCCATCAGCAGGTAAATGGTTCATTCAATTAATAGTATATCCATACAGTTAAATGGAATGAAATAGATCCATATGTACAGACCCAGAAATTTTTGCATAATTTAGTAATTATGAAAAGTTATACAGGACAGTTGTGCTAGCTTTTGCCTGTAATCCCAGCATACTCGGAGGCCAAGGCAGAAGGACTGCTTGAGGCCAGGAGTTTGACACCATCCTGGGCAACATGGTGAGACCCTGTCTCCACACACACAAATTTAAAAATTAACCAGGCTCCCAGATCACAGCATGTTGACCAAAAAAAAAAAAACCGAAAACCAAAAAACAAATGCCAGGCATGGTGGTGCATGCCTGTGGTCCCATCTGCTCAGGAGGCTGAGGTGGGAGGATGGTTTGAGCCCAGGAGTTCAAGGCTACAATAAGCAATGATCACCCAACTGCACTCTAGCCTGGGTGACAGAGTGAGACCCTGTCTCGAAAAAGAAAAAAAGTAATAGAACATTAAATACAGTATCACACCATTTATGGTTAAAAAAGAAAAAAGACAAGACACTATATGAAGTGAGTGTCTTTTAAAGTTTAAAAAATTAAATGAAAACATGCTCAGTATAGATTCTTTTATATTTTTGAATGACTTCACCACAGAATGCCTTGTAAGGCAATTAAGAATTTTCCTTTCAAAACTGATGGAAGAAAATAAAAATTGGTCTGTGGAAAGAGTTGATTTCAAAGATTGGATTTTTTTGTTTTTATTATTCAAAGTCATTTAACATTTATAAAAATATTCTTACAATCTTTAATTTGGACATGACATAATTTAAACTTCAGATAATTTTAAAGCCCTTAATAAGATCCATCTAATCGTAGGGACCTCACAGTAGTCTTTAGTGGAAAGAAATTGGCTTTTGCTTTGGGCCCACTTGCTTGTGGCAGTGAACACTATCTTGTCAGCAGAACTACTTGCAGTAGTTCTGACCTCAGACTTCCAAATGTGAGCAAGCTTGACTTCTAGCCTACTCCTAATCACCTCTGCTAATGGAGTTCACAGAGAGGTAGAGAGAAGATCCAAAATAAATGGTAGTCACTGAATCATTTATATTTGGTTTTGAAGTTCATTTAAAATATTGCTTTGTAGCAGACTTTCTTCCCTAATGGTAAAATGAATGTGCATCCATTAGTAGTCTCCAGCTGCATGGCATCATAGTGTTCATGAAAGTGAATTTATTGCATACATTCCAAATAGATAACATACTTGAAAGGATTAAACATTCATGATGCTGTCAATCAAAATACTTTCTTCCTACATTAGTGGCATACTCTGAATGACCTAGTGAACAGACTGAGAAGAGGCCTCTGAATTGCAGAGTCTCGTCTGTAGGAGAAGGTTCAGGAGAGTATTGAATTTTAGGGACTAGAATCCATCTTACCTATGCTGTTGCAATCGCATGCTGACTGGAAGTGTGGGAAAGAGACTTACAAGTAAGGACATGGGTTTGTTTTGTTTTTTGTTTTTTGGGACAGAGTGTTGCTCTGTCACCCAGGCTGGAGTGCAGTGGTGCCATCTTGGCTCACTGCAACCACTGCCTCTCCAGTTCCAGCGATTCTCCTGCCACAGCCTCCCAAGTAGCTGGGATTACAGGCACGCACCACCACACCCAGCTAATTTTTGTATTTTTAGTAGAGATGGGGTTTCGCCGTGTTTGCCAGGCTGGTCTCAAACTCCTGACCTCAAGTGATCTGCCCGCCTCGGCCTCTCAAAATGCTGGGATTACAGGTGTGAGCCACTGCTCCCAGCCCGAGGACATGTTTAATATTTTATTTTTTGCAGAGTTAATATTGTTGGCTTTATTTTCATTTTTCTAAAGCAGCTGATAAGATTGGAGGAAAATAAAAGGAGCCAATGGCTTGGCATCAAAGCTTAGTTGAGAAGATAATATATGATGTATTTAGGTAGAAATTGGATCATGCATATTCTGAGCTTTGCTCTGACATCTGGCCTTGAGCAAGAGGGTTTAAAAATAAATTTAAAAGCTTTTTTTCTTGATTATGAAATTTACATATGCTCATTCCTTTATTCAGCAGATTTATTTAGAACCTCCATGTGCCAGATTCTGTTCTACATCTGGGAGATACTTTGGCGAATAAAACAAAGTCCTTGTTGTCCTACTGTTTACATTTGTGTGTGTGTGTGTGTGTGTGTGTGTGTGTGTGTGTGTGTGTGATGGGATGTGTTTTATGTAGGGAGGAAAATAACATTTGTAATCCTACATCTTAGAGTAGTCTTCCTATTTTTTAAAATGTGCAAATATATTGGTCTGTGTATATAAATAAAAACAGAACTCTGTGTGTATGTGTATATATATATGTATGTATTGCTGTCTTAACATATGTGTGGCTTAGATCACATATGATATATAATTCTGTGTCTTGCTTTTTTCAATTAACACAGTATTCTGAGTATTTTCTCATGTTATTCAGTATTTTTTGACATAGCTATCTAATGTTATTGATAATTTACCTACTTCCCAATTGAAAGACATTGAGGACATTTGTCATGCGATTATACATAATGCTGCAATTAATATCTTTGTATCCTCTGTTTACCTTCATTTAAATCATTTTCTAGATTTACTTTACTTTTTTTGAGACGGAGTCTTGCTCTGTCGCCCAGGCTGGAGTGCAGTGGCGTGACCTCTGCTCACTGTAACCTCTTTCCCAGGTTCAAGTGATTCTCCTGTCTCAGCCTCCCGAGTAGCTGGGACTACAGGTGCACAACCACGCCCGGCTAATTTTTGTATTTTTAGTAGAGACGGGGTTTCACCATGTTGGCCAGGCTGGTCTCAACTCCTGACCTTGTGATCCACCCACCTCAGCCTCCCGAAGTGCTGCAATTACAGGCGTGAGCCACCAGGCCTGGCTAGATTTATTTTTAGAACAAGGTTGAGTAAACTCTGGCAAGATTAGGTCCTGACCTGAATTGTCACCTGTGCTATTTCACCCATTGACAGAGAATATAACATTTTTCTTTTCTTTTTTCTTTTTTTTGAGATGGAGTTTCGCTATTTCACTCAGGCTGGAGTGGAGTGAAGTGGCGTGATCTCTGCTCACTGCAACCTGTACTTCCCGCATTCAAGCAATTCTCCTGCCTCAGCCTCCCAAGTAGCTGGGATTACAGGTGCCCACCACCACGCTAGGCAAATTTTGTATTTTTAGTAGAGATGGGGTTTCACCATGTTGGCCAGGCTGGTCTCAAACTCCTGACCTCAGGTGATCCTCTTGGACACCTCAGCCTCCCAGAGTGCTAGGATTACAGGCGTAAGCCACTGTGCCTCGCAACATTTTTCTTCTTAATGTTCGTAGGAGGCTAAAAAGACAGGGAAATCTTTCCTTTAACACGTTCTTTTAAGCTTTTATTTGTGCATGCTGAGCAATGTAGCCTGTAACTATTCTGTGGCTACACTGCAAAAGCTTTCTTCTGACATTAACTCTCAGTTCCGTAACTGCATGTTAAGCATACCCCTACCTGGGAAATATCTCTTCTGGGGGAAAATCACATGGTGACAGCATTAGAAGCACAGACGGAATAGAATGGCCTGTTGTAATTCGTAATTTAAGGAGTCATTGTGTCAGTGCTAATAGTGCCAAGAGTCCAGTTAAAATAGCATGGACTCTGTCTGAACTGCAGGCAGCAGTGGGCTTGTGAGTCTCCTTGGGAGTATCATCAGCTGGCACTTTGAGGGCAGCTTGATTGAAAAGAGCCAGATCTGTGTGGGTGACTTTAATAAACTCAGGCTATTCCTGGGCTGTAGAATAGTTACACAGATTAAGAAGAGAGGGTTGTAAGAGGTGGCAGCTGAATATCACCTTGGGAGTTGAACAGTAATTAACTTTATTTTTAACATAAGAAAATGATTTCATTTCAGAACAGGAAAATGCTAAGGATGTAGCTAGAGAGCAGTAATTATTTTACTGTCTCAAGACAATAGCTAGAGGGTACCAGAAAGTAGTCAATTAACAGTCTGCAGTCTAGCCTACAAAGTAATCACATTGAAGAGGTACAAAACTGTGGACACTTAATTCATCCAGAAAAGATAATAAGCTTGTCTGGATTGCTGAAGGGTTGGCATCTACATAGGCAGGTAATATTTCAGAGATTTTCCACAATAAGAACTTTAGGATTTGGTAATACTACTATTCTATTGTACACTTTCTTCAAGTACATTAATTTGTGACTTTCCTAAAACTCTGCAGAAGAGAAAACTGTCTCTTAGGTTGATTTGCCTAAAGTCATAAAACACACCCCACCTCTCCTGATTTTTTTTTTTTTTTTTTTTTGAGACAGAGTCTCGCTCTGTCGCCAGGCTGGAGTGCAGTGGCGCAATCTCAGCTCACTGTAACCTCCGCCTCCTGGGTTCCAGTGATTCTCCTGCCTCAGCCTCCTGAGTGGCTGGGACTACGGGTGCCCACCACAATGCCCGGCTATTTTTTTTCTAATTTTAGTAGAGACAGGGTTTCACCATGTTGGCCAGGATGGTCTCGAACTCCTGACCTCGTGATCCACCTGCCTCGGCCTCCTAAAGTGCTGGGATTACAGGCGTAAGCCACTGCGCCCAGCCCCACCTCTCCTGATTCTTAATCCAATGAGTCATTTTCACTTCACCTTAATGCTCTGGTTTTAATATGGACATCTGTCTCTCTCTTGATAATCCATTTCTGAAAATCAGATATTCTATGTAGGAATACATTCTATGCAGAAGCTTATTTTCCACTATTTTAAGTGGGAAAAATTTTAATGTATTACATGTCAATGTAAAACTCAACGAATTCACTAAGTATTAATAAAATACAGCAAAATACCTATATATAACAAATATCATGTTAGGATGTTAGATGCTAAAAACACTTGCTGCTCTCCAAATAGTTAATATAGTAAGTAACAATTGCTCTGTGTGCAGGAATACATAGCACATCCCCTGTGATGCTCTGCATATTCTTCAAAATGTCCACCAAGGATTCTGATATTCTGTCAAAAATGTTACTCAAGACATTTCCTGCATATCATAATGTTGTATTGCATTTTGGGGATGTATAGCTTTTCCTATATAAGCAACTACAGTAAAACATTGTATGAATTTTGGATATTAAAAACCAAAAGGCAGCAGGGTGCAGTGGCTCACGCCTATAATCCTAAGCACATTAGGAGGCCAAGGTGGGCAGATCACGAGGTCAGATCAAGACCATCCTGGCCAACATGGTGAAACCCTGTCTCTACTAAAATACAAAAAATTAGCTGGGCACGGTGGCATGCGCCTGTAGTACCAGCTACTCGAGAGGTTGAGGCAGGGGAATCACTTGAATCTGGGAGGCGGAGGTTGCAGTGAGCTGATCACGCCACTGCACTCCCGCCTGGCAACAGAGCAAGACTCCGTCTCAAAAAAAAAAAAAAAACAAAAAAAACCAAAAAAACAAAACCAACCAAAAGGCTTCCACAGGGAAATAACTAGAGAGGTGGTCTTGCAGGGTCTGCTGTAATTAACTGGCACTATGCCAAGGAAACAAAGCTAATGCCAGTGAAAAATACAGTCATTTAATTCTCCATTTTGGGTCAATGCAAATGCGTATCTCAAAAAAACCAAGGTTCTGAACCTCTGGCAACATCTTATAATTCAGTAAGATCTGCTGCTGGCTAAACTTAGGGCATGCTAGAGCAGAGTTGCTGGGAAAACTAAGAGTAACATCGAACTACTTGCACATACTGAGGGTACCTCAAGGCGCTGGCTTCCTTGGAGTGCTTGGACCTTTAACAGAAGGTCTTAGTCTACCATTGTGTGTGTGCAGAAGGCTGATTTGAGTTTTTGCATGATTGCACATTCATGCACGTAGCATTACTATCCATGTGTAGCGAGACTACTAGATGCTAGTCTGAGTCTTTACCTTTCCATCATCTACTGTCATGCTTTCCCAAGTCTGAAGATCCTGTTTTCCAAGATCTGTGCTCAGTAAACAAGCTTTGGAGTCTTTAAATGTAAGGAATAGGAAAGGTGAAGAGAGGCCTGGCTTAAAATCATAACATGGAGATTATGGCAGTGAATCCCATTGGATTGAATGGTCTGATATGGAAAGCAGGCTGTGTAGTTCCACTAGTCCAAAAATTCTATTTTTTGAGACACAGTCTCGCTCTGTCACCCAGGCTGGAGTGAAGTGGCATGATGTCGACTCACTGCAACCTCCGCCTTCCAGATTCAAGCGATTCTCCTGCCTCAGCTTCCCAAGTAGCTTGGATTACAGACGCCTGCCACCACACCTGGCTAATTTTTGTATTTTTAGTAGAAATGGGGTTTTGCCATGTTGGCCAGGCTGGCCTCAAACTCCTGACCTCAAGTGATCCACCCACCTCAGCCTCCTAAAGTGCTGGGATTACAGGTGTGAGCCACTATACCTGGCCTGGTCCATTCTTTTTTTTTTTTTTTTTTTTTTTAAGAACAAAACTAGTTTATTTGGATTGGGGACTCTGAACAGTTCTGTCTCTATTACCCGACTTCCTCCTCCCACGACTTCGGCACCTAGAGGAACTTTGGCTCCGGCTGCGGTGGCTCCTGCGGCTCTGGCTCCGGCGGCCCTGGTCCCAGCTGCGGTGCCTATTTCTTCCTCTGCTTGGTGAATTGTGCCTCTCCCGACTCTTTGATGTGCGTTTGTGAGATTTCTTCCCCCTATGACTACTCTTTTTTCTCTCGGATTCCCCATTTCTTTTGTAGGTGTGGTCTGGACTAGGGTTTCTCCTTCCCCGCTGCCTGCTGTAGTAGTGGTCGTGGTGGCCCATCTTCTCCCTCCTCTCGGAGTTCTTGCCAAAGGAGGAGCCAGTCTGATCTGAAGACAAGTAGATGTCTCTATTAGCTTCCCAGAATTCATTGTTGGGATTTCTGAACACATGAAGAAAGTTGCAGTGTTTTCCTCTTGGACATTGTTGTATTTCAAATAAACCACAAATCGCCATTTTCCACCGGGTCACTGGGCAGAATTCACATTGCAGCTGTCGTCCTGCATACCATCGTCCGTTAAACAGAGAAAGGGCTGCTTGGCATTCTTCTTCCGACTGGTACTGAACATATACATTGCCCCTCAGGTGAGGTTCCAAATTGCAGCTGACCTTGAACTGAATCACTTTCCCCACGTTCTTGAACTCGGGCAACACATCCTCATAGAAATCTAGGAACTGTTGGTAGGTTTCTTCCTCGCTGTACTCCAGGCTTGCGTCAGGGTCATAGTCATCCCTCCTGCACTGCTCCATTCCAAACGTTGTAAACATGCTCTTAATAAGAAGGGTAGGACTAGATGTTGGGAAATTATGTTTACGTGAACATCTGTCTCCAAATCTGCAAGCTCCTGTTTTACTGTAGAAGGGACAATTAGCTCGATCCTTCTCCATTACTCTGAAATCCACGGGTGGTTCTGGGTTTTGCCATGTGGTACTATTTTCTAAATCATTTTCAGCCTGATCCAGCATCTTCTGCACAGCTTCCTCTTTTTCTTTCTTCTCCTGTTGTTTCTGCTCCTCCTCTTCTCTCTCTTTCCTCTGCTGTTCTTTCCATTGTTCCTTTAACTTTCTCTCTTGTTCTTCTAGCCATTTTTTAGCCGCCTCTTCCTTTTCCTTCTTTATTCTGAATTCTTCTTGTGCCTTCTGCTCCCTCAGCAACCACTCCTCATGTAATCTTTCCCTCTCTCTTTCCAATAGCTTCTCTTCTTCTAGTTGTTGTTCTTCAATAAAAGTGTCCTCTTCCTCCTCCTGTGAGAGTCCTGAGTCTCTCAGTCGAGCAAGTTCCTGCCGACGTTTCTTTCGTTTCTCCTTCTTCAGGGCGGCCCTGTACTTTTTGTGGCTTGGTTTCTCTGGAAATGTCATCTTCTTGGGAAACGTCATCTTCTCAAGTGCAGCCATCTTGCCAGCACCGCCTGACCCCTCAGACATTCTTAACCTATGGGAATATATGGAAGATTTTGTTCATAGCTGCCACTGTCAGTGATTCTACTTATGAATATTTTATGTTTTCTAGTATTGTTTTGTTTGCATACTTATATATATTACAAATTACTTTCATTTTGTTTCTCCTTTATATTGCAGTTAGACTTTTTTTGTAATTAAGTATATCATAAATTTGAATTTCATTTCATGTACTAAAAGGAGAGTTCTAAAATATTTACTTATGGCCAGGTGCGGTGGCTCACTCCTGTAATCCCAGCACTTTAGGAGGCCGAAATGGGCGGATCACCTGAGGCCAGGAGTTTGAGACCAGCCTGGCCAACATGGCAAAAACTCATCTCTACTAAAAATAAAAAAATTAGCCAGGCTTGGTAGCACGTGCCTGTAATCCCAGCTACTTGGGAGGCTGAGGCAGGAGAACTGCTTGAACCCAGGAGGCAGAGGTTGCAGTGAGCCAAGACTGTGCCACTACACTCCAGCCTGGGTGACAGAGTGAGACTCTGTCTCAAAAATAAAAAATAAAAATAAATATTTGCTTAAATATTTTTGGTTCTAGGATTTGCTTTCCCCTACTGAAAGCTAACATGTTCTCCTGTTAGTAATGTTTCATAGATGTTGTTAGAAAACACAGTATTCTTGGGTCAGAGAAAGTCCTTGCTATGCTTAGTAATTTTATTTTCTTACAAAATTATAGGGGTAAATTTTAAAATTTTCAATTAATACCTATTTTATAGAGGAAAAACCAGACTTAAGTGATTAAGTAACTTGTATAAGGTTTGCTTAGCTAGTAAATGGCAGAACCAGGATTGGAAGTTAGTTTCTTTGAGTCCATCCTGTTACTCTCTATATACTATATTAACTCTTTGAATCCCTCTTTGTTGGGTTGAGAGATCTGTATATATCTTTAGAGTGAGATTTTAGGCCAGGTGCAGTGGCTCACACCTGTAATCCCAGCACTTTAGGAGGCTGAGATGGGTGGATCACTTGAGGTCAGGAGTTCGAGACCAGCCCGGCCAACATGGCGAAACCCCATCTCTACAAAAAGTACAAAAATTAGCCAGACGTGATGGTGCGTGCCTGCATGCCTGTGGTCTTCAGCTACCTGGGGGGCTGAGGCGGGAGAATCACTTGAGCCCAGGAAGTTGAGGCTATAGTGTTTTGTATTTGTGCCACTGCACTCCTGCCTGGGTGACAAAGTGAAACCCTTTTTTATTTAAAAAAAAAAAAAGACTTAAATTTTGTGTTCTTTATTCTGTATTCTTACTAATTTCTAGGTTGTTTTATATATCAACTTTTTTTTGTCTTTTTGAGACAGGGTCTTGCTGTCTCACCAAGCCTGGATTGCAGTGATGGTATCACAGCTCACTGCAGTCTCGACCTCCCAAGGTCAAGCCACCCTCCCACCTCAACCTCCCAGGAGGACCACAGGCATACATCACCAAGCCTGGCTAATTTTAAATTTATTTTTTGTGGCCGGGTGCGGTGGCTCACGCCTGTAATCCCAGCACTTTGGGAGGCCGATGGGGGTGGATCATTTGAGGTCAGGAGTTCAAGACCAGCCTGGCCAACATGGTGAAACCCCGTCTCTACTAAAAATACAAAAATTAGCTGGGCATGGTGGTGTTTGCCTGCAGTCCCAGCTACTTGGGAGGCTGAGACAGGAGAATCGCTTGAATCCGGGAGGCGGAGGTTGCAGTGAGCTGATATTGTGCCACAGCACTCCAGCCTGGGTAAGAGAGCAAGAATCAGTCTCAAAAAAAAAAAAAAATTTTTTTTTTCCTAGAGATGTGGTCTCCCTATGTTACACAGGCTAGTCTCAAAACTCTTGGGCTCATGTGATCCTCCAACCTCAGCCTCCCAAAGTGCTGGGATTACAGGTGTAAGCCTGGCTAGTATATCAATTTCTGATGGAAATGTTAAAATCTATGATTGCAGATTTTGTCCATTTGTCTATATAATTCTGACTTACATTTAAATATTTCAAAGCCATATTTGAAAGCTATCTATAGCTATATATAAATATATAATTATAAAAATAATTCTATTGCAAACATATGCAAAGTTAGATATAATTTACGTATTTCAAAGGTATATACAAGTTCAGGAATTTTAATATTCTTGGTGAATTGCTTTCCTTCTTTATCATCCTATTTACTTATTTTGCCTTAAGTAATTTGTATGTATTAATATTGCTAATGAGCTATTTTGGGAGTTGGTGTTTGTCTGATATATCTTTCCCATAACTTTATTTTCAGTGTTCCTATTTGGTTTTGTTGTAGGTATGTTTCTTAAGCATACAGCTATAGTTTTGGGGTTTTATAAAAAATTTAGTCCTATAGTGTCTGGGTTTTGTTTTGTTTTTGAGATGAGCTCTTGCTCTGTTGCCCAGGATGGTCTCTGCATTTGTCTGTTCTCATGCTGCTAATAAAGACATAGCCGAGACTGGGCAATTTATAAAGGAAAGAGGTTTAATTGACTCACAGTTCCACATGGTTGTGGAGACCTCACAATCATGGTGGAAGATGAAGGAAAAGCAAAGGGATGTCTTACATGGTGGCGGCAGGCAAGAAAGAATGAGAGCCCAAGCGAAAGGGGAAACTCCTTATAAAACTATCACATCTCGTGAGACTTATTCACTACCATGAGAACAGTATGGCAGGAAACCACCCCCATGATTCAGTTATCTCTCACCCTGTCCTTTCCACAACACATGAGAATTATGGGAGCTACAGTTCAAGATGAGATTTGGGTGGGGACACAGCTAAACCATGTCAGTCTCCAACTCCTGGGCCCAAGCAATCCTTGCACCTTGGCCTCCCAAGTCACTGGGACTACAGGTGCATGCCACCATGCCTAGCAAGTCTCTGTCTTAAAAACTCTTGTGCATGTGTAACAAATTTTAATTCACAAAGGTTACATTTCAAGAGTTACTTTTTACTGTAGTTGAGATAAGGGGAGTCTGGACAACATTGTGACACTTGTCTCTACAAAAAAAAGTTATAAAAAATTAGCCAGGCCTGGTGGTTCATGCCTGCAGTCATTCCCAGCTACTTGGGAGGCTGTGGGAAGATTGTTTGAACCCAGGAGTTCAAGGCTGCAGTAAGCCATGTTCATGCCACTGCACTCCAGCCTGGGTGACAGAGCAAGACTCTCAGAAAGAATAATCTGGAGATATTGTTGAGAACTTGGGTTTTGTTTTTTATTTTGAGTGTTATACAAGTTCAAAGTCTAGTATAAATTTCTCAGAGCCAACATGGTGCTGATGGAGTGAGCTATTTGTGCATTTTAAACTGAAACTCTTGTCATTAGTGTTAGCCCTTTATCAGCTTTGTATCTCTAAAACACCTGAAAGACTGTCTTAGAAAACCATCATAGCTTGTTGATTATGAGTACATCCCTTGGTTTGGAATCATAAGGACTAAGACTTAAATTTAAAGCATGAGAAATTAAGATGTTTTTACACTAAGGAGAAGTTGTAAAAAATACTGATTTGGAATCTCTGTAAGTGACTTCTGTTTTTTTGTAGAGTCACCTAGGCTGTGTGGAATACAATGTGGTTAGAATCTTTTAAACTAAAATAACTCAGTATATTGTTTATTAAACTTTCTAGGGAAATGGGCAGATTACTCTGAATATTCCTTTTCCTTCTGCTTTTCTTTTTATCTTAAAAAGGAGTAAATTGCATGGATGACTTGAAGTGACGAGTTGGTATTTATTATTTGAATCAACAGTAAAAATTTTTTGGACATAGTGTGAAAATCCTTATTTAAGTAATTAGGGCAGAATTCTTGTCAATTAAAAAAAAATCTCAATGGCAAAGTAGAGCTGTAAAGAAGGAGTTAGGAATAATAACTACATTCAAGATGAAAGATGAAGAACAACTGTAAAGATTCCTTGAAGGCTAAGATCTACCCAAAACTGAGGTCCACCAAAGGAAGAATTCAGGAATGGACAAGGTATTTTTTCCATAATAGGATGAATAAATGTGATAAACTTACCAAGATAAGCCTACCAAGCACAGGCCTCCTAGATATTAGGCTTATCTGTACAGGGCTTTATACATGCAGATAAGTACTATATTTTCTTAAATTGATTTCTAAGAGTTATGATTAATAAAAGCCTCTTACAGCTATATACTAAAACGTGGTCCAAGTTAGGAAGATAGTTAAGCTCCTGGACCTGGTGTGTTTTACCTTTTGTTTTTTAGTCTCAGCTTTTCCTTACCAGCTCATTACTCATCATGTTTTTTCCATCTAAAGAAAGCCCACCTTTAACCTGCAGAAAACACTGGTAATGCCTTTGGGGAAAATAACAGAGGCATCTCCCATCCCCAGAGTAGTGAAAGACAGTGTGTATTCTCAGAATGTGCCCCCTCCACCCTCCTGTTACCCATGCTGGCTCTTTTTCTGTGCAGTGTGGCTTCCTGTTGTGGTGCATGGCCCCGAGCCCTTCTAATGGGGCTGAACTGCTCTACAAGCGCATCATCCGTCCTTTCTTCCTGAAGCACGAGTCCCAGATGGACAGTGTGGTCAAGGACCTTAAAGACAAGGCCAAAGAGACTGCAGATGCCATCACTAAAGAAGGTAAGACTCAGGAACAAGATGGCCCCACATGTGAGAGGAGATGTGACACACTGGGCTCAAATAACAGGCTTCCTGGCCTTCTTGTCTTATCACCACCCCTCAGCCAAATGCCAACATTACTCTGGGATTTCTTTACAAAGTCTTTGCCTATTGAGAACACTTACAGTTCTCGACTTTTCCCAAGACTCTTCCTCCATGCCACATTTAATGTAGCCTTCAGTCAGAACATTAGGAAAAATGACTTTCCTTGGTAGGCAGCGATTTTAGAGAATCATCTATATTGATATGCAAGTCCATCTCTTCTAATTGTTTATTTAATTTTTTTGTATTATACTTAATTACATAGGTAGTTTTAAATAAATGGAGAAAGCACCTTTCAAAAGCTATACTAGCAGGAAAAATTCCATCAAGCATTTACGTAGTAAATTTCTATAATTTTACAAAAAATTCTTGATCTTTACTTGAACTGTACATGAGGGGAAAAGAGCCCCCTCAGGTATGTGTTCTCTCCACTTGCAGAAGAAAACTAAAGGACCTAAAACTAGAGACAAGCCTGGGATGCCAAAAAGCGGGAGGAGAAATGATAAAGAGCCATTCATGAATTCCATGTCTACTCTAAGACACTTGTCTAATCACCCTCACATAATAAATATTTAGGGCAAACTACCACTCTTTAGAAAAAGTACAACCTCAAAACCTATAGTTCTGAATTGTAACATATCGAATACCTTGGACTGCTGGATGCCAAAAGACAATACTTGGGGTTATCTATGACGTTTAAACAGGTAAATAGGGGAATTCTCTAGGACTGTACACTCTGTGACGTTTTGAATGAAGCGCAGGCAGGCTTCTCTGCTATCCTCCAGGCAGTGTAATAGTCAAGGAAAAGAGCAACAGTATTGGATCACTCCTTAGACACTAACCAGCTGGTGAAAGAGTTCATTGGCCAGTCTCCTCCTTAGAATGGTTTGCACCAAGTGGAGAGGCCATGTCGCTGAAGGGGAAAGGGGAGCCCTCATACCCACAGTCACTGTAAACATCCAGTAGACAGGAAGATGGCTTCGGGCAGTGGCTGGATGGAAGTAGATTGGAGATACCCAGGTCTGGAATGAAGTCATCTTCCACAAAGTCTTCCTTCACTGAGACCACGAATTCTGGGTGATCATTCTCTAAAAGGCTGAGAGGTGCTTCCTTGATTTTCACTACCGCATTAGCTTGGCTCTCTGTCTCAGACTACGGGCTTGGCATATATGTAGTCAAAATTAATTAGTTCATTAATAGCTTCAAGCTTGGCTGATAATGTCCCCACTGACAGAGAAAGGGAGGCTGGTTAGGAATTGGGTCCTTCTGAGTAGACCTCTGGGAGCTGCTCCAGGCTGGCAGACCCTGGGGAAGGACATTTGAAGAACACTAGTGGGTCTAAGTTGTCCAGAATGCCCAACAGGATATCATACTGGGAAGGTAGTTGATGTTTACTTCCAACCCCACCACAACTAACTTCTACCCTCATCTGCCTAGTTAGGGATGTCAAGCATCAAATAGATGGAATTATCTTGGCTTTCGCCTCCTCTTCAGTAACCAGAGCATCCATCCCCAAGTGCTGTCTTCACTCATGGTTCTCAACTACGAGTCCATGCATTTTCTCTTGTAAAAACTGATTTTCTAGCAAAAGTTTTTGGTTCTGTTCTAAATCTACCACTTGCTGTTTCAGGTCACTCATTTGAGCTTGCTTTCTGTCTCTGGCAGTTTGAGCTGCTAATCCTGTTTTTCCTCCTCAGTGCCTTCTCCTTGGGGCTCCCCACCCCCACAGCACTCACCATCTCCTGGCTGGCTCCTCTCTGGGCTGGCACCATGAGCAGCAGGGCCTAGCTGGCCAAGGCTGTAGCAGCAGGCTGACCAGACAGAAGCAGTACTTTGGAGGCCCTGACGGCCAGCCTGATTCAGTTCAGATTGATCGGTTCAGTATGCTGTTCAGTTTTTGTTATGGGTACAAAAGAATGTCCACTCTCAGCTCTGATTAATTCACTCAATAAATATTTATTTATTGAGGTGTTTAATATGTGCCAAGCATGTTCATAACACTGGCAGTGAACCAGCATACCGAAGAGACCATACTCCTTGAATTCATGAAGCTTACAGTCTAGTTGAGAGATAGGCAGTAAAATTGAAAATTAGATAGTATATTTACCATATAATATAGGGAAAAAATAAAGCAAGTAGAAAGATGGGGGGGGGCCAAGGACTGGAGGGATGGTTATGATTTTAAATAGAGACGTTTAGGAAATCTATACCAGAAGGCTCTACTGAATCAGACTCAATAGTAGTAAAGGAATCAGGAACAGTGACTCAGCCTGTAATCCCAACATTTTGGGAGGCTAAGGCAGGAGATCACTTGAGGCCAGAAGTTTGAGACCAGCTTGTTTGTGACAGGGTCTCCTATGGAGACCCGCTCTCTACAAAAATTTAAAAATTAGCCGGACGTTGTGATGCAAGCCTGTGGTGCCAGCTACTCAGGAGGCTGAGGCAGGAGGATCACTTGGGCCCAGGTAATCAAGGCTGCAAGTGAGCTGTGCCACTCTAGCCTGGGTTACAAAGCAAAACCCTATCCCCCTAAAAAAAAAAAAAAATAGAAAATGGTAAAAGAAGGAACCATGGGGAATCATACTTTAGAATGAGCTGCATATACAGAAGTCCGGAGGTGGGAGCAACAAAAGAAGTGATCTAGAGGGGTGCAGGAGGAGATGAGGTGGAAGAAGTTGCGAATGGAGGCTGGAAGACGTATCACATAATGCCTTATAGGCCATTGTAAAGGTTTGGCTTCTACTCTATGTGAGATGTGGAGGTACTGGGGACTTTTAACCACAGAAGCAAAATGATCTGTCCTGTGTTTTAATAAGATGCCTGTGGCCACTGTATTAGGAACAGACTGAAGGGGTAAGGCAGGAAGTTGGGAGAACAGTTAAAAGGTTCTTGCAGTGATCTGGCTGGAGGTGATGATGGTGGCTTGGTTCCTTGTGTAGCAGTAGGGGGTAAGAAGTATCAGATTCTTGATATATTTCAAAGGTAGAAGTAATGGGATTTGCTTATGGATTGGCTTATGGATTGGGCATGGGTCAGAGGGGTTAAGGACAAGGACGAGCTTTTTAGCCTGAACAGATGGAAGGATAAAATTGCCACTGAGCTGGAGAAGACTGGGTAGAACAGGTTTTGTTGGGGTGGGAGGTTGTGGTGGGTGGGAGGATATGGAATTTAGTCCTGGACATTTGTTTGAGGTGTCTGTTTGTTAGATACCTACAAGGATTAGTCAAATAGCTAGTTGGATACAGGTGTCAAGAGTTCAAGAAACAGGTCTGGACTGGAGATATAAATTTGGGGGCCACAAGCTTATACATATTAAGCATGAGACTAGATGAGATCACGAAGGTAGTGTAGTTAGGAAACAGGAGGTCCAAAGACTGAACGCTGGGGAGTCTAAGGTTTAGAGACTGGAGAGATGAGAAGCAACTAGCAAAGCAGACTGATAAGGAGTGGCCAATTGAGGTAGCAAGAAAACCATGAGCGTGTGGTATCCCTGGGGCCAAGAACAGAAAGTTTTTCTTTCAGAGAGGAGAAGTGATCTGTCATGTTACATGCTGTCAACAGGTCAAGTAAGATAAGGACTGAGAACTGAGCAGATTTAGCAATGAGGAAGGTACTAGTGATTTTGATAACACAGATTTTGTGGAGTGATATCAAACTCCTGATTGCAATGGATTTGAGAGAATGAGAGAAAAGGGATGAGAGAATATAGATCTTTCTTTTGAGAAATTTCCTGCAAAGGAGAGCAGAAGAATGGGGCTATAACTGGAAGAAGGAATTATGGTCCTGAAATTTTAAAAGTTTTTTTCTTAAGGTAGGAGAAACAAAGCCTGTTTGAAAATTAATGGGAATAATTCAACAGAGCAAAAAATGATGATAGGAGTGAGAGGGTGAATTGTTGGAGCTCTGTCCTTGACCAGTGAAGGATCCAGTATACAGTAGAGGGATTGGTCGAAGAGCTGGAAGTTTATGGTAACAGCAGGGAAATCAGGTTTTATGGTATGCTGTGAGCACATGTGACTATGGGAGCCTACAGAAGTGACTTTCTAATTGTTTCATATTTCTCAGTAAAGTAGGAAGGCCAATTGAGAGAGGATGGGGAAGGAGACAATGGAAAGAGAAGGTATGAAATAGTTGCGAAGGAGAGGGACTGCTCATCTTTTTCTGTAAAGGGCCAGATAACAAATGTTTTAAATTTCGTGGGCTATCATGTCTCTGTTGCAGCTACTCTTCTCTGCCATTGTAGTGTGAAAACAGCCATGGACACTACATAAGCGAGTTTGGCTGCAGTGTGCTGGCCCCTCTAGGACAGTTGGAGAGTAAATGGACTGTCAGGCAGTGTTAAAGGCATGCTTGAGATTTGCGTTCATGAATTTATAGTGAAACCAGTTCTTGTTTATGTTTTTCTCCAGCCATACTCAGCTACATGGGTATAGCTACAGAGTAGGTGGAGAGTTGTGTCAAGGTTGTGATTTCCAGCAAGAACTATGAAGTGAGGGTGGGACTGTGGAGTGGTTAATGCTTGACAATGGAATTTAACCTGAGTAAGGTGGGAAGTGGTGGTGGAAGAACTCTGAATCAGGATAATAGCGGGAATACTCCATCATCATCTACAATGAGCAAAAAAGCAGGGTGGGGAGTGCACTACAAAGATAAAAGGTGATGGTGGCTGAGTGGGATGCTTGATACAAGATTATGGAGGGACTGCAGTATTGGTACTAACAGGGATCCTGGGAGTCAGTGCCATATGTAGGGTGGAATATAAGGGTTATTGGAGGGGAGGAACTAAGAGGTCAGGATATTAGAAGATCATCACATATGTCTACATGGATATTAAAATCATCAATAATTAAAATAGGAGTAGTAGGTCAGGTGCAGTGCTCACACCTGTAATCACAGCACTTCCAGAGGTCAAGGTGGGTGGATTGCTTGAGCTCAGGTGTTTGAGACCAGCCTGAGTAACATGGTGAAACCCAGTCTCTACAAAAAAAAAAAAACACAAAAATTAGCCAGATGTGGTGATGCGTACCAGTAGTCCCAGCTACTCAGGAGGCTGAGATGGGAGGATCACCTGAGCCTGGAGGTTGAGGCTGCAGTGAGCTGAGATGGCATCACTGCATTCCAGCCTGGGTGACAGAGTGAGACCCTGTCTCTAAATAAATAAATAATAGGAGTAGTGTTAGAAAGGAACATTAAGTTAGGAGCTAAAATCTTCAAGAACTAAGGCAAAGTAGCCCAAGAGTCAGGGATGACAGGGAAAGGGAAGGCTACTCAGTGATAGAATCTGATGACATGAGATTCTGAAAGTGGCAATGAAGAACAAAAACAACACCTACCAGATCCATTTGTACTAGGGTCATGAGAGGAAAGAAACAGCCACCACTTGAGAAAGCAGTGTCCTCAGGGCACAGCCAGCTTTCTCTAAGAGCAAGAAGGTAAAGGAAACATTCGGAGGAATGGATGAGGATATAGATTTTGCCAGTGATGGGTCTTGAGTTCCAGAGGGACTCAGATTTTAGAAATTGGAGAAAGGTTTTTGTGTTTTAGAGCTCTGTGGTAGTTAGACATGGGAGTTGTGAGGTTGCCTGACCATGGGGAAGTAAAATCCCAAGACAGTTCTCCAGCAGCACTGATGCCCCAGAAGTGGTATGTTCCCCATTTCTCCCTCACAGACCTCTCTTCTCTGGACTCCTATTTTTGGGCATACAAATCCAGTCTACTTGAATATGTTTTAGGTATTTTTTAACTTGTAGCCTTAACCTCCTCCCACTTTAGGATTGCCAGCTTTTTTTTTTTTTTTTTTTTTTTGAAACAGAGTCTCACTCTGTTGCCCAGGCTGGAGTGCAGTAGCATGATCTCAGCTCACTGCAGCCTCCACCTTCCAGGTTCAAGGGATTCTGCTGCCTCAGCCTCCCAAGTAGCTGTGATTACAGGTGTGGGCCACCACGCCCAGCTGATACTTGTATTTTTAGTAGAGACACCGTTATGCCATGTTGGCCAGGCTGGTTTCAAACTCCTGGCCTCAAGTGATCCACCCACCTCGGCCTCTCAAAATGCTGGGATTACAGGCATGAGCCACCATGCCCAGCCAGGATTACCAGCTTATTTTTAAGAGCTTTCTTTTCTTCTCCCTTCCCTTAGCCTAATCAGCAACCTGTGGTGATGTCATTTCTGTCTACTTCACCCACATTTCTTAGCCTCTTGGTTCTCTTAGATATCAATACTTAAAATCCAATCTTACTTTGTTATGACACATTCCTAAATAGGGGCAAGAGAATTAAAATAAGTTAGGAGGAATTTACATGCTGCCACATTTTAGACTTTTCTCAAAGCTTTTGGATTAACTAGGAATTTCTACAAAGGGTTAGTTAAGGGAAGGACTACATTTTCTCCTTTGCTGTGAACTTGGTTCAGTAATTTTAACTGAGCAAAGGGAGAGCAACTATCAGGCAGCTGGTGGACAAGAAGGGACTCCTTGGCTCTCATCACTAAGGCTCTGGCTCCATCAAGAACAGCTGCAGATTGTAAAATCTCACAGTGGGCCCTGGAGGCTTCTAGACAACCCCTTTCCCCTCCATCTTACACACTGTACTGGTTCTCATAGCACATTCCCTGCCACTTGGTAATTAGAAAGTGGAAGGCTTGGTCTCCTGCAGAAGTAAGAAAATATATTTTTCTTTTTTTTCTATAGAGATGGGCTCTCACTGTGTTTTGGCCAGGGTGATCTCAAACTCCTGGCTTCAAGGAATACTCCTACCTCAGCCTCTCAAAGCTCTGGGATTATAGACATGAGCCACCACACCTGGACAGAATGTTTTCTTGATGAATGTAGTGTCTTGTCACCAACTCAAAGACTTAGAGCAAACTCTTCTCATCATAGGAGAGAATGGTGGCACAATAAGAGTATAAATACAGATTTTAAAAACAATTTAGTATAACAACAATTTATATAGCATTCATGTTGCATTAGGTACTTTAACTAGAGATGGGCTTTTAAAATTTTTTTAAAATAGAGGTGGGGGGTGGGGGTCTCACCATTCATATTGGCCAGGCTGGTCTCAAATTCCTGGCTTCAAGCGATCTTCCCACCTCAGCCTCCCAAAGTGCTGCGATTACAGGCATGAGTCATTATGCCTGGCCGAATTTAAAGTATATGGAAGAGGCCGGGCATGGTGGCTTACGTCTGTAATCCCAGCACTTTGGGAGGCCAAGGCGGGCAGATCACGAGGTCAGGAAATTGAGACCATCCTGGCTAACACAGTGAAACCCCATCTCTACTAAAAATACAAAAAAAAATTAGCTGGGCGTGGTGGTGAGTGCATGTAGTCCCAGCTACTCGGGAGGCTGAGGCAGGAGAATGGCATGAACCCGGGAGGCAGAGCCTGTAGTGAGCCGAGATCGCGCCACTGCACTCCAGGCTGGGTGACAGAGCGAGACTCCGTCTCAAAAAATAAATAAGTAAATAAATAAAGTATATGAAAGCACATAGGTTATATGGAAATACTATGTATGCCATTCTATTTAAGGGCTTGAGCACTCACAGATTTTGGTATCTGTAGGGTTCCTGGAACTAATCTCCTCTCCCCCACCGCCCCCCCAGCCCCCCCCCCCAAACACATATATCAAGGGATGACTGTATTTCTAGTGCTGGGAATGAGGACTTCTCTGATTTGTCGCCATGGGATAAATATGATGACCTAGTTGTCATCAGATTGATAATATATTGATAAGTGAAATCTTACAGGCAAGCACACAGATACAAATAGAATTTGAACACTACTCTTAAGGAATCTCTGCTTCTTTCAATGCTTAAAGGAGAATAGAGGGCAGACAGTTTCGGTGACACTGTCACAACAAGGGGCTAGGCTAGATGACCTTCAAGTATTTTGCTCAAGTATTTAGGATTTGTGCTCTAAGAGGTACCTTCTCCATTTCCTGGAAACCCTCTTAGCCCAGACCACAAACCCCAACATGATCGCACCTGAACATGAGTCATCCAAGTTTTGTTATCTAGTAGCTACATTAGGCACAAAGCTTGCAAGCTTGCATTCCAAAGAAAGAGCTTTGATATATTTTTCTTTCCCTCCTAACAAACAAACAGCGAAGAAAGCTACCGTGAATTTACTGGGTGAAGAAAAGAAGAGCACCTAAACCAGACTGGATGGAAACTTCCTGCCCTCTCTGTACCTTCCTACTGGAGCTTGATGTTATATTAGGGACTGTGGTATAATTATTTTAATAATGTTGCCTTGGAAACATTTTTGAGATATTAAAGATTGGAATGTGTTGTAAGTTTCTTTGCTTACTTTTACTGTCTATATATATAGGGAGCACTTTAAACTTAATGCAGTGGGCAGTGTCCACGTTTTTGGAAAATGTATTTTGCCTCTGGGTAGGAAAAGATGTATGTTGCTATCCTGCAGGAAATATAAACTTAAAATAAAATTATATACCCCACAGGCTGTGTACTTTACTGGGCTCTCCCTGCACGCATTTTCTCTGTAGTTACATTTAGGATAATCTTTATGGTTCTACTTCCTGTAATGTACAATTTTATATAATTCTGAAATGTTTTTAATGTATTTGTGCACATGTACATATGGAAATGTTACTGTCTGACTACAACATGCATCATGCTCATGGGGAGGGAGCAGGGGAAGGTTGTATGTGTCATTTATAACTTCTGTACAGTAAGACCACCTGCCAAAAGCTGGAGGAACCATTGTGCTGGTGTGGTCTACTAAATAATACTTTAGGAAATACGTGATTAATATGCAAGTGAACAAAGTGAGAAATGAAATCGAATGGAGATTGGCCTGGTTGTTTCCGTAGTATATGGCATATGAATACCAGGATAGCTTTATAAAGCAGTTAGTTAGTTAGTTACTCACTCTAGTGATAAATCGGGAAATTTACACACACACACACACACACACACACACACACACACACACAGAGTAACCTGTAACTCTCAATTCCCTGAAAAACTAGTAATACTGTCTTATCTGCTATAAACTTTACATATTTGTCTATTGTCAAGATGCTACAATGGAAACCATTTCTGGTTTTATCTTCAAAGCGGAGAAACATGTTGATTTAGTCTTCTTTCCCAATCTTCTTTTTTAAACCAGTTTAAGGAACTTCTGAAGATTTGTCCACCTCTGATTACATGTATGTTCTTGTTTGTATCATTAGCAACAACATGCTAATGACGACACCTAGCTCTAAGAGCAATTCTGGGAGAATGAAAGGAAGTATAAAGTAACCCATAATCTGCTTGGCAATAGTTAAGTCAATCTATCTTCAGTTTTTCTCTGGCCTTTAAGGTCAAACACAAGAGGCTTCCCTAGTTTACAAGTCAGAGTCACTTGTAGTCCATTTAAATGCCCTCATCCGTATTCTTTGTGTTGATAAGCTGCACATGACTACATAGTAAGTACAGAACAGTAAAGTTAAAACGGATGTCTCCATTGATCTGCCAAATCGTTATAGAGAGCAATTTGTCTGGACTAGAAAATCTGAGTTTTACACCATACTGTTAAGAGTCCTTTTGAATTAAACTCGACTAAAACAAGTGTATAACTAAACTAACAAGATTAAATATCCAGCCAGTACAGTATTTTTTAAGGCAAATAAAGATGATTAGCTCACCTTGAGATAACAATCAGGTAAGATCATAACAATGTCTCATGATGTAAAAAATATTAAAGATATCAATACTAAGTGACAGTATCACTCTAATATAATATGGATCAGAGCATTTATTTTGGGGAGGAAAACAGTGGTGATTACCGGCATTTTATTAAACTTAAAACTTTGTAGAAAGCAAACAAAATTGTTCTTGGGAGAAAATCAACTTTTAGATTAAAAAAATTTTAAGTATCTAGGAGTATTTAAATCCTTTTCCCATAAATAAAAGTACAGTTTTCTTGGTGGCAGAATGAAAATCAGCAACTTCTAGCATATAGACTATATAATCAGATTGACAGCATATAGAATATATTATCAGACAAGATGAGGAGGTACAAAAGTTACTATTGCTCATAATGACTTACAGGCTAAAATTAGTTTTAAAATACTATATTAAATTCTGAATGCAATTTTTTTTTGTTCCCTTGAGACCAAAATTTAAGTTAACTGTTGCTGGCAGTCTAAGTGTAAATGTTAACAGCAGGAGAAGTTAAGAATTGAGCAGTTCTGTTGCATGATTTCCCAAATGAAATACTGCCTTGGCTAGAGTTTGAAAAACTAATTGAGCCTGTGCCTGGCTAGAAAACAAGCGTTTATTTGAATGTGAATAGTGTTTCAAAGGTATGTAGTTACAGAATTCCTACCAAACAGCTTAAATTCTTCAAGAAAGAATTCCTGCAGCAGTTATTCCCTTACCTGAAGGCTTCAATCATTTGGATCAACAACTGCTACTCTCGGGAAGACTCCTCTACTCACAGCTGAAGAAAATGAGCACACCCTTCACACTGTTATCACCTATCCTGAAGATGTGATACACTGAATGGAAATAAATAGATGTAAATAAAATTGAGTTCTCATTTAACTGTTATATTTCATTTTATTTTGTGGGGCTTTTTTCCTAACCCAGAATTATTTAAGGAAAGTTTTAAGTAAATACAGATAAATGAGCCATGAACACTGCTCTTTATTAACTCTATTCCTCACATGGCTTGTAGTTTTCTCCTGGTGGTTCTTGCCTACCAGAGGAAAAGACTTGTCCTAAAGAAAACATACCAACTCAAAAAGTTTCTACCAATAATTAGCACTACATTTAAAGGAAACCGAATCCACTGTTTTTTTTTAACCTGTGTATTGCATTACACACAAAGAAGTCTCCTATGACTTAAGATAGTGTATTGCATGCATCTTGATGTAATAAACTTTTTTTTTTTTTGAGATGGAGTCTTGCTCTGTCACCCAGGCTGGAGTGCAGTGGCGCAATCTCAGCCGCCTCCCGGGTTCATGCCATTCTCCTGCCTCAGCCTCCCGAGTAGCTGGGACTACACGCACCCGCCGCCACGCCTGGCTACTGTTTTGTATTTTTTAGTAGAGACGGGGTTTCACCATGTTAGCCAGGATGGTCTCGATCTCCTGACCTCATGATCCACCCGCCTCGGCCTCCCAAAGAGCTGGGATTACAGGCATGAGCCACCGCGCCTGGCTTTGATGTAGTAAACTTTTTACATGTGCCTCCAAATTATGCTGTACTTGTTTTCAGAAGAGATCAAGAAAAGGAGTACTTGAGAATTTTGATAAAAATACCCACTTCTGGCCTAGCGGACCTGTAATCCCAGCACTTTGGGAAGCCGAGGTGGGCGGATTGCTTGAGTGCATGAGTTCAAGACTAGCCTGGGCCACATGGTGAGACCCTGCCTCTACAAAAAATACCAAAAAATTAGCTAGGTGTGGTGGAACGTACCTGTAGTCCCAGCTCCTCAGGAGGCTGAGGTGGGAGGACTTGAGCCTGGGAGGTCAAGGCTGCAGTGAGCCAAGACGGTGCCAGTGCACTCCAGCCTGGGCGACAGGGCCAGACCCTGTCTCAAAAAAAAAAAAAACCAAAAACAAAAACAAAACGTACTTCTGAAGGTATGCGCTGGTCCGCACGGTCACCTACATCTGCTTTTTGATGTCTGCATGTCTAGAATTATGGTGTTTAGAATAACACAGGTACAATTCAGATCTTTACCCATCAAAGATTACAGTTCTATATAGCATGGCTGGAAAGTAAACATATTTGAGGATATTAAAAGTTTTCCTGGCTCACTGCTAGAACATTAACTCTTAAAATCTTACAACATACACATTTAAGAGTTTCCTTGGTTAGATCGATGCTTCCCAAAAACTTTGGTGTGGGCCGGGCACGGTGGTTCACACCTGTAATCCCAGCACTCTGGGAGGCCAAGGTGGGTGGATCACCTGAGGTCAGAAGTTCGAGACCAGCCTGGCCAACATGGTGAAACCCTGTCTCTCCTAAATACAAAAAAATTAGCCGGGTGTGGTGGTGCATTCCTGTAATCCCAGCTACTTGGGAGGCTGAGGCAGGAGAATGGCTTGAACCCAGGAGGCAGAGGTTGCAGTGAGCCGAGATCACGCCATTTGCACTCTAGCCTGGGAGACGAGCGAAACTCCGTCTCAAAAAAAAAAAAAAAAATTGGCGCACATCAGAACTGATGGAGGATGGGGATGGAGAGGAGTGTTGTTAAAAAAGATTACTGTCCTCTCAGATTCTGATTCAGGAAGTCTGGGGTGGGGCTGAAAGTTCTTCATTATTAAACAGCCCGGGCAATGTTGGGTCCAGGAACTGCACTTTGAGATAAAACCACTGGGTTAGGTAAATGCTATCTTTGTATCTTAATACACAGAGGTTTTCGGACCTGGCTGCACAATGGAATCATCTGAGGACCTTTTCAAAAATATTGATCTCTGCCTCCACTAACAAAGTGCTGATTTAATTAGTCTACCATGGTACCCAGGTGCCAGTATGCTTTAACAACTCTGTAGGTGATCCTAGTATGGAGCCAGGGTTGAGACCCACTGGTAGAGACTAGTAATGATACTAGTATGGATCCTAGTATGGAGCCAGGGTTGAGACCCACTGGTAGAAACTAGTAATGAGGACAAGACTCTTCCTTTGTTAGCCAGGCTGGTCTCAAACTCCTGGGCTTTCAAGTGATCCACTGCCTTGGCCTCCCAAAGTGCTGGGATTACAAGCATGAGCCACCATATCCTGCCACTCTGAACTTTTGTGGTTTTTTGTTTTTTGAGACAAGGACTCACTCTGTCACCCAGGCTGGAGTGCAGTGGCATGATCACAACTCTCTGCAGCCTCAATTTCCTGGGCTCAAGCTATTCTCCCGCCTCAGCCTCCAGAGTAGCTAGAACTACAGGTATGTGCCACCAGGCACATCTAATTTTTTATTTTTTTTTGTAGAGAGGGAGTCTCCCTATGTTGCCCAGGCTGGTCTTGAAGTCCTGGGTTCAAGTGATCTTCTTGCCTCAGCCTCCCAAAGTGCTGAGATTACAGGTGTGAGCCACAGCACCCAGGCCAGATCTCAACTTATAATCAACCTTTTGGTCCTTCTATCTTAAAAACCAGCAACCGAAACAAAGCTACTTAACATGATAGGGATCAAAATAAAAACAGAAAGAAAAAAAGGAACTTGGAAACAATAAGACTATAAATCTCACCTTCTGAGAAATAAATTACATCCATGAACTGAGAATAGAATGCTAGAAAAAGGGAACATGCAGATGACAAGAGCTTAAAGAAGTTAGAAAGAAGGCCGGGTGCAGTGGCTCATGCCCGTAATCCCAGCACTTTGGGAGGCCCAGGCAGGTGGATCACCTGAGGTCAGGAGTTTGAGACCTGCCTGACCAACATGGAGAAACCCCGTCTCTACTAAAAATACAAAAATTAGCCAGGCTTGATGCCGCATGCCTGTAATCCCAGCTACTCGGGAGGCTGAGGCAGGAGAATCGCTTGAACCCAGGAGGCAGAGGTTGCGGTGAGCCGAGATCGGGCCACTGCACTCCAGTCTGGGTGACGGTGTGAAACACCATCTAAAAAAAAAAAAAAAAAAAAGAATAGGAAAGGTTGGAAAATAAAGCTGAGCAAATCTAAATAAAGGCAAAAAAGAAAAAAAAAAAAAAAAAAAAGAAAACCTGAGGATCAGACCAGCAGGTCTAATAGTCAAATAAAAGAGTACCAAGAAAGGTCAGAAAGAGGAGAAAAATTATCAATGAAATTTTCAAAAAACTTTCCCAGAGCTGAAAACACAAATTCCCAGACTGAAAACCCACTTAGCTGCCCAGCACGATGGGCAAAAAAAAAAAAAAAAAGACCCACACAAAGCACACAACTGTTATATTTCAGAATACTGGAACCAGGATCATGATAATAAACTAGAATGGCTACAACTTCCCTTCAGCTACAAGAGGTCAGAAGACCAAAAAGCAATTCCCTTGAATTCCTTAAACAAAATGACTTCCAAAGGTAATTCTATATCCAGCCAAACAATGTAAGGGTAGAATGATGAAATTTTCAAATATGCAAGGTCTAAGAACATTTACCTCTCTTGCACTTTTCTGGGGAAGATCCTGAGAACAAGATATACAAAACAAAGCAGTAACATAAAAAAGAGGAATACACGGGATACACAACAGATATCCCCAAAACAGCAAAGCAGTGGCTTGAGTCACTCCAGACAATGGTGAGAACCCAGAGTGAAGTTGTGCACTAGGTCTAAAGGGTAAGAGATCAGAGCCAGGCAAAGGACTACAGAAAAGATTTTAAAATGATGAGGCCGGGCACAATGGCTCACACCTAATCCCAGCACTTTGGGAGGCCAAGGTGTGCGGATCACTTGAGGCCAGGAGTTGGAGACCAGCCTGGCCAACACAGCGAAACCCCATCTCTACTAAAAATACAAAAATTAGCTAGGCATGGTAACACATGGCTGTAATCCCAGCCACTGGGGAGGCTGAGGCAGAAGAATCCCTTGAACCCGGGAGGCAGAGGTTGCAGTGGGCTGAGATTGTGCCACTGCACTCCAGCCTGGGCAACAAGAATAAGACTCTGTCTCAAAAAAAAAAAAAAAAAAAAAAAGAATCATTTGGGGATCTCATTAAACACATCTGAATTCTGGGCTGGGGCCAGAGATACTGCATTTTTCACAATCTTTCACCAGAGGCCAGTGCTGCTGGTCCTTCAACCATACTTTTAGTAGCAAATGTACTACACGGCTGAGCTGTGAACAGAATGTATAATGTAAACTCTGAATAGTGGTTAAATTATGAAATATATTGGTAGGCTAGGAAGATAGGAAATATGCAAGCATATGGTAGAGAAGAAAAACTAAATCCTCTTCTTCTACAAATGGAAGTTAATGCCTAAAACAGAAACACACTATTAAAACTAGCTGGCTTTTAAAATTATATATAATTCTGATAACAGATTCCTTAAGAAGTGAGTAGAGGATGCGAACTCAGTTCATAAATACGAAAAGCACTTCAACATCTACATAAATACTCAACTGTCTCATTAAGATTCCCTTTTTCAGCTAGGTGTGGTGCCATGTACCTCTAGTCCCAACCACTTGAGAGAATTGCTTGAGCCCAGGAGTATAAGAACAGCCTGAGTGAGATCTCATCTCTTAAAAAAATTTTTTTTGAGACGGAGTTTCACTCTGTCACCCAGGCTGGAGTGCAGTGGCACAATTTTGGCTCACTGCAACCTCCATTTCCCACGGTTCAAGTGATTCTCCTGCCTCAGCCTCCCGAGTAGCTGGGATTACAGGCGCCCACCACCACGCCTGGCTAGTTTTTGTTATTTTTAGTAGAGATAGGGTTTCACCATGTTGGCCAGGCTGGTCTCGAACTCCTGACTGCAAGTCATCTGCCCGCCTCAGCCTCCCAAAGTGCTGAGATTACAGGCATGAGCCACACCACACCTGGCCTCTAAAAAAAAATTTTTTTAATTACAAACTTTTATACTCAGGAGGCTGAGATGGGAGGATCACTTGAGGCTGGGAGGTTGAGGCTGCACTGAGCCGTGATTGTGCCACTGCACTTTAGCCTGGGTGAAAAAGAGAGACCTGTCTCAAAAAAACATTTTTTGGCCTGTTTTAAAAAGATTACAGTTTTCACTTAACAACTGGCAAAAAAAAAAAAAAAAAAAAAAAAAAATTCACTGATTGCACCAATTGCAATAATGTGAAGAAACAGCAATATATTGTTACAGCAATAGTTCTGAAATCTTAGTGTTTTATGTTGTTGCAACAGAACACCACAGACTGGGTATCTTAAAAAACGAATAGAAATTGGCTGGGCGTGGTGTATCATGAGGTCAGGAGTTCAAGACCAGCCTGGCCAACATGGTGAAACCCCATCTTTACTAAAAACTACATAAATTAGCTGGGTACAGTGGCAGGCACTTGTAATCCCAGCTACTCGGGAGGCTGAGGCAGGAGAATCACTTGAAACCAGGCGGCAGATATTGCAGTGAGCTGAGATCGCACCGCTGCACACCAGCCTGGGCAATGTGTATTTGGCTCATGATTAGGAGCTGGGAAATCCAAAAGCATGGCACCTGTATATGGCAAGGGTCTTTGATGCTGTGTGATCCCATGGTGGAAGGTGAGAGGACAAAGAGGGTGCGCTGAGGAGAGCAAAAGAAAAATTTGGCTGAACTCCATTTTATAACAAACCCACTCCTCAGATAGTAACATTAATCCATTCCTGAGGGCACAGCCCCCATGGCCCAATCACCTCCCAAAGGTTCCACCTCTCAATAACATCACAATGGCAATTAAATTTCAACATGCATTTTGGAGGGGACATCCAAAATATGGCACTGACAATCCTTATTGCCCCAAAAGTAAACCATTTCCAGATTTCAACCATCTTTCTGTGACAAATCTTTTCAGTTGGCTACCACAGTACGTTTTTTTTTTTGAGACAGGGTCCAGCTCTGCTGAGGTGAGTGGAATAGCATGATCACGGCTCACTGCAGCCTCACCTCCAGGGCTCAAGCAGTCCTCCCACCTCAGCCTCCCAAGTAGCTAAGACTATAGGCATGTGCCACCATGCCCAGCTAATTCTTTTTTTTGTAGAGACAGTCTCACTATGTTGCCCAGGTTGGTCCCGACTTCCTGGACTTCAGTGATCCTCCTGCCTCAGCCTCCCAATGTGCCGCGATTATAGGTGTGAGCCACTGTACCTGACCCAGTATGCATTCTCAACTACTTTCTTCCTTAGCTGCCTTGGCTGTCAGGACTGAAAAAGCTATGCAGTCATCCCTCATCTGTGGTTTCACTTCTGTGGTTTCAGTTACCTTGGTCCCAAAACAGGTGAGTATAGCACAATATTTTGAGAGAGACTGACAATTTCCACATACATTTTATTATAGTATATTATTATAATTGTTCTATTTTATTGTTAATCTGTTACTGTGTCCAATTTATAAACTTTATCATAGGTATGTATTAATCCATTCTCACACTGCTATGAAGAAATATCCAAAACTGATTAATTATAAAGGAAACAGGTTTAACTGACTCACAGTTCCGCATTGCTGGGAAGGCCTCAGGAAACTTACAATCATGGCAGAAGGCAAGGAGAAGCAGGCACCTTCACAGGGCAGCAAGATGGAGTGACTGCAAGCAGGGGAAACGCCAGGCACTTATAAAACCAACAGATCTCCTGAGAGTCACTCATTATCTCAAGAACAGCACAGGGGAAATTGCCCCCATGATCCAATTATCTCCACCTGGTCCCACCCTTAACACATAGGGATTTGGGGATTATAATTCAAGATGAGATTTTGGGTTGGGTAGCAGCCAAACCATATCAAGTATATATACATAGGCAAAAACATAGTATATATAGGGTTCAGTACTATCTGCTGTTTCAGGGATCCACTCTTGGAATGTATTCCCCAAGGATAAGGAGGACTGCTGTGTTCACTTTCTCAGCCTCCTTTGCAGCTAGAGATGGACCTGTCACAGTTCTCAACAATGAAACTAAGTGAAAGCCTGCTGGGAGGAATTTTGAGAAATCTCATGCCTATGGTCTCAGCTACTTGGGAGGCTAAGGTGGGAGAACTGCTTGCCAGAAGTGGCTGGCACAGCTACCTTTTCTTCCTGCCTTGCACTCATGTAAATATCAGCCCTTTTACAAGCAGGAACAATAATCATAAAGGTGTTAGAAATATGTCATGGACAGCAGAGCGGAAAAATACAAAAAAGGCATCACTGAGAGCTAAACCAACCACCACAGCAACCTCACTTGGATTTAACATATGAGGCAAAAATATCCTGCTTAAATCCTTCATTGTTTTGTTACACAGCAAACACATCCCCTTATTGTTTTGTTACACAGCCAAACACACCCACTTTCTCAAAGAAGGCTGCTCTGAATTATGTTTTACACATACTCCCCTCTCCCCAGGATTTATTTGTAAGTCAAATATATAAACTAAGTCTTATACTATTATGTTCACTATAAAACAGAAATTGTTAGAGTTAAAAAAAAAAAGTCAACAGGCCAGCTAGCTCATGCCTGTAATCCCAGCACTTTGGGAGGTTGAGGCAGGAGGATCACTTGAGCCTGGGAGTTTAAGACCCTGTCTCAATTCAAATAAATAAATACATATAAATCTCCACAACTCTAGGTTTGCTTATTTTACAATCAATAGGAATGTTTGACTGTGAGCAATAAAAATGTAAAGAAGGCCGGGCACGGTGGCTCATGCCTGTAATCCCAGCACTTTGGGAGGCTGAGGTGGGCAGATCACCTGAGGTCGGGAGTTCGAGACCAGCCTGACCAACATGGAAAAACCCTGTCTCTACTAAAAATACAAAATTAGCCGGGTGTGGTGGCACATGCCTGTAATCCCAGCTCCTAGGGAGGCTGAGGCAGGAGAATCTCTTGAACCTGGGATGCAGAGGTTGTGGTACGCCGATATCGTGCCATTGCACTCCAGCCTAGGCAACAAGAGTGAAACTCCATCTCAAAAACAAACAAACAAACAAACTTAAAAAAAATGGAATTTACTGAAAATATGAGATAGCTTGCAGAATTCAAGGAAGAGCTAAACCAGGCCTCAGGAAGAACAGGAATTGGGATAGCTCAAAATCACTACTTTCAGAAACCGCTCTGAAATTCTGGAGCACCAATCCAATTTCATTTGTTGAAGGAAAGTGTACCTCAAGGTGCTAAAGCACAGTTAATTTTACAACTCCCATGAAAATCATGTTCTTAAACCTACAAAATAAGCAAATTTAAAGCTTAAAATCCAGGACTTTCCATGTCAAAAAACAACTGAACGATTCGATTACAATAATATATTAAAATATCATCTACAGACTGGCTTTTTACAGACTCCCCTGTCCCCCACCCACAAAAGGACCTACCACAGTTTCTTCTAGTTTTAGCCTCACACTATGGAAACTTTCACTACATATTTTATTCTTAATTATCCCTCCTCTCCTAGCATTAGTATATAAGCAAAAGCTGCAAAAGTCAGTTTCAAATTTTATTTCATTAACTTAAAAGGTGGACAAAATGTTTATTTTAAATCTAATTGAAATTTATCTGAAACAACTTATTTCAAGTAACTTATTGTACAGTCCATTGTCCATTTAAAAATATTTTCTTCCAAAAAACTGCATTGAAAGACAAAAAAATTCTTTTATACGGCATATACGCGAGATGCAAACTTCTGATGTAAATTTGTTTCACTGTCAACTCCGATGATAAAGATGAGAGGCACAAGGGTTCACAGTTCAGTTAAATGATGCAAACAAAAAGCTTCTGTTTCCCTCCGATACAAATTAGAAGTCTCCATTCATGTCTCTTACAGTAGTACCACATACTTGATGCTGATACTAGGTTACTTCTTTTTCTTTCCTTTCCCTTTTTTACTTCCCTCTCCTTGTTGAAGACTTTGGTCAGCACCTCCTGTTTTTTGTGTCCTTGTTTTTAGTTTAGGTATCATTTCTGCTGCATACAACATTACTGACTTACCTAGGAACCAGAAGTTAGGCTTAGTGTATAATCTGAGAAATAAGACATAAAAAGTCATCAAATTGAATATCACAAAGTGTAAGAAACTATCACATCAAGAAAATGGAAAATAACTTTTTTAAAAAATCAAAAATCAAATGACTGAAGACACTGACTAGCTCAAGTCGGGGGAAATGTACTGAGAGTGAGAATAATGCTGAAAATATTTAAATGAATAAAATCAAAAGGCAAAACACTAAGTATGAAACAAAAATTTTGGTTTGGTCCTAGTAATCAGCTTGAAGATCTAAGGAGTATGTATCCAAATATACCTCAGGTAGAAACAGAGTCAGAATATCACTGTATCTTAAGACACTGAAATACAGGGTTTTCTCAGTCTTACAACAAAAAAACAGTATCATCAAGTTACAAGCGATCCGATGGGTAAGATCAGATGATCTACACTTACATGCATTCCTGCTCTGCACACCTACAACCAGCTACCTTCACCCCCAACAGACCAAGTTCCTCAGCTCTGCTTTCTTTTTACTATCTTACTTGGGTCTTACTGGAAATAGGAAGTGACATGTTCTCACCACAACTTCTACCCCTATTTTATCTACTAGTTAATTACAAGTTTTTGTTTGTTTTTGGTCTTTTGAGATATAATATAGGAAAATGTTAAGGAGAAAAAACATATCAGAATATGATGTCACTCCTTAGTCACAACCTGAAGCATCTAGCAATACCTACCAATCCTGATGGGTTTTAGTATATAAAAAACAATCTATTTTAGGCTGAGCCCAGTGGGTCATGTCTGTAATCTCAGCTCTTTGGGAGGCTGAGGCAGGAGGATCACTTGTGTCCACGAGTTTGAGACTGGCTTAGGAAACATAGCAAAACCCCATCTCTAGAAAAAATAAAAAATCATGTGCCGATATTCCCAGCTACTTGGGAGGCTGAGGCAGGAGGGTTGCTTGAGCCCAAGAGGTCAAGACTGCAGTGTGTTGGCTGGGCGCAGTGGCTCACGCCTATAATCCCAACATTCTGGGAGGCCAAGGTGGGCGGATCACCTGAGGTCGAGAGTTCGAGACCAGCCTGACCAAGATGGAGAAACTCCATCTCTACTAAAAATACAAAATTAGCCGGGTCTGGTGGCTCATGCCTGAAATCCCAGCTACTCAGACGGCTGAGGCAGGAGAATCACTTGAACCCGGGAGGCGGAGGTTGCGGTGAGCCAAGATCACGCCATTGCACTGCAGCCTGGGCAACAAGAGCAAAACTCTGTCTCAGAAAAAAAAAAAAAAAGAAAAAAGACTGCAGTGTGCCATAATCGTGCCACTGCACTCAACCTCGATGACAGAGTGAGACCTTGTCTTTAAAAATAAAAGTTCAAACATGCAGGCTGGGCATGGTGGCAAACGCCTGTAATCTCAGCATTTTGGGATCTCCCCAAGATGGGAAGATTGCTTGAGTTTGAGACTAGCCTGGGCAACACAGTGAGACCCTTGTCTCTCTATTTTAAAAAAATCAGGCCGGGGGCAGTGGCTTATGCCTGTAATCCCAGCACTTTGGGAGGCCGAGGTGGGTGGATCACGAGGTCAAGAGATCGAGACCATTCTGGCCAACATGGCGAAACCCCATCTCTATCAAAAATACAAAAGTTAGCTGGGTGTGATGGCACATGCCTGTAGTCCCAGCTACTTGGGAGGCTGAGACAGGAGAATCGCTTGAACCAGGGAGTCGGAGGTTGCAGTGAGCTGAGATCGCGCCACTGTACTCCAGCCAGAGCGAGACTCCATCTCAAAAAAAAAAAAAATCAAACAAGCTGTCAGTTCGTCTGACGATTTCATTATTTTTAAGTAAATTTAATGACAGTTTAATTAAACTGAGGGGGTTATTAAACTGAAAGAAAAAATTAATAGCTCTGTTTTAAAAAATTAAAATTTTCAGAGATGAAAATTCAGAAAAATAAACAACATGCAAACAAAAACTTATCTTCCTAATATTCAGAACATTCTGTTATATTGATGTCGTTTTGCTATTGTTTTTCATAAAATAAAACACTAGAGATGATGCAACAGTCTTCTATGACCATCAACCCGTGTCTCTACTCTCTACCCCGCTCACCATTAGGTGACTACTCTCTTAAGAATGAGTGTTTCCTTACAGAGCATTTCAAAAAAATGCCAATAAGCAACATTACATATGCATCTATCAATAAATAGTAATATTTTGTATTTAAATTTACCTAAGTGGTACCACACTATGTATATCTCTTGCTTTTTTCAGTCAATATTGCTTTTCAGATTTATTAATGATAGAATCATTAGATATTATAGATATTAACAGACCTCAAGGACCTCTAGGATCTGAAATGGCAATTAACATCCAACGATTTAATAATTTTATATTCTTAACCTGGGAGCAATGACAGACTTCCAGAGGTTTATAAAATGTTCACACAACAATTTTTTTGAAAAATGTTTAGTGGGTCTCATTACATTTTCAAAGAGGTCATTCACCTCAAAGAAATTAGAACTACTGCTTCTCTCCATGAGCAGTAGTCCTGTCTTTAAATTAATCTTCAGAATGCAAATTCTGACTTTTACCTTTCAGTTTTAGAACCTTTTTTGTGTTGTGTAGGAGAAACCTATCCCTGAGCCCCACTGATTCATTTAAACAAGCTTACGTGATGGGAACTGTACAAGGCAGAGGCTCCCATCTTCCTGTTTGAGCTGGACCCGGACTCTGCCTCTGTATTGGACATCACGATTCCATTCTCTAGAGTACATTTTATTTTTCTAACATAAACGAAACAAAAGAAAAACAGGACTTAAGAAAGTTATTACATCAATTAGATGAGTATGGAAAATAGTGAAGAACCACGTCATACCTCAAGAAATACGTTAAGTCCAACTGCTGAACATACATCTTGAATCTCTGTAGCTGTAGGATTTTCAACAGCCTGAACAGTTAAAAACATAAACACTAAATATATGTGCTTTAAGTGGACACTGCCATAGTGTTGGGTAAATAATTTCAAATACTATAATCAAACAAGTACCAAAACCCTAGGTTTCCTTTTTCATTAAGTACAGATGCTTCTATTGTAATTTTAAAAATTCCTAGGAATAACACTAATGCGTAACTGTGTGCCCATCTCCCCTCCAACAGAACATAAACTTCTGAGGGCAGGGGCTTTGTTTTGTTAACCAGTGTATTCCCCAGCACCTAGCATGGTACTCTCAACATAGTAGGTGCTCAATGATTATTGACTGCTTAAACAATTACACATACAAACACTTTAGAAAACTGCTAGTATCTACTAAAGCTGAATATATGCATTCTCTATGGCCCTGCAATTCCATTCCCAGATGCGTTCTACAAAAAAGCAAAAATATGTTCTCTAAAAAACATCTATTTATAATAGCCTCAAACTATTAATAGAAATAATCCAATTTTCCATCCAGAGTAGAAAGGGCCAGGTGTGGTGGCTCACACCTGTAATCCCAGCAGATCACTTCAGCTCAGGAGTTTGAGACAAGCCTGGACAACATGGAGAAATCTCATTGCTACAAAAAAATACCAAAGTAGCCGGACATGGTGGCATGTGCCTGTAGTCCCAGCTACTCAGAAGGCTGAGGTTGGAGGATGGCTTGAGTCCAGGAGGTGGAGCCTGCAGTGCGCTGAGACTACACTGCCGCACTCCAGCCTGGGTGACAGAGCCAGACCCTGTCTCTTAAAAAAACAAACAAAAAAGAAGGTAGAAAAGACTTTGGCATACTCACACCATGCGATACTATAGAGGAGACAGGGCAGTAGTTTTGAGCAGGGAAATTCTGTCCTCAGCCTCCCTACCCCTACCCACACACAAAAGACATCTAGCAATGCTTGGAGACATTTTTGATTGTCACAACTAGGGGATGGGGGGCTGGAGGGGGCTGACCTGTCATCTAGTGGGTAGAGGCCAGGGATACTGCTGAACATCTTAAAATGCACAGAACAACCCCCAACAACAATTATCTAGCTCAAATCGGCAATGGTGCTGCTATTGACAAACCCTGTTATAGAGCAATGAAAATTCAACTACATTCAAATATGTAGGTAAATCTCAAAAGCTTAAAGTTCAGTGAAAAAAAGATACAAAATTACATAGTGTGTAATTCCATTTACAGAAAACTGAAAAAGCAGCAAAAGTAATCTATGGTGTTGAAGTCATAACGGTGGTCATCCTGGTATTTTTGAGCATATGCGGAGGCGACAGTGACTGAGAGGGAACATAAAGCAATCTTCCTGGATGCTTGTAGTGTTTTCTTTTTTGAGTGCTTGTTACCACCCAGATGTACTCATCATGGGAGAATTCACTGCATCAAACCTAGGTGTCTTAAATCTGTCATATTACAAAATACAAATGACACTTTAATAAAACTCAACAGGGCTGAACTTTCTGCATGTCTTCTTCACACACTTAAAAAAATCTCAACTACATTCTGAACATTATTAATGTATCGTACAATGTCATAATTTTGATTTCCTATATCAAGGGAAACACCGTCATAACCTTTGTTTTAAAAACATGTGAACTCTACACTCTGCCCCCACTCCTTTACAAACAAAGGCTCATTAAGAGACGTTAAAAAAATATCCCTTCAGCTATGAATTAATGCCTTTCTGGTTTCACCAACACTGAGGAACGCACCCCAATTCTTGGCTGTGTTCTCAAGCCCTAAATAAATGCAGTGAAGAGAACCCCCTGCGGCTCTAACAAGATTACGTGGCCCGACCAGGATGACACCCCCCATTCCCTCGAGGATCAAGGTGCCAGCCATCTTGCTTACCTTACTTATGGGGATTCGCCTTCCCTCTGCGATGGTCTTCTTATTATTTAAATAAGCAGGATAGATACAAATAAACCTGCCATAGACAATAGCATAAGTGGTATCACTAGAGCAGTAAGAGGCAGGAGAAAAGGGTCGGGTGGCAGGGAACCAAAGGCCAATTCATGCTGCCTAGATATCAGATGGGTACTCCCTTTTCAACCCCTCCTTTTTCTGCGTGGCAGTTGAAAAATCAAAGTACCTCGGAGTGGTCCCCTCGAGCAACTAATCAGACTGGCCGCGGGCCTACTCCTCTTTCTGATTGATCCCCCTCCCTCAACCAATCAGACTGGCACAGGTCAATGGGAAACGTCTAGAGGGTATTTAAACCCTAGAAAATTCTGTAACCAACAGCTCTTGGGTAGCTTGCTGGAGCCGGCTCCCACCCTGTGGAGTGTACTTTTGTTTAAAATAAATCTGCTTTCGCTGCCTTGCTTTGTGTGTTTTGTTCAATTCCTTATTCAAAACGCCAAGAACCTGGACAACTACACTCAACAGATAACAAGTATTTTCAAAAATACATTCTTTCGGTCCGTGGTAGTCGTCATCATTGCTGGTACACCTATGCTATTATTTGCTTAATGTTATTTCTTTAAATTACCTCACTTTAACTTATTTAAAAATAAACTTTATCCACTACCTTGGATGGAAAAAAACCACAGGAATAGAAACAAAACGACTTGGGTAACTGTTACATTAGACAGAGCAGCCCGTCAAAAGTTCCTGAGAATGGGCCCGCCCTCTTATATAAAGTGTCCGAGGTATTAAAAACCTTAAAATTTCACAAATGAGCCTTTCTGAACGCAACAATACTTAAAAAGAACACATTTCTCACACTGTGATTATATTACTTGATATCATGTCCACGTAGCACCCAAAATCCTTGTCTCGCGTACAGATAAACACTAGGCTACCTATGGTCGGAATTTCAGGAGCCCTGAGAAGAGCCTGGTGGCTGCTGCAGGATTCAGAAAAACGAGCTGCCAGGGAGAGGCGCGGGGCCCGTACAGAGCGAGTTGGATCAGCTAGGCCATTCTGGAGGCCGCGGAGCGGAGAAGCGCGGTGTAGCACCTGCAGCACCACAGCAAGCCCCTTCCTTTCGGAGGACCCACCGCCTCAGAACCCACCTGTCCTGGTCGGCCGGGGACCGCGCGGCAGCGCAAGCCATCTTCACAAGAGTCTCAACAACCCAGGAGCCGCAGGGAGAAACCCGGCAGAAACCCGGGAGGAACCCGGCTCTGAGTTTCCGAGACAGCCCGCTTTTCCGCCGGAAGTCCTGCCCAAGAAATGGTTCCGCGTCCGCGATTTCTCATCGCCTGTTTGTTCCGGCACCTGTCGCTCGGCGCCAGGATCTCTAGTCTCTGACGTGGCATGAAGACTTCCCTTCTCGCGAGAGAATCATGAAAGCTTCTCATTCCTTTCCCAAGCCGGGAAGACCATGTGGGGCGCATGCACCGCCACTAAAAAGGGTTTAACTTCGACCCTCCCTCGTTTCCAGTTTCTCAGCGAGTATGGGTGGTACTAGCTACTCTCTGTTAAGGGGCGAAGACTGTGCCACGAGGGGAATCTGTGTGGTTCAGGATGCAAATATATGTTAGACAGGGAAGGAAATACTCCTTACGTTTAATTTTTCTCCGTTCCTGGGCTCTAGAGCTTGCTTTCAGTTTGGCAAAATGGATTTTTGTAGTGGTAGAACTAGCAAAGTTATAGACGTTGTGTTTCAGTGTGCTCTGCGTTAGAAACTTAGCTATTCACCTTTTAGGCCGGGTGCGGTGGCTCACGCCTGTATCCCAGCACTTTGGGAGACTGAGGCAGGTGGATCATGAGGTCAGGAGTTGGAGAGCAGCCTGGCCAACATGCTGAAACCCCGTCTGTACTAAAAATACAAAAATTAGCCGAGTGTGGTGGCACACGCCTGTAATCCCAGCTACTCGGAGGCTGAGACAGGAGAATCACTTGAACCCAGGAGGTGGAGGTTGCAGTGAGCTGAGATCACACCACTGCACTCCAGCCTGCGTAACAGAGCAAGACTCCGTCTAGGAAAAACGAAACAAAACTATTCACCTTTTAAAACTTCTGAAGGATACCATGTGCCATCACTACAGGCATACTTCATTATTGCACTTCACTTGCTGCTGCGAGTAGATACTGCCTTTTTACAAATGGAAGGTTTTTGGCAAATCCGCCTGAAAGAAGTTGCTTGGTGCCATTTTTCCAGCAGCGTATACTTTGTGTCACATTTGGTAATTTTTGCAATATTTCAAACCTTTTCATTATTTCTGTTATGGTGATCGGTGATCAGTGATGTTTGCTGTTACTATTGTAATAGTTTTAAGGCCGGGTGCGGTGGCTCACGCCTGTAATCCCAGCACTTTGGGAGGCCGAGGCAGGTGGATCACGAGGTCAGGAGATAGACACCATCTTGGCCAACATGGTGAAACCCCATCTCTACTAAAATATAAAAAATAAGCCAGGCATGGTGGCACAGGCCTTTAGTCCCAGCTACTCGGGAGGCAGGGGAATCTCTTGAACCCAGGAGGTGGAGGTTGCAGTGAGCCAAGATCACACCACTGCACTCCAGCCTGGCGACAGTGCAAGACTCCGTCTCAAATAATAATAATGTTTTGGGGCACCATGAACCATGCCCAGATAAGATGGGGAACTTAATGGATAAATGTTGTGTATGTTTTAACTGTTCGACCAACTGGCCATTTCCCATCTCTCTCCCTCTTCTGGAGTCCCTATTCCCTGAAACACAACAATGTTGAAATTAGGCCAGTTAGTAACCCTACAATGGCCTCTAAGTATTCAAGTGAAAGGAAGAGTCACACGTCTCACATGTCAAAAGATGGAAATGATTAAGCTTAGTGAGGAAGGCATATGTAAGCCAAGATAGGCTGAAAGCTAGGCCTCTTGGCACCTAACAGCCAAGTTGTAAATACAAAGACAAAATTCTTGAAGGAATTAAAAGGAAATTACTTCAATAAACACACAAATGATCAGAAAGCAAAACAACCTTATTGCTGATATGGAGAAAGTTTTAGGGGTTTGGATAGAAGCTCAAACCAGTCACAACATTCCTTTAACCCAAAGCCTAATCCGAGCAAGGCCCTAACTCCCTTCAATTCTGTGAAGGCTGAGAAAGGTGAGGAAGCTTCAGAAGTGGGAAGCTAGTAGAGGGTGGTTCAGGAGGTTTAAGAAAGAATCCATCTCCATAACATATAACATAAAAGTGCAAGGTGAAGCAGCAAGTGCTGATAGAGAAGCTGCAGCAAGTTATCCAGAAAATGTAGCTAATATCATTGACGATGATCAATGATTAGCTAGTATCATTTAGTGGCTACACTAAACAACAGATTTTTCAATGTAGACAAAACAGTCTTCTATTGGAAAAAGATACCATCTAGGATGTAGCACCCAAAATCCTTGTCCCTTTGAGAGAAGTCAATGTCTGGCTTCAGAGCTGCCCCATTTAGTGGCTACACTAAACAACAGGTTTTTCAATGTAGACAAAACAGCCTTCTATTGGAAAAAGATGCCATCTAGGATGTAGCACCCAAAATCCTTGTCTCTTTGAGAGAAGAAGTCAATGCCTGGCTTCAAAGCTGCCAAGGACAGGCTGATTATCTTGTTAGGGAACAATGCAGTTGGTGATTTTAAGTTAAAGCCAATGGACATTTACCATGCAGAAAATCCTAGAGACCCTAGAATGATGCTAAATCAACTCTGCCTGTGTTCTCTAAATGGAACAACAAAGCCTGGATGACAGTACATCTGTTTACAGCATGGTTTACTGAACTATTTTTTTGAGACAGTCTCGCTCTGTCACCCAGGCTGGCATGCAGTGGCCCTATCACATCTCACTGCAGCCTTGACCTCCCACACTCAAGCAATCCTCCTACACAAGCCTCCTGAGTAGCTGGGACTATGGGCTCATGCCACCATGCCTGGCTGATTTTTATTTTTATTTTTAGTGGAGACAAGGTCTTGCTATGTTGCCCGGGCTGGTCTTGAACTCATGGGGTCAAGCAATCCTCTTGCCTCAGCCTCCCAAAGTACTGGGATTACAGGCGTGAGCCACTGCACCCAGCCTTTACTGAATATTTTTAAGCCCACTGTTGAAAACAACTACTCAGAGAAAAAAAAAAGAGATTCCTTTCAAAATATTACTGCTCATTGACAATGCACCTAGACCTCTAGACATCTAAGTTTCTGATGGAGATCTAGAAGGAGATTAATGTTTTCATGCCTGATAACACATCATCCATTCTGCAGTTTACAGATCAAATAGTAATTTTTATTTTCATCTCTTATTAAGAAATACATTTTGTAAAACTATAGCTGCCAAATAGTGATTCCTCTGATGGATCTGGGCAAGATAAATTGAAAACCTTCTAAAAAAGATTCACTATTCTAGATGGCATTAAGAGCATTTGTGATTCATTGGAGGTTAAAATATGCTGATGCATGAACAGGAATTTGGAAGAAGTTGATTTCAACACTCTGGGATCATTTTGAGGACTTTAAGACATTAGTGGAGGCAATAACTGCAGATGTGGTGGAAATAGCAAGAAAACTAGAATTAGAAGTAGAAACTGAAGATGGGATTGAATTGTTACAATTATGATAAAACTTGAATGATGAGGAGTTGCTTCTTATGAATGGGCAAAGAAAGTGGTTTCTTGAGATGAAAACCACTGGTGAATATGCTGTGATCATTGTTGAAATGACATCAAAGGGTTTAGAATAGCATAAACTTAGTTGATACAGCAGTGGCAGGGTGTGAGAGGACTGACTCCAGTTTTTAAAGAAGTTCTACTATAGGTAAAATACTACCAAACAGCATTACACGCTACAGAGAAATCTATCGTGAAAGGAAGAGTCAGTTGATGTGGCAAAATTCGCTGTTGTCTCATTTTAAGAAATTACCACAACCACTCCAACCTTCAGCAACCATCATCCTGATCAGTCAGCAGACATCAACACTGAGGCAAGACCTTCCACCAGCAAAAAGATTATGATTTTCTGAAGGCCCAGATGGTTGTTAGCATTTTTAGCAATAAAGTATTTTAAATAAGGTATGTACATTATTTTTCTGGATATAATGCTATTTCACACTTAACAGACTACAGTATAATGTAAACATAACTTTTATATGCACTGAGAAATCAAAAAAATTGTATGACTTGCGTTATTATGATATTTGCTTTATTGTGGTGGTCTGGAACCAAACCTGCAACATCTCTGAGGCATGCCTATATATTTTTTGCATAACTTAGATTGATTGCAAAGTAGTATTTCAGCATCTCCATTCAACTAAACCTACCTTCGTTCCTGTTTTAATAATGGATGTTTATTCCACACCTACAAAGACATGCTTCAAAAAGCCAGGCAAAGTGAGATAGGTTTTCTCTTTTACAGATAAAAAAGCAGACAAACTGAAAAACCAAACTCAACCAACAAAAATCTTCATGAAAGTTTGAGTCTCAGTGAGGTTAAATAATTAGCCCATTCATGCTAATAATGGCTGAGCATAGATGCTCCAGTCAGCTAGTCTGACTGGAAGCCCCTGACTTTCCTTCATGTTCTCACTTATGTCTCTCAATCTTCCATGTATTTTTTTTTTTTTAGCACAAAATTAAGTTTGCTCCTGATGTAAATAAATAACGTTTACTTCTTTCTAAAGTGTATATGAGTCCTGTTAAAACAGTGTCATGCAATGACCTAAAATTGAGGAGTACATTTAGAGATGAAATGAATCCAAACTTTAAAATACATAATTTTCTTGCCTTAGGGTACGCATACACATATTAAAAAGTAGAAAATGAATGAGGTAGCCTGAGGCTTAATACATGCAAGTAGCCTACTTACCATGGAATTGTTTTTGTAGAGCCATCTAAGTAATTGGAGACAAAAAGGTCAATATTATAATTGCTAGTAACATGTCCTGGTTCATATATACTAAGAGAATTAAGAGAATTAATGACAGAGCTAATATTTTTTAGTGTCATTCAATGCCAAATCCACACTCCTATTAAACTCCACACCATTGCTGAGATATTGTACAACTACAGAGAGGAGGGGTGAGGAAGAGAGAAAGAATGCAATATTGTTACCACACTGACAATGAAAGTTTCAGCCAAATATGAAGTTTTTAAATGCTTATGCTTGTGGAAAGGCAGACTGAATTAAAGGAGGATGAAAATGGACATGGAAAAATTGTGGAGATGATGAAAGGGCTTTATAGAATTATGGCGCTTGTTTTCAAATCTTATTTTTATCAAACTATCTTCCTTTTCTTCATACAAATGTGCCACTAAATTCAACTTATCAACCTTGATTGAGGCTGCTGGCTGGAGGTAGGGTTCACAAAGGTAGAAAGAGAAGATCAAGGTAAACAAGAGAAATTTTCCTTAGTTGAGTAGAAATTGAGAGAGTATTCTGAGCACATTGTGGAGTAGAAAGAACCAGGAATCCATCTTCCCACCACAACAATGATTACATTAGCAGAATCTGTGACATGTAACTATTTAGAAACTATGGAGCCTATTGAAGGCTTGCAACTTCCAGGGGAAGAATTTAAAAGTAAATTGGAGTTACTTTTGGTCAGTGTCAGTTCTTAATACAGTAGCAGTTACCCATGCCCATCCCCAGCCCTGTGATAGTCAGCTGTATACGCATTCCAGGAACAGCCTATGGGACCCAGAGTGGGCAAAAAGCACCCTGTCTTCCAAGTACTGGGCATCTGTACACTGGTCATTGATTGCTGCTTCTGATCATATAAGTGCAGACAAAGAGGCAGATGGTCATGGATTTTGCACCTCCCCTCATTGGTTCAAACCCCTTCTCTCCAGCTGAAGTGACTTCCAGGGGATTTAAAGGACTGGTGCCCCTCCTCCTTAATTTTTCTCTCTCTCTCTTTTTTTTTTCTTTTGGGAGGCAGGCATTAAAGACTAGGACATCCAAAAACAATGGCATATATGAGGAAAATTAGAAAGTAACTATGCATTCCGAGGAAAACACTAGGATCAGAAAAACCTGAGAAGACCTCGAGTGTACACCTCACGTTGAACCTTGGCACAGAGAGAGCCTATAACAATTAAACAAACAAAAAACCCAGGGAAGGGGAGAATTTGATTTCCAGAGTTACCACATCTCCTGCTTACCTTGATCTTCTCTGTCTTTGTGAACCCCATCTCCAGCCAGCAGCCTCAACCAAGGTTAATATGTTGGATTTAGTGGCACATGTGTTTGAAGAAAAGGAAGATGGTTTTATAAAAAATAAGGTTTGAAAACAAGTGCCATTGGATTCAAATGTCCAGTTTTCAACAAAAAATCACAAGGCATACGAAGAAACAGGAAAATTAGGCTCATTCAAAGAGAAAAAATCTTGGTAAATCTCAGAGTAGGGGTGAAAAGAGAAAAAGTAAATAAAAGATATCGACAGAAACTATTTCTGAAAAAGATCTGATGGTAGATCTACTAGATAGAGACTTTAAAACAACTGTCTTAAGGAGGCTCAAAGAACTAAAGGAGGATGTGGAGAAAGTTGAGGAAACCATGTATTTACAAAATGGAAATAACAATAAAGAGACAGAAAATCTAAAAAGAAGACAAAAAAGAAATTCTGAAGGTGAAAAAATACAGCAACTAAAATGAAAAATTCACTAGAGGGAGTCAGAGGCAGTTTTGAACGGACAGAAGAATGAGCAAACTTGAAGATAATGGAAATTACTGAGTCTGAGGAACCAAAAGAAAAAAAAATAAGAAAAGCAAACAAATTCTAAGGGACCTGTTGGAACACCATCAAGTGGACCAATATACACATTGTGGGAGTTTTAGAAGGAGAAGAGAGACAGAAAGGACAGCAAGAATATTTGAAGAAATAATGGCTGAAAAATTCTCAAATTTGTTGAAAGATATTAATATAAACATCCAGGAAGCTCAGTGAACTCCAAGTAAGATTAACTAAAAAAAAAAACCCACATTAAGACACATTATAATTAAACTTTCAAAAGCCTAACATGAAGAATCTAGTTCAAGTTGCTCACAGGTCTAAGAGTGAGACTCATATGCATACAGCCATAGCAGGATCACCCCAGACTGAGCTTGAGTTGAGTCTATTGGGAAATTCATGGCACGCTTGGGCATATTTGGTTAGCTAATGGGGATGGCTGCCTGTCTCACTTGTCTGTTGCTGTGTAACAAAGCACTCTAAAACTTACTGCTTTAAAACAACAACAAAAATTTATTTGCTCATGAAAGTGCAGTTTGGGTAGGGTAGATAAACAGGACCAGCTTGTCTCTGTTTTATGTGGCATCTGCTGGGGCTAGAAAGTCCACAATGACTTTATGTTTATGTCTGCCTCAGTTGGGATGGCTTGAACAGCTGAAGGCTGGTTGGATATCTCTATCTCCATGTGGTGTGGCATCTCCATATGGTTAGATTGGGCTTTGATAAAGACTCTCTCCTTGACCAAACATTAAACAGTCTCCTCTGAATCCTCTTCTCAACTAGGTCTCGACCTTGGCCCCAGTCTTCTCTTTGACCTGTCTAGCCCAACCTAGTTTTAGCAAGAATCCTGCTAAGTTTAGTGAGAATTTCCCTACCCTTGAAATCTAATCAGATTTCTCATCCCCCACCTTTAATGTAAAAGGCTTTGGCCTGCTTACAGCAAGAACCTGTTAAGTCAGGTTAGCAAGGATCACCCTATCCTTGATGTCTTCCCTTAGCAATTTTCCATCCACTTACCCCTTTGGCTATAAATCTCTAGCTGCTAATCCCTTTCCCCTATTGCAATACCCCAATTGCCAAAGTCTTGAGAAAAGTCTTCATTACAGTTTTAACAAGTTTCCTGCAGATGGCAAAGTAGAAGCTGCTAGGCTTTTTTAATGCCTGGTCTTGGAAGTCCCAGAAGATCATTTTCTCCACATCCTATTGGTCAAAGCAATCACAGGACCAACTCAGATTCAAAGGAGGGGCAATAGATTTGTACTGTAAAAAAAGCACGTGGAATGGGAGATAGTGTGCCATTTTTGGAAATATGTTCTACCATTCTGTCAGAAGTCAATTCCACAGAACACAGAATTTACCCTAGAACAACTAAGAGTTATGAAGACCAGCTTGACCCAATGACAAAACTGTCACCATCTGGGGGAAAACTGTCAGAGCACAACATGGTGTTTGTCACTAAGATTTGTATGTGTTCCATATCCAGACCCTGGAGGATTCATATCTATATTTTGAGTTAGGAGAATAGGCTATCATTAAAATCTGTTTTAATGAAACTATTTCATTAAAAATACCTTAAGGCATTTGAACACAAACAGTACTGGTTTGGTAATCTTATGGGAAAATGTTAATACCAAAGTGGAGGACAGGTGTTCTTGCCACATCTAGGGGAATGCAGTGCAACTTCTGGACATCAAGAACTCCTGAGAGTAGAGTCCCCACTTAGGCACTGCCCAGTTTCTGATAACAAGGGCCATTTTGGTGGATACAGTTGATTTGGACCCAGTATCCACTACATTTTTTTTTTTTTTTTGAGACAGAGTCTCGCTCTGTCATCCAGGCTGCAGGGCAGTGGCGTGATCTCAGCTCACTGCAGCCTCTGTCTCTCCAGTTCAAGCAATTCTCCTGCCTCAGCCTCCCAAGTAGCTGGGACTACAGGCATATGCCACCACACCCAGCTAATTTTTGTATTTTTAGTAGAGACAGGGTTTCACCATGTTGGCCAGGATGGTCTTGATCTCCTGACCTCGTGTTCCACCTGCCTCGGCCTACTAAAGTGCTGGGATTACAGGCGTGACCCCTCACGCCTGGTCCAAATTCCTTATATTATGGCTTGATTTCTTATGCAGCAAAGTGAGAGAAAAGAAGTGATGGAGGGGAAGTAACAGTAAAAGAAAGAACATGTGAACATTTGCTTGAAGGCTCAAGATTGAAAAGATTCAGGATTAAAAGAGTTATGGGAAAAAAGACAAACAGCTGGACTTAACGCTAGTAAAATTTCTTTATTGAAGGGCTTAAAATAAAACCCTATAAACACTCAAGTAGGAAATAAAAGTTATCTATATTGGAAGAAACCCAGAATGATACTGGAACTTCTTAGCAGTAGTAAATGCTAAAATCTAAAAGTTCTGAGAAAAAGAATTGTGACCAAAATTGTGACCCAAATTATCCTTGTGTGAGGGCAAAATAAAACAATTTGAAAACGAGTATGGATTTAGACAGTACCCTAATTTAGCTTTTCTGAAAAGATAATAATCATTTGAGGAAATACTCCAGCTAAGCCAAATTAACATACAGAATTGAAGAAAATCAAAGTCATGTAATATAGAACAGTGCTGAATACTGAAATCTAATTTATACTTAGATTTAAATAATTATAGTTACTATGATGGTGAAGCTAATTACAATTGTAAAGAAAAGACCCTGAAAATTAAAAACAAGTGAATACGTTAACACTGGAATAGAGATTTTGCAAAGAACCTAGGGTTCCAACTAAAATAATGTACCTCTCTTTCTTGAATCATTTTAGCCACTGCATCATGGGCATATTACTTCACCTAGAACCTTGACCTCTCCATATTTTGCTTTCTCCTCTTTCCCTTTGTTCTCTCCCATCTCTCCTCCTCAGCCTCCCATTCCTGGACTACCCCAAGAATTCCAGATTCTCACCTCTCTTAAGCAAACCTATTAAATTTTCTCTAACTCTCCTCCCAACTCACTCCAGGCTTGGCTTTTCAGATTTCAAACTCATAAAGGTCCTCAGCTAAAGAAAAGGATCCTCTGAGAAACGTCCTTTCACAGAATCCACCTTTTTAAAAGGAAGTTGTGGTTTTATTATTTTTATTTTATTTTACTTTTTTTGAGACCGAATGTCACTCTTGTTGCCCAGGCTGGAGTGCAATGATGTGATCTCGGCTCACTGCAACCTCCACCTCCTGGGTTCAAGTGATTCTCCTGCCTCAGCCTCCCGAGTAGCTGGGATTACAGGCATAGGCCACCACGCCCAGCTAATTTTGTATTTTTAGGAGAGACGGGGTTTCTCCGTGTTGGTCAGGCTGGCCTTGAACTCCCGACCTCAGGTGATCTGTCCCCCTCGGCCTCCCAAAGTGCTGGGATTACAGGTGTGAGTCACCGCGCCTGGCTATTATTTTTAAAATAGAGACAGGGGTCTCACTATGTTGCCCAAGCTGGTCTTGAACTCCTCGGCTCAAGCAATCCTCCTGCCTTGGCCTCCCTAAATGCTAGGATTACAGGCATGAGCCACCATGCCCAGCTCAGAAGTTGTAGTTTTTAAATAATAACTGCTCCTTGGTAGCAAATGTATGAAACAAAATTACAGGCCGGGCGCAGTGGCTCACGCCTGTAATCCCAGCACTTTGGGAGGCCAAGGTGGGCGGATCACCTAAGCTCAGGAGTTTGAGACCAGCCTGACCAAAATGGTAAAACCCTGTCTCTACTAAAAATACAAAAGATTAGCTGGGTGTGTTGGTGGATGCCTGTAATCCCAGCTACTCAGGAGGCTGAGGCAGGAGAATCACTTGAACCTGGGAGACAGAGGTTGCAGTGAGCTGAGATCCCACCACTGCACTCTAGCCTGGGCAACAGAGTGAGACTGTTGTTTGGGCAACAACAACAAATTACAAATGCAAAGAGAAATTAACAAAAACCATGGTAACAATGAGGCTGCCAGTGCTTTACAGATGAATTAGTCTGTGCAAAACAAAAGGAAAAGTTATTATTTATAGTACCAAATGTTGTCATCATGTTTCATGTTTGATGCCTTTTATCGAGAACTATACTGTCATAAATTTGCCTTTACTGTTTTCTTTGCATTTGCCTCTGCAAGGTGGTTGTACTTTTTATTGTATCCATTCTGAATCATTTAGACTGTTTTGTTAGTGGGATATAGTTGGGAGATTTCATTTTATCCAATCTGATAGTGGCTATTTTATGTGTTTAATACATTTATTACTCTTATTCCGTCATTTTATGCTTCACTGTGGCTAATTTAGCTGTTATCTTTCAGCTAGTGATTTGGAGGGAAAATTTTACTTAAATAAGATTTTCTGTTAGTTTCAAGTTACTTTAGGAACAAAGAGGGGTTAGAAGTTCACAAGTGTTCCCCAAACTGGAAAAAGTAGTATACTTTTTTTAAACATTGACATGACCACTAAACTTAAAAATTGAATTTGTATTTTTTCTAAGTTAAAAATAAAATAGTATCTATTGACACTGCCTACATAAAATTCAAAACAGTGTGTTTTAACCTCTTCCTTTCCTTCTAACCCTTATTTCCCCGTCTGGGTTGAATAATCTTGAATTTAAGATGATTTAAATTACTAAGCATTTCATTGTTTCTCTGTGAGTTATTTAAACATTCACATTGAGATTCATTATCAGGTTAACAACATTATTTATACATTTATTCAAGTTTAAATATTTCATTGCTCAATCTTAATACCTTTCCATTTATCTTAATTACTGGGGCAGCTGGAATACTGTAGTAGAAATACGTCATGGTTTCTGGCTCCCAAGCACTTTTGCAGTGTCACTCATAGATTTGAGAAATTCATTTTTATGAATCCAGCCTCAATGGAGAAACAAAAAAGTGAACTTTCCCAGGTGCTACAGGCATGTCAATACATCCTCTGCCAATCACGTCCACCCAAGCAAGACTTCAATTCAGAAGCAAGCAGCGTGAAGTGAGTGCCACATGTAATCTTATTTTATGGCGATGGTGTCAGAGGATTCCAGCATTTAGGGGTAGCATCTAAGTCTTTACTGCAGTCTCACAGTATGGTTTGGATATTGTTTCCACTGTGAAACAATATCCACTTAGAAAAATCAGTTTCTAAGGCTGATTTTCTAGTCCTCATACAGATCCTGTGGGCTACCTCATATTCTTTAAATAAACATCTTGTCATTTAGAGGTCTTGTTTTTAACTATAACAAGAATCCCAAAGGCTGATAAATGAAATGTTAGTATGGTTGGTTTCAGAATTCTTAGGTAATATTTCTATTCCCTCCAAATGCCGCATGTATTGTGTTCCATTTTTTGTGGTGTTTTGTTCTTTGACATTTAGTATTACAGAGATATTTGATGCCAACTTTTTTCTTTTAAGGCAACCTATTCTTCTCTTCCTATTGTTTTTTTTTAATTTTTTTTATTATTTATTTATTTTTTCCCTCGCTCTGTCACCCAGGCTGCAGTGCAGTGGTGAGATCTTGGCTCACTGCAACCTCCGCCGCCTCCCGGGTTCAAGTGATTCTCCTGCCTCAGCCTTCTGACTAGGTGGGACTACAGGCGCGCGCCACCACACCCGACTAATTTTTTTATTTTCAGTAGAGACAGGGTTTCACCATGCTGGCCAGGATGGTCTTGATCTCTTGATCTCCTTATCCACCTGCCTCGGCCTCCCGAAGAGTTGGGATTACAGGCGTGAGCCACCGCTCCCGGCCCCAATGATGTTTTTATAGTCTTATCTTGGAAATTTTAAAACTTACTGTATGTCTAAATATGGTTTTCTGTTAAAGTTACTTCAGGACCAAAGAGGGGTGAGAGGTTCACAAGTGCTCCCCAAACCGGGAAAAGTAGAACAAAGTCTCAAAAATGGCAGGAACTGAGTGACTCCAGGAGCTAGGGACTCTTTTTTTGAGACAGGTTCTTATTTTGTCACCAAGGCTGGAGTGCAGTGGCGAGAACGATCCTCTCACCTCAGCCTCCTGAGTAGCTGGGACTACAGGCGTGTAGCCCCATGCCCAGCTAATTTTTTGTAGAGACGAGGTCTCACTATGTTACCCCTAGGATTTTTTTTTTCTTTTTTTTAAGAGACAGGGTCTTGCTTTGTCATCCAGGCTGGAGGGCTTACAGCTCACTGCAGTCTTGAACTGACAGCCTCAAGCGATCCTTCCGCCTCAGACTCTGTGTAGCTGGGACTACAGGTATGCACCATCAGGCCCTATTTTTTTTTTTTTTTTTTTTTTTGTAGAGACAGGGTCTCGCTTTGTTGCCCAGGCTGGTCTTGAGCTTGTGATTCTTGTCTCTCTCTCACTATGTGTCCTCCCAGTATCTGTTCCCTTTTCCTCTTTCTCCACTAGGTGGCTTCCTCTTAGTTTAAGCTTCATGATGCCAGTCATAGTAATTTGAGCCTTAACTGTGTGCGTGCTCTTTCAGTTCCAGCACTCAAGACCCGGCCAGAAATGTCCTTTGTTACTATTTCAAATTGATTGGCCTGATCATTTTTTTATTTCCAAGCAGTGCTATACAAGTCTCTGGTCACTGACCAGCTGATGATGAGTCTCCTCTAGGTCAGATACAACTCTGGTACAAATAGCCAAGGTCAGGGAGAAAGACTGGGTACGTAGTTCAGTGACCAGTGAATGAGGCTAAGGGTCTGGATTCCAAAAGGTGGTGTAGGTAGGGAAGTTAATGTTTGGCATTTTTTTCAATAGTTATTTTTCACTAATGCTGCTTTATATTCATTGGTCACCTTCACTAACATACATTATGTTGAATATTTTTAATTATTCGAGAAAATAAGTGGATAGTCACAAATGTAGAGAAAGAATTATCCTGAATATCAGATAAAAGAAAGTGTATTTAGCACCAAGAACAATATTATATACATAGAATGTACAGGTTGAAAAAAGCATGAATGGCCTAACAAAAAGCAGAATATACTTTTATAGATCTTAGACAGAGTTGTAAGAATGGCAGGAAAATGACCTGGGGTTTACAGGAGCCACAGTCTATAGGTTTCAACATTACAAAGTAATTTTTAAATTTTAAGTCAGTGTAATATGAGGAAAATACGCTTATTTGAAAGGAAAAAAATTATACACTCTATTTCAGCCACCATGACTTGTGAAAAATAATTGTTTCATAAATTTTAATGATCTGACTACTCAGATGTTCCTTTAACTATGGGCAATTTACTTTTTGCATTTCTGGTGCTCTGCTTTTTTCCTTAGATTCCAAGAAACCCTGGGATAACATATATTCAGATATTGTGCAACTGGCTCCCATCCTCTGCAAGAGATTCATTCTTTCATGTAATTAACCTGTGGCAACATGATCCATATTTTAATCAAGAAACATTTTACTGTACTTACAGTGCTATTTGATCCTTATGGGGCTTATCTTTGATTACTTCCTTTTCATTACCCTGGTAATCTGTAAAGTTGTCCTCAAATATCTTATTTGCTAATTATTGATCACTTCCACTGTATATTAAAAAACTGGATATTTTCATCTGAAATCAACCTTCTCTCATCTCAAAGTTCCCTTTTCATAGTCTTTTAATCTTATTGAAAATTCAAATTAGATCTTTGCTGAAGTTACTGCTTTTTATAATGACAGTCTCAAAGGGAACATTAACTGATCCTTCAAATATAATCACTGTCTTTAGAATTACTTGTTTGTTCATGTCTGGCTAAGTTTGTCTGCTGTCAGGAGTTGAGATGAGCATTATGAAATTGGATGGCTTAATATTGAAATCTTTTATGCCTAGGGGAAGTCTTTTATCTGTTGCTATACTTTGTCAGATTAAGGGTCCAGTTGTTGGGAGGAATCGCTAGAGCTGAAGGCAACCACTCAAGGAGCTTCACTGTGATCTTAGGGCAGTAATTCTCAAAAAGTGTGGTCTCCAGACCAGCAGCATTAGCCTCACCTTTGAACTTGTTAGATATGCAAGTTCTTAGGCCCCATTCCAAACATCCTGAATCAAACTGGGGGTATGGCCCAGCTATGTCTTGTTAAGCACTCCTGGTGATCCCAACGCACTCCTTTGAAGTGCCTTACGTTAGGTAACTCTCCCTCCCCCACTCCTCTCTAAACAGGCATCGTAACTCCTGACTAATTCCCAACGCTGGGCTTAGTATGCCATTTGTTAACAAGCATAAACTGGGAATATTTGGCCTGCTATCGATTATAGCAGCACCCTGTGAACATCTATAATTAGAATTGAGATTTGCCCCTTTACTAATTCAGAACCACTATCTCTAACAGAGGGCCTCATCCAGCAGTCTTTACTTCAATGGGTAGTATAGACTGGCCCGTCTCCCCCCACTCAAGTGTTGCCTACAAAAATTCCACTTTTCTGGCATGTGGAATGTTCATTTTCAGCATTTATATTTTCTTCCTTATTTGAATTAAAAGGCAAGTTTATCTAATTGACTAACATCCATCTCTTTCCATAGAAGTACTTGAAGTGGTTTGCAACAACTGGCATGCAGTAATTCAGAAAATTAGAAATAGAAAATCAAAAAATGAAAGGAAACCAGTATGACCTATATGCATGTATCTCCATTGTTTATGGAAGCCTGGGAAAACAACAGAAGTAGATGGTATTCATAGACAATTTCAGATAACATTTGGCAAAAATTTAAAGGTCAATCATTTCAAAGATAGTAAATTGAAGTGTTTACAAAGTGGTGCAGTAGACACAGTACAGGCATTGGAGTCAAATATCTTAGCTCAAGTCATAGCACTTTTATTTACTGGCATTTTAGCTTTAAAAAAAATCATTCTCATTACCTGGAAGTTATAAACACAGGTAAGGGGTAGATAATTAACTACTTGATGTGATTTTCAAGGCACCAGGTAGGTGTATTCACTCCTATCTGAGTGCCCCACCATGCTTAAAAAGGTTTTCCCTCCCCAAATACAGAGTGTATGAATCTTATCACTAAAAATAAATTTTCATTTATTCAACAAATATGTATGCATGTATCATCAGTCACCCTCTGATCTTTTAAAACAAATCAGGGAAGATATATTAAGTAAATTATCTTAGTTAATAAGTGTCAGTTTATTTTCCTTCAGGAAGGAAGACTTCCCTCCACTGTATAAGGGGACACTTAACATGTACCCCAGAACTGTACCTACCACAAATAAAGTTTCCTTAACAGGCAGGGATTCTAAAATATACTTCTGAATATCTTAATCGTATTAAATCTACCTCTAAAGTTCCATGTGATTTGAATTTTCTGAGCATGGCAAAGTGCTGATTATACTTCACTGCTGAGATCTTGCCCTAACATACAGGGTGATAAAAAGTGTTCATGTCAGACCCAGTTGCAACAAGAAGATGAAGGGGCAAGACAGTTTACACTGTAAAGCCTCGAAGAGACTGCAATGTCTAAGAATCAATTTCAAGTACAGAATTCTATAATATTAAGAAAGAGGAAATTATGTGGGCCTATTATGCTCAATGCTTAGTCTGTGCTAGGCTGCTTGCATTGCTATTACATGAATTTACTTTTACTGAGCTCCAGTGGAGTAAGAAAAAAAAGTTTAAGTGGAAAAATATTAAAAATCAAGATGAGCTAATCACATAAAAGAAATTTCAGGAATAGATAAGTGCCAACGCATGGAATGGTTAAGTGGCAACAGTCTTCTTCAATTGTTTTTATTACAGTAAGAGGAATTTTACTCTTAATGCATAGAAGCTGAAGAAAAAAATTTATATAAGCTTTTAAAAGAGGCATTTTAAACAATTATTAATACAAATGTGAAACAAGACCCTTCAAACAAATACCAATTTCAGTAACAGTTTACATACAGCAATAATTTATTCTGAAATGTTCATTTAGTTTCTGTTGAGACACAATTCATGTCTCATTAATAAAAGAGCAGCCATCTCACCTCAAATACCAGAATATACAACAAATTACAGCATAGCAAAAATTCTACCTACTTTCAGATAAAATCTAGTTCAGGTAAAATAGTTTCATTCAATGTTTTACAGTTACACAGATTTTTGTTTTGTTTGGAGCACAAAATAGTGTAAATTATTACACTGTAGCTATCTCTATGCACATCATGTGACCACATAACTGTTAATCATTACTTCTGAAATTGAACCATCAGTTTCATTCATGCAGTAAAGCAAAGCAGGCTGGGTAAACTTGTTCATCGGGAACCATATTACTGTGAATTTCACAGCCACATGATTAATTATGATGTTAGATGGACTCACAAGGACAAAAACATTTTTTTTTGCATAAATACCAATTTTTCCCTGATGTAAGTTTAGTCAGTTTATAATCTAGAAATGATTGATAACAGCAATATATCATATTTTCTATCTGTAGTGTTCATTATTTTAAGACAAGCAATAATTAAAGGAAGTTGGGATGGGATGCTACTTTAAATACATGTAAAACATACTGTACAAACATACTTGGCTTTACTATTTTTTTCCTAACCATCAAGAGTGCCTCCCAAAATAAGACCAGTGAAGACAAAGTATACTATCAAATATGGCTTCCAGAACAAAAACCCTCTAACAAGAATCAAACCTATTTACAAAATTTTTCAGTCTTTTAAAGTTTCATTTGAAACAAAATGTCTATATAGCAGTTGTAATTAACATAGAATTTTCTTAGTTTCATTCTTCCTCTCTTTTAAACAGATGTCACAAGGTAAGACCCAGAATGGCGCTTAGGACTTTGGGTTCCACTGGATTCTGTGCTGTCAGTTTTGGAATCTCGCTTCTTTGTGTTGTTATTCACTGGAGTTGGGATCTGAGATGGCCGAGCTGAAGTGCTATCTGCGCTGCTTTTCCTAGGGCTTGGGTTGTAATTAAAAGGAGTCACTCTGGCAGCAACAGTCCCACTAGGTGAACTGTGTTTGCTTGAGCTGCTAGAACTGAATGGGGTACGTTCCACTATAGAACTTTCATTAGTCTCTGATACAGGGACAGGATTATTTTGTCCTGGTTTTATCTCAGTTCCTTTTTGGTCAGGGGCATCCACCTGAATAAAGGAGTTCAGGCGATTTTCCAAACCCACGGTACGCATGGGAACACTGCCATTACCCACATTTTGTTTTGCCTGATTATCTTTTGAATCTTTAATGTTTGGATTTGCCTTTTCTGAAACACTGTCAATCACCGGGGGAGTATTACCTGTGGGAGATCTTCCAGATCTAGGATTGTTAATGGGACAGTCCTCAATTCTCACCCAAACATCCTCTGTTTTAGAAACAGCAGGTGCCATTTGATAAATTAGAGTCTTTGATTCAGCACCATTTGTAGCACCTGAGGAAACGGTCTGAGAAGTACTATTTGTGGGAGAAAATTCATTTTCTTTTATTTTTCTCCATGTTCCTTTTGCGGATACTTGGTTTTCTTTACTTTGTTTGGTTCCTGAAATAGAGTTCACATGTTTTTCATCCTCACTTTTTGCTTTTTCACTGGATTCTGATGAAGCAGAAAGAATTGAAGATGAACTTCCAGTTCTTCTCCAAGTGCTTACTCGAGGAAGGGATGATGAATGTTTGCTGTGCTCACGTTTCCAGGTTCCTGACCTATTGATTGGAAGTCTAGAAGGACTTTCAGAATGAGACCGTGCAATATCATGGCGCTTTGCTGGTCTTCCATCATTATACTCTATAGTGGGACTGAGATTAGGTGGGAGTTTTCGCCATCCACCAGCCTGAACAGACGAATGTGTGGATAGAGACATATCAGGAAGGGAAGGACTTAAAACTGGAGTTTGTGCCTGGGACCTAGTGGGAGAAGCTGGTCTAGATGATGGAGAAAGAGATTCAAATGAAGCAGATTCCTCCAATTTTCTTCTTAAGGTTGGGCTTGGAGCTTCTTTGATGAAAGTTGACTGGCGTACTAATACAGGTCTTTCTGATCTATCAGATTCACTTCCACTTGATTTAGTTGAAGACATTCTAGAAAGTTCTACCTTTTTATTGGCTCCATTACCATTATTCATCTGATTTAGTCCTTTGGAGGCAGACTCACTTCTTGGAATACTACTGGCATTCTTGGATAAACCTGTTTGTTTGGTAAGGTTCTGTTGGCTCATCTGTCTACCTGGAGATGTATATGACATTTTTCCAGAACCTGAGGACTTAGTTGAAGCAGTACTAGGGGATGATGTCCTTGGAAGTTGAGATAATTTGTTAGGAGGACTTATTCCATTTCTACCAGGGGAAATTGAGTTTCGGCCAGGAGACTGTATAGGTCTACTTAATGGTTGCTGGGCAGGTCTTGAAGGGGTCGAATCTCTAGATCCTGATCTAGAAGGTGCTTTACTTGACCCACCTATTTGGGATGTCTGCCTGGCAACAGGGCTTAATTCTGATTTCACAGATGGCTTGGCTCCTCTAGGAGAAGTGGTGGCTGTTTGACCTTCACTAGGGCTTTTGGAGGCTGGAGTCTTAAGGGGTGGGCCTTTTTTAGAAACAGGACTTGTACTTGAGGAGCTATTTCGAACTCCTGGAATATGAATCATTGTCCTGCCTCGAGAGATTGAAGGCATGTTTGCTTGAAGGGGCTGTTTCATTTGGCCTGAAATTTCTGAATTAGATCGAACTTTTCCAGTAATCAAACTTTTATAAACTTTTTTTCCTCCTTTGATTCCTTTACTTTCAGATTCTATCTTTTTAGTTTCCAATGTACTTTTCTCCCCTGGTTTTAGAATTCGTGGGCCTTTATTACTTGTAAAGGGTTTTTCTTCTTGATCAGGTGTAAGATGAAATGGTGATCCCAGAGAGATTCCTGATTTCAGGGAAAGGATGGAATCTGAATCAGACGAAGCTTGTCTAGATAAACATGCAGCAGCAGCAGCTTGATGTAAACTACTTACTATGGAATTTGCACCTTCCTGAATAGCTTTCCAATCAAAATTTTCTGAATCAGGGGATAGACCATGTTCTGAATCTGGTCTCTGTATATCTTTCAAATCAAGTGTCAGATCTTCACCTAATATGCCACCCATATTTCTGGGACTATGTTTTTCATTATCACCCTTGAGTCTTGAAGGCTTTTTCTTTTTTGGCATTGCGGAGCTTATACATTCCTGCAACAGGTCATCTTCAGAGTCAATACTAAGAGAACTGAGAGAACTGTTTCTTGAGAAACAAACTGGGGTATCTTCAACATGAAATGATTTAGGAGCATAGCCTGATGCTTGAGGTTTACTTGGTTCTCCCTGTGAGTCAGGGGGCTCAGTCTCTTTGATAGGTTCATTTTCTTTATTGTTGTTTTCTTGGTCAATGTCACTGAGAGAACTCAGAGAGGAATTATGAGAAAAGCAAACCGGAGTATTTTCAATAGCAAAATTCTGTAACTTTTCATCAGTTGCTGCCCCTCTGTCTGGTATGTCTTTGGATGACTGGGGAAAAGTGGATTGTTTCTGAAGTATGGGTTTAGGCTGACCTCGATTTATTGGCTGCTTTGCAATAGCTTGTGTCTTATTAGCTGATTGTTGGTTGGAGGTTAGTTCTGTGTGGCTGGTAACTTTAGCCTCTGATTCCTTATTTTCTTTTGCCTTTCTTAATTCAGCCTTTTCCCTGGAAAGGTCAACATCATCATCATCAAAATCTAGAGAACTCAAAGAATCATTTCGTGAAAAACAGTAAGGAGTTCCTTCAATAGGCGTGTAATGATGAGGTGAATCAAAAGCAAAACTTCCTCTGACTCTATCTTCATTATTTGGGAGCTTATCATTGAAGACCTTGGAATTATTTTTCAAATTCTGTTTCTTTGAATCTTTGTTGTCTGAGAAAACTCTCTCAGCATTTAAATTATTTTTTGAGTCTGCATTTTTTCTTACACGTGTCCTATATTCAGTATTTTGTGGTATAGGTTTTACTGGTGAAGTTGGTTTCTTTTTCTTACCATCTAACTGATTTTTGTTGGGTGCAGAAGAAGACGCAGATGCTTGCTGGACCTGGTCCATTATCTTTTTCACACGGAAAGGCTTGTGACTTTTCCCTTTGGGCATAGCAGAATTAATGCATTCTGCAAGAATATCACCTTCCTCTGCTTTATTGTCATCCAATTCAGGTATGGTTACAGATGAGGTTTTTCCTCCTTGAGCCTCATCTGTACTTCTGCCTTCTGTAGGAATGGTATCTCGTTTTTCAAATTCACCTGACTGTGCCCCTCCTCTAACTCCTTCTCCAGCAGCTAACTCATTTGGAGGGGATTCGATTGTTAGATCACTTAGAGATGTAGCTGTGGAAAAGTTTATAGGTGTCCCTTCAACACAATACACCCGTGGCATATCATCCCCCGGTGTAAAACTAACATGCTTTTGGGGTTGCAACCTGTTTTGTGATGGTAGAAGTTTGTACACAGGCAGCTGACTTGGTTTCCTTGCCACAGGTGGAGGTAATTTTGAAGCAGTCTGGGCTGGCTTTTTTGCTTTACGTGATGACTTTGTTGGCATGGCAGAAATAATACATTCTTCTAGTATTTCAATATCATCATCATCTGAATCATCTAATAGGTCCTTTTCAGAATCAATAGTTTTTTCTGCCTCTTTCTCTTGGTTTTCATTTGATTCTTTAGGCTGCTCTGATTCTGTTTCATTCCCATTGTCATTTTCCTGAACTGGAGGCATTATTCTTAATTCCACATCTTTCTGTATAAATGGCTCATCGAGGCTCAGAGCACTCAGGCTGGATGAACAAGAAAATCCATCTGGAGTACTTTCCGTGGCAAAATGTAATAAAGTATCAGCATCTGGAAGAACCTGGACCCTCTGAACTGCAGCATTTACTGCAGCTTGCTTAGGTCCACTCTCTCTCTTTTCAGCAGTAGGTGCTTTATTTTTAGGTACTTCTCGCTTGGTTTGAGCTGTTTGAGGAGGTGGTGGAGGTGTTTTACTTCTGCTTGGTGGCATGGTTTGTCCAGGGCTATCTGGAAGATCACTGGGGCTTATAATGCCACTTACCATTCCACTGCATGGTTCACTCTGAACGGAGCTGGCAATCGAACGACTCTCAAAACTATCAAGTGAACTGACAGAAGTACATCTGCTAAACATGAGTGGGGTCTCCTGAACATAGTGTTCAGGTGGACTTTTGGGTGTCTGAGCACCACTTTTGGAGGGAGATTTCGCTCCTGAAGAAAATTCAACAGCTTTGTGCCTGGCTGATTCTGAAGATAAACTAGAACCCTGCAGTCTGCTGGATTTGGTTCTAGGGTGCTGTGACACTGCTGGAACTTCGCTCACAGGATCTTCAGCTGACCTAGTTCCAATCTTTTCTTTTATTTCTGCTATTTGCAGGGTATTAGCAGAATCTGCTTCCTGTGTCGTCTGATTACATCCTATTTCATCTTCAGCTGATGACAAAGATGATAATGAACTACATCTTGAAAAACATATTGGAGTATCTTCTACACAATAAGTCTGTATTGTTTCTTGGTTAATAGAAGAAACTTTGCAAGTGGCAGCCTTTTGAGGCTGACCACTTCTACTCTGTGCAGAACTTGGATGGAGCTGATTCTGCCTCTTGGCATTAGATGAAGGTGTGGACGTATTCTCACTGCTTGAAGACATATGTTCGGTTTTACTGCTTTGTCCAGATGAACTCTTTGAGAATGAAAATGACTGTTTCTGTGATGAAGGAATATCTGTGGCATATTTTAAACTATAATCAATAGGCTGATCCACATGACGTTTCTCTTCATTATATTTTATGCTATAATTTGTTGGTCTCTCTTCTTCTTCATGCTGTTCTTCTTCAGAGTAACGTTCACTATAATTGGTAGGCTTATCATCTTCATAGTCATCTTCTTGACACAAAGACTGGCTTACATTTTGATTAATTCCATGATTAGAACCCACTCGATTTGTTTCTGAACCATTGGCTCCCCGTGACCTGTATGGAGAAACACATTCCTGCTGTCCAAAATGTGGTTGGAACTTGAGGTGTTTATCATCAGTGCTCTCAGTATAAACAGGATAAGTTGTACTTTGATTCCTTGATTGTCTTTGCTCACTTTGTTTTATTTCATCTTCTATTATGTGTTTGGGTCTTGCCCATCTTTCATTCTGTGAAGGACTTTGCCTTCCAGAGTTCAACTGCTCATCTGAATATTTAAGACTATAATTTATTGGTGTATCTAGTTCTCCATCATTATCATCCATATGATTTGCACTATGTATTTTATGGGCTAGGTCGGCTGGGTATTGACCATAACTGCAAAACTTACTTTCATCATCTTCAGAATAGGATTCAATCGAGGGTTTCATTTGACCTCTTTTACCATAACCATCACTACTACTGACACTATTTAAACTATCATTTGAAGATCTCTTGTATTCTAATTTGGCATAAGGCATAGAACATGTCCTATTTGAATTTTCCGACTTAGTGAAATTGTAAGTGTTTGAATGTGTATGGGCAGCAGAGCTTCTTCTAAGTGCATTTCTCTCATCTGTCACACAATGTAATTCAGTGGTAGACCCAGAACTTCTGTCTTCCTGAGAGGTATGAATGGCTGACACTTCTTCCATGACTTTGGCAATCTGGGCTGCAGTGGTGGAGATCTGCAAACCTCGCTTTGAAGAAGTTCCTGGATTTTCTGTTGCTGGATGGTAGTTGCCTAGACCAATTCCGCGTTCTCTCTCCAAACTTCTATCTTTTTCAGAACGAGAACTATCTAAGCTTCCTCTTGATGAAGAGGAGCTGGGTAACACTGTAGTATTCAAATATGGTGAAAGGACAGTCATGTTGCCAGTATTAAAATTGTCTGACCTATTATCATCATGTCGATTGGTGTCAAAAACATAATCACCATAGAGACTTTGCTTGTGTCTCTGCTTACTACGATGAGATGCCTTGGGACTTAAATTGTCTATATTGTCAAAAGTTTCTGATAAGTGCTGAGCATCTAATTCTGCTTCTAGGGCTTTTTGTTTCCTAACATGAAGAGATGGCAAGCTTGAGCCAGGAGACATAATATTGGCATCCTTGTACTTCGCAGGCCTATTTGCCATGAGATTCCTTAAAGCTGCAGCACTTCCCATAGCAATCATTTTGTGCTTTGAATGAATGAGGTTCTTGAGCATGCTAACTGCCCCCATGTCCCATAATGCTTCCTGGTCTTTAGGATTTCTTGCTGAGAGATTCCACAAAGTTCCACATGCATTACTGACTATTGTCAAACTATGAGATTTTAAGTGTTGTAATAAAGTTTGTAGACAGTTGTTCTCTCTTAGGATTTGCCTGAAATAAAATCAAGAGATCACAAAATTAAGGTCACAATGTGTATGCAGTAACAACAAATAAAAGGATAGAAGACAAAAGGCATAATATGATTGTACCAATTATCCTATAAATTCCAAGTATTCCACATCTCCTTTTGTTCTAATTTCATGTAATGTTTAATGTTTTAAAGTACTAATCTGTCACACTAAAAAAAGTAAAGGTGTTATTTTTTGTCAATTCTACATTTCCTATTCTGACCCAATAGCTTAAAACATTTGCAGGGGGTGGGGCACATACATTTACTCTATTCATATAACAGTTTCCCAATTTAAAAACTATATCATGAAATCCTATGTTGAATAGGAACTTTGTGGTAATTTAATCTATGGTTGGGTGCCACTCTGATATTGATATTGAGTTATCTTGGAAGAGGTAGATAGAATTGATTGAAGATTTTTCTGCAGTCAGTGCACATTATAAGCTCTTAGATT